>NC_000005.10:166670414-166973445 GCF_000001405.40 Homo sapiens
GCATGGATATTTTTCCAAATACCTTTCCAGCTAGCAGCACCTATAAGATCGCTCTCTCTAGAGTATGTGCTGGGTGGAATTTAAGTGAAGGTGGGAACCAGGCTATTTGCTTTTTTTCTTCCAATCAAAAGATAATGCTCACCTTTGACAATCCCACTGACTGTGAGGCCACACCACTAAGCTGGTAAAGAAAGACTTTCCTCCTGAATTAGAAAGTCAATGCAGTTCAACATTATGGTTGACCAGCTTTCTAAATCATGAGAAATAAAGACATTGCCATTTTTACTTCAGAGAACTGTACCCCTGACTGTGCATGGAGGATAATAATTGAGAAAGTGCATAAGATGAAATAATTGCTTCCTTAGGTCTTCTTGGTGCACAATTTACTACAGGCTTAGGTTGCACTCAATGGTGTGGAATGTACTAAATGGGAATTAGAAGCTAAGATCTCTTTGGACCATGTTGTAGAGGGTGTGGATGATTTTAAACAATATTCTAGGCTGTGTTGCTGATGCCTGGAAATATTTTAAGACCAGGTCTGTACTGAGGGAGAACATGCTGCTTTCAAGGCTAGTATTTACACAATTCAGGATAAAATGAAATTAATCCCACTCTCGAGGAGGATAACTTGGGAATTTCAAAACACTCTGTTTAAGGACCCATAAGGAACATTTAGAGTCTATCTGTGGAATGTGAGAAATGGCCATTCTTCACATATTTAGAAGTAATGACCACAGGCAAACATAAAGAGATGAATAAGACAGAAAAAAGACAGTCAATGATGGTGATAATGATTGAGAGAAGAAAATTAAAAATTAAACCGAACCTTCAATAAAAAGATAAATAGGCCGGGTGTGGTAGCTCATGCCTGTAATCCCAACACTTTGGGAGGCCGAGGAGGGCAGATGGCTGGCTTGAGCTCAGGAGTTCAAGACCAAACTGGGCAATGTGGCGAGACCCCATCGCTACAAAAAATAAAATAAAGAAAGAAATTAGGTCGTGGGTGCCTGTAGTCCCAGCTACTCAGGAGGCTGAGATGGGAGGATCACTTGAACCCAGAAGGTGGAGGTAGCAATCAACCTAGATCACGTCACTGCACTTTAGCCTGGGTGACAGCGAGACCCTGTCTGAATAACAGTAATAATAATAAAACAATAGAAACCAGATATTTTGTAAGCAGTCATTATGATCGTTCTATTCTGTCAATGGAAAAACCATACTCTGTAAAATATTTTAAAGACATTTACAATGTTAAGTCTGAGCCAATTTGAGTGACTGTGGCCTGGAGAAAACATAAACCCAAGAATCCTTGAGTAAGTGGTCCTGAGCCAGTTAGATTACAGTTTGGTTTTACATATAGGTTAGGGAGGCAGGTGTTAGAGGCAAAGACATAAATCAATACATGGAAGCTATACATTGCTTCAGCCCCCAGAAGCAGGATATCTTGAAGCAGAGGGCTTACATGTTATGGGTGGGTTCAGAAACTCTTTAATTTGCAATTGGTTGAAGGAGTAAGGCTCTGTCTAAAACTTGGAGTCAGCAGAAAGGAATGTTTAAGTTAAGATAGGCATGCGATGTCAGTGTCAGCCACAACATACTGGGTTAGAAAGACCTTTTAAGCCATACTGCTGTCCTGCAGGCATGGTTTAACCCTTGCCTGGCAAGGCCTTAGGTCTTGTTCATAATTTGGTATCTTATTGTCACAAAGAGTCTGCTTTATCAGTCTTGGGATCTCTATTTAACATGAAAGCTGGCCAGTGTTTTGTCTAAACTCTAAAAGGGAGAGAATATAAGGAGGCAGGTCTGGCCTCCCTTCCTGTCATGGCCAGGAACTCAGTTTTTAGGGTTTCTCTGGAATCCACTTGGTCACTGGGGTGAGGTGGGCAGCAGGGGGGTGAGGATCAGGGGTTGGTCCATTCACTCAGTGGAGGGCTTAGGATTTTATTCTTGGTTTACATTTCACAGATATTTGAATGCCTTCTTTACTGGAGCTACAGTGGTCAGAAATAAATTTCACCTGGAAACAAATGAATTAATAATTATGTCATAGAAAGTGCATTAAATAAATTTTGTGAAGGAAGACTGTGAGTCGTATGAGAACATAGGCTAGCCACACAGTTACTCAACTATTCTGTCCTTCCTTAGGTTAGTAATGACAATAGAGACATCCAAGTAATGAGCATAACTTCTTTAGGCAGAGGAAAGAAACAATTAGTAATGGCCTGACTCTTGGAAAACCTTCCTAGTACACACTCCCTTCAGCCCCACTATTTTGCATAAGAAAGGCAGAATCTGCCCCAAGGTAAATTTTTTTCTCTAGATGCCAAAAATTGATGTCTTTTCTTTCCTTTTTTAAAATAAAAACTCATGGTTAATACAATTAGGCACATTTATATTTTCAAAAAGATATTTCTATTCAGTATCACCTACGTATCTAAGTATTCTCCAGCTATTCAATTTTAAATTTATCCTTTTTTTTTCAGTTGAATCTTTTCTTAGATAGGCAATTAAGGAATGGTTCAGAAGTGACATTTGAAACCCACTGTACTTTTTTGAAAATAGAATTCATCATTCCCTCAGCTAATGTGTATGAGGCATTTAAATTTTAAAAGATGGCCTTGCTGGTTGTACATGACACCAAGAACAGGCAAAGCTAAAATCTTGAAAGGTAGCACACCATGTTATCAAATGCTCTTTTCCCTTCAGGTAGTATTACTTACATTGTGCAAATATGTTATGCAAAATAATCTTAAAACTGATTCTGCATCTTTGCCTCAGGTTCATACAATATTCATTGAAAGTTTTACAAAAAAAGAAATTAATTTAGTATAAAAATCACGCATTTTAAAATACCCATGTATATCAATGCAACAACATTCCAAATGCAGGCTCAGAAAAAGTAAGGAGGAGTTCAGATCAGAATTTCGTACATTTTATTTAATTACTTGTGTATATGTGTGTTTCTAGCATTCAGTGGTAACATGAAACCTGAATGTAAAAAGTTCTGACTCTTGCTAATTTCATGTCCCTGGACTAGTCACTGTAGTCTATGAGGTTCATTTCTCTGTTATTTTGTTATTTTTTATTTTTTATTTTTATTTTTTTGAGACAGAGTCTCGCTCTGTCGCCCAGGCTGGAGTGCAGCGGCGCAATCTCGGCTCACTGCAAGCCTCACCTCCCAGATTCACGCCATTCTCCTGCCTCAGCCTCCCGAGTAGCTGGGACTACAGGCACACGCCACCACGCCTGGCTAATTTTTTTGTGTTTTCAGTAGAGACGGGGTTTCACCGTGTTAGCCAGGATGGTCTCGATCTCCTGACCTCGTGATCTGCCCGCCTCAGCCTCCCAAAATGCTGGGATTACAGGCACGAGCCACCGCGCCCAGTCCATTTGTCTGTTACTTAAATGCTGACACTAATGCTAATGCCAGCTCTTTCGTGAGGTTGTTTTAAAGATGAAATGAAATATAAGAAACTCAAACAACACTATAGAAAAAAAAAAGGCAATAATCTGATTTAAAAATGGGCAAAAGATCTGAATAGACATTTCTCAAAGGAAGACACACACATAGCAAACAGGTGTTTAAAAAGTGCTTATCATCACTGATCATCAGAGAAACGTAGATCAAAACTACAATGAGGTAGCATCTCACCCCAGTTAAAATGGCTTTTATCCAAAAGGTAGGCAATAAAAAATGCAGGCAAGAGTGTGAAGAAAAGGGAATCCTCATATACTTTTGGTGAGAATGTAAATTAGTACAACCACTATGGAGAACAGTTGAGAAGTGCCTCAAAAAACTAAAAACAGAACTACCATATGATCCGGCAATCCCACTGCTAGGTATATACTTAAAAGAAAGGAAACCAGCATATCAAAGAGATATCTGCACTCCCATGTGTATTGCAGCACCGCTCAGGATAGCCAAGATTTGATCCATCAATAGATGAATGGATAAAGAAAGTGTGGTACATATATTCACAGTAGAGTACTATACTGCTATAAAAAGTATAAAGATCCTGCCATTTGCAACAACATGGATGGAACTGGAGGTCATCATGTTAAGTGAAATAAGCCAGGTATGGAAAGGCAAACTTTATATATTCTCACTTATTTGTGGAAGCTCAAAATTAAAACAATTCAACTCATGGAGATAGAAAATAGAATGATGTTTACCAGAGACTGAGAAGGGTAGTGGGTGGGAGTGGAGTGGGGATTATTACTGGATATAAAAATATAGTTAGATAGAATAAATAAGAACTAGTATTTGATAGCACAACAGGGTGACTACAGTCAGGAATAGCTTATTATACATATTAAAATAACTACAATAGTGTAATTAGATTGTTTCTAACAGAAGAAAAGTATAAATTCTTGAAGTAAAGGAACCCCATTCACCCTGATGTGACTATGACTGTTATACATTGTATGCCTTTATCAAAATAGCTCATGTACCCTATAAATGTTTACAACTACTATATACTCACAAATATTAAGAATTGAAAAAATATGAAATGACATCATATTGAAGTTTTAGTGCTGTGAAAACCGAGAAAATGCTATATAGATCTAACTCATTAAATGTATGAGTCAACTTCTCTGACCTGTACATAGTGGTTTGGAGAATCTGTCAAGGATATCAACATTACCTCTAAAAACAAAAACAAGTCGTAGAGAACCTTGATTCCTTTGTGTGTATAGACAGTGTGATTTTGTTCATTTGGCTGGGCCAGATAAATGAGTTCATATTTTTATTTGTACACAATAAAGTACCTTTTCTAAAGTTTCTGCAACTTTAGGAGTTTTCCACTTATTGGACAAGTACATGGTAGACTCCTGAATCTTCTATAATTTTAATATTTGAGACTTGTAAGCTTTATATTTCTGATGTTGCAATTATATGGATTGGAAAGTATTACATGATTGTGAACCGTCTTATGTAAGCAAATTTTTAAATGAATTTTCATTGTGTATTTTATCTTATAATCCTGAGATACAAAATTACATCAGATGCCTCATCTTTTGAAAGAGTTTTTTTATTATTAATCTCGCATGTAAATCATAAGATGAACTTTTTTTCCATTTTCTATTAAAGCTGCTTTGCTCATTGACTTTTATACTTTACAAGTTAGTTTTTATACAATTTAGTTTTTATCAGTTAGTGAATTCACTTTCTTTGTCCAGAGTATCATTGAGTGTCATTAAGTGATCATTCCATTTGGAAGTCTTGGAGGCCCCCTAAATCTTTGCTTCTGACCTGATTTTACACTAATGGATTATTCTGCCCTTTGACAATTAGATATATTTTGGCCTGAAAGCAAAATTGTCACTAAGTAAGTAAACATTGCTAATAAACCACCATTTATTTATTTCAATGTTTTTGTGGCAGATGATGACTTTCCCAATACAAGCACTTTACAGTAAATTTCTTATTTCTTGTCTATATGAACAGTAGAATAAAAAAGATTTCATTCACATAATGAAGATGAGATGAATTACATGGCAAAAATTAAATATTTTGGATTTTTCATAAGAGTGCCAGAATTCAAGTTAAAAAATTACTCATCTATATAATTTGCTTTCTTGAAGACCGTACTTTTGTATTTGTTTATTTGTATCATTAATTGATACTCACATGCTCATAGTTCAACAGTTATATGACTCAACAGTTGTACTGGCGGAAGGAAATGCAGTAATCCTTATGCCCCAGGTACCAAAGTACCTAATTGAAATGCACTACAAGGAAAAGTCAAGTTTATTACCCTTGCCTACAACTTGTAGTGTGACATTTTGCTTTATAGCATTTGGAGTCTTTCACCTCCCAAGAACAATGAACTTCAAAAACATAATACAAGTGGGAAAATTGCCTTAAAAATGTAATTTTAGAAATGATTCTTTGAAAACACTGTTAAACGAGAAAGTCTGATAAAAAGATGAAACTAATATTCCATTCATCTTCTGTTGATTCATATTTAAACCCAATGTAAAGTTCAGCTGTTTAGGGGAAAGAGAAAAAAAAATATGTTGATTAAATGAAATAAGTCAGGATGATTCCTCAAAGTTTAAGTCAAATATCCCCATTTGAGAGTCTTTAGTGTGTAGCTTGTGATTTTTTTTTCCTTTGTTGATTTTTGTTGTTGCTTTCTCTGGGTTAAATATATTTCAAGGAAAATAACATAATTCTCAAATCCATTATTTCCTCAGGTGTTTCCATTTTCTTTTAATATGGGGTAACTTAATCAAACACAAAAACATAAACAAATAATTTCTATTGTAAAGGAAGGGTAATCTAATTGAGCAGTGGAGCAGTGGTAATCTAAGCACTAGACTTTGGGTTGTAGTTGGGGCTTTCACAACAATAATTATCATCGGCAATAGTGAGGGCATTGTATGAAGGATTTCACACATACTACGTCAGTTCATCCTCCAATCAGTACTGAGAGATGCGTATATTGATTACTCCCGCTTTACACATGATGCACTCACTTTTTGCACTGACTGTGCTCTAAGTTTGAGGACAAACTTCTTCCCACAGGGTCCATCTATTCATACCCCAAATAAATTTAGAACAAACCACTTCAAATAAACGTAATCTAAGTAAAAACAGCCTACTCTCTATGCAGGCACTATTTTTTAAACTCCCACACTTTTTGTGGCTACCCACTACCACTTCCTTTAATTTCTAATCTTTTTTTTTTTTTTTTTTTTTGAGATAGGGTCTCACTCTGTTGCCCAGGTTGAGGTGCAGTGGTGCAATCTTGGCTCACTGTAACCTCTGCCTCCCAGGTTCAAGCGATTCTCCCGCCTCAGCCTCCTGAGTAGCTGGGATTACAGGCACCTGCCATCGTGCCCAGCTAAATTTTGTATTTTTATACAGATGGGATTTCCATCATTTTGGCCAGGCTGGTCTCAAACTCCTGACCTCAGGTGAGCCACCCGCCTCGGCCTGCCAAACTGCTGGAATTACGGGCATGAGCTACCACGCCGGACTTAATCAATTTTCTCTTAATCCCTTACCGTAGTCAAATTATGGAGCCAGTACTAAAGAAAAACCAAGCTAATGTTCCTCATTTCCAAGGCAAGCTCCAAGCCCCCCGTATCTTCCACAGTGTCAGCTTCCAAGTTGTTTTCAACAATCGATGGGAATTTTCAACTTTTTAAAAATTTTACTGAGAACAAAAGAGAGAGAAATCAAAATTCTGAAACTCGTCTCTTAACATCATAGCAAAGATTGACCCAAGCTGTGGCACCAGATCTAAGTTCTAAGGAGCATGGAGGTTCAGAGTTTGCCACCCACAAGTTCAAAATCCCAGACAATTTTCATAAATTGATTATTTACAAACAGCAAAACAAAACAAATAAATGCTCAGAGAATTTGTCAACTTACTTCAGTCAACACTGACAGTGTTTTGGCTTCTCCTAATTTTTAATTTTTGTAAGTAAAATTGAAAAATAAACTGAATTCTGAAAATGCCCAAGGGCCACAAATTTAAAACGAGATTGATGCAAGGATGCCAATCCATCTATCCCTGCTGCAAAGGAAATTGCTAATGGTGCTGCCACTTCAGAGGAGGAGCCTCCTGAAAGTTTCATGAGATCAAAGACCAAAAAAAGTTACAAATAAACCAAAGAATCAAGACTGTCTAATCTCCCCATTCTTACTGTTTACAACCGCAACTATTTGAACTGTAAGTCATTATTAGGCTCATAAAGCAGCTTTTGAATTACAGAGAAGTCATTCAGAATTTGAATTCTACTGTTATGCTAATACCCCAGGAGAGAGAGCTACCTAGGACTATTTGATAATTACATGGGGTCCTTTACTTCTATAAAGACTGTAAATATCAAGCCTTATAACTTTGAAGTAAATAATACTATTTATTTATTCCTAATCTGACATTTTATCTATTCTTCATGAAAAACTTATCTAAGTATTGCTATAATTCATGGGGTTCCTTGGCACCATTTCAGGAAAAAGAAAAACATGTTTTTACTTGAATTATATTTTAAGAAAAATATTTTACTGAGTTAAAAACTGATGCACATGAATCTGTGAGACTGTTAAAACGGAAAATAAACATCATTTGCAGGTTACATTGTACTTTGAGAGCCTTGGTTCCAATGCTAATTCTCCTTTCTTAGACAAAATGTACTCAAGTGGTCAGCAGAGAGATCTTCTTAGAAAGCTAGAAGAGCTAGAGAATTTTTTAATGGGGACCATAAAAATCTGCTGAGAGCCAGACATTCATTTCTATAAAGACATGAACTGTCCAAATAATGTGGCCCAACACAAGCTCACTGCTTAAAGCACCAGGTGCCACATTGCAAATAGGGTGAAAATTGCCCGCTGAACTTGGACCCAACTTGGTGCACTAGTCATGATCCCTGCTCTCACAGAGTTTACGGGAAATGAATGATCAAGAAATAACAATTGAGATAGTGAGAATTATGAGGAGATTCAAATAAGGCTGTCTCTTGTCTCTTGGGACCTACTTGAGACAGAGTGATAAGGGTCTGAGAGGAGACATTTGAGCAGAGATCTGAATGAAAGGGAGTGAGGCATAGAAAGATCTGGGGACAATCATGTCAGGCAGAAGGATCTGCGGTAAAACATTCATGCAGAAAGACGCGTTTGTCTAGAAAGAAGATATAAAGACATTCTTCTTCCAGCCACCCCCACCTTTGACTAACAGCCAAATGGGGGTGTGTATTTGGGGCTAACATAATAAGAAAAATCAGCTCCAGATTCACCCTGGAAGGGGTTTGCTTTCATTCACTTTGGAAAGGTGGGTTAACAATGATAATGCCCTCCTCAACTTTCTCTAGAGCGTTGCTAGGGTGACACTGTAATTCAAAGGACAGAATATCAATAAAGCCAGGATGTACAGGAATGTAAACAAGCTTTAAAAAAATAGTCCAGGTGTTTGTTAAATAGACCACAACGGGACAGGTCCATTATCATTGCAGAAAGCTCTGTACTTAGTATGTCCAATTATCTAAATAGCTCAAAAACATAATCAATCCATCAGTAGTATTCAGCTTCTAGCTCTGATATCTGATTGTGAATTCTCTGTGTTTATTCATATTTCTGCCAAATGTCGATCCAGAAATGTATTAGCATCTGCCAGTGATGAATAAACATAAGACTGTGCTCCTCCTGCAATTCTTAGTCGGGCTCATGGAACAAGGGCTAGTCCAATCCATACCCTGTGGATGTTTCTTCACATCACAGAGCTGTGTTATTTTCTTTAATCGAGTCAACATAGTCAAGAGTCAAGAATGATTCTAACCTTGAATCTTTGGCCTTCAGCGGCAGCTCCACATTTTTCTCTGCACTTGCCCTACCTAGACTTGTGCATTTTAAAAGGCCAGCTCTGGTTGCTTTCTTGTCCTTTAATTTTCTTGACAGGCAAATACTTGTGGGATTCCAAAGATACTGGTTCTGCACATCTCTTGGGGCTGACAGCATCCACTAGTGCTTGGGTGGAGAGAAGCATAAAGGGAGAAGAGTGAGACCTGCTGCAATGCCCAGTCACCCCAGGCTTCTGAGAGTGAACGTGCCCAGTGGCTCTGGAAGTCTTTCTCTGCTTGCATGACATGCAGTGTTGTATACTAAATCGCTGTTACTTAGTCCCTTATGTACATGTGTTGTGGGATCCACCTATTCTTGTGTCGGTATAAGAAGAGGTAAGGCAACTTTGATTGGCATGAATGTGTCACACACGGTGCTGTGTGGACATGCCAGTGCTATTCATTTCTTGAAGCCAGTTGCATTGTGAGTATCAACAAATTTTCTTTTTTCTTTTTTTTTTTTTTATTTTTTTATTTTTAGGATGGAGTTTCACTCTTGTTGCCCAGGCTGGAGTGCAATGGCATGATCTCAGCTCACTGCAACCTCTGCCTCCCAGGTTCAAGTGATTCTCCTGCCTCAGCCTCCCAAGTAGCTGGGATTACAGCCACACGCCACCATGCCCAGCTAATTTTTGTATTTTTAGTAGAGAGAAGGTTTTGCCATGTTGGCCAGGCTGGTCTTGAACTCCCGAACTCAGGTGATCCACCCGCCTCAGCCTCCCAAAGTGCTGGGATTACAGGCGTGAGCCACTGCGCCTGGTCTATCAACAAGTTTTCACAAATCCCATGCCATTTGCTTTGCTAAATTGAACTGGGCACCCTCTTTGATCTCACTACTATTGTTTTTAGGGGTCATGTTCTGTAGTTCAGCCAAAAGTGTAACAGAGGCTAATTGAACCCAATGTTCCATCTATCAGCCTGTCTTTTGCCAGTCTGAATAGGTAAAGGGACTTTCAAAGTATATGTCCAACTTGGTGCTTATCTGCATGCGTGGGGCCCAGACTAAACACTCAAGTCTCCATTCTATGTGGGAAAACCTAACAGAGTCATCCAGCATATTTGAGAGAAGGAAATTCTTCGTAGCATTTCTTTGTCCATGGGAGTGTGTTTGTGTCTGTGTGAAAGAAAAAGAATGTACGTATGTGTGTGTTGTGTGTGCTAGGAGAGAGGTGTTTGCACTTCACCAATGTTGTTACTTACCCATAAATGTCTACCCGTAAACTGAGCTACCTGCTCCCACCTCTTAAGAGAGTCTTAGAATACTAGTCATATTAATAACCCTATTACTTTTGTTATAGTGAATTCTAACCTTCTCCTGAGCATTCTAAGTTCTTTCGTATCTTCTTATTTGCTGTTCCATCTACTGATGATCACATCTTCAAATAATGAACTTCTCTTTGTCCTTTAGGACCATGCCTTTAGAAAAGCCTTCCAGACCTTCCGAGTCCCCAACAGTTCATATATGCCATTACCAAAGTGCTTAATACTAAATTTTATAATATTTGTTTACAAATCTGCCTCATTTGTAGATTGTGAGCCCCAAAGTCAGCTAGCAGGCAAGTTACTGAAAGGATTAGGCATTCAGTTTTCGAATTGCGTGCTACTTAGCAAGAAAGTTTATAAAAAATTGAAAATATCTTTTGGCTAGATTGTTTTTCATTACACTTTCATATCCTCAAAGGCAGGCATTGTATTTTCTCATCTCACGTCCCAGAAAACTAGCACTTCTGAAACAATGCACAGTAACGTTTGCTCCGTGAATGAATGAGTGGTTGTTACTTTCCAGCTGAAAATATTTCAATGATGCTGTTTTAATTTGGGATCTTTAAGATTAAGAGAGACACAAGATAGAAATAAATATTTTATTACTTACAGGTCCTGGGGGGTACACAGTATGCCTAGAGGCCACACACTTGGAAGTAAGGGAGTACAGGCAGGGAATGAGAGAGAGAGAGGGACCCATGGCCCAATACCTTTACTGTGTCCAGGGTATTATCCAAACAGGTTTTTCTTGGGGAGTTTTCTTTGGTGGGTTTACCTTAAGCAGGCACAATTTCCAGGAGGTAACACTGTGACTGAGAGGTGGTCATTATGGCATATCTGTACAGCCCACAACGGGATGTGAGGATTAGTGGGTTCATCTGCAGGCTGCATCTAGCTGTCCCATCAAGAAGTGGTCACCAGTGAGCAGTTGTATAAAGCAGATATCTAGCTCAACTACATTTGTTGAGTCGTAGGGGTGGTATAGGACTGAAAGCTGTGACAAGGGTGACTGAGCTCTGCTTCTGGTATGTGAAAGTACAACATACACTTAAAAGGATGGTAAGGCGGCCAGGCGCGGTTGCTCATGCCTGTAATCCCAGCACTTTGGGAGGCCAAGGCGGGCAGATCACAAGATCAAGAGATAGAGACCATCCTGGCTAACACAGTGAAACCCTATCTCTACTAAAAATACAAAAATTAGATGGGCGTGGTGGTGCATGCCTGTAATCCCAGCTACTCAGGAGGCTGAGGCAGGAGAATCACTTGAACTCGGGAGGCAGAGGTTGCAGTGAGCTGAGATCGCGCCATTGCGCTCCAGCCTGGTGAAAGAGCAAGACTCTGTCTCAAAAAAAAGGATGATAAGGAAACAGAAAGTTATAATAACTCACTACAGACACTATAGTACATGCTGGAACATATTCAAGTATATTAGTTTTTTTTATCGTTTTTTTTTATAATCAGAGGTTAAAGAAACTAGAAATGGGCTAATTGGAAAAGAAGAAAGTAATCTTTGCATTTTCACTATTTGCAGAGATGTGTCTTCTCCTAAAAATGATAAAGCCTGCTCTTTCTCTACGACCCAGCTCAGGGGTGTCCTCTGTGTATTCTCACTAAATTCCTGGAGGCAGAAGTGTTTTTGAGCTCTCACTCTCTCCCTTGCTCTCTCGCGCTCTCTCTGTCTCTCCCTCTCCATTGTGTTATCGTCATTTGTTTAATGTTTCTTAATTATAGGACTTTTCAGACCTTGTTTCAAAGACTTGTGAACACATTTACTTCCTCTGCTAAACCAGTGGTTCTTAACCAGGAGCGATCTCCTCCCTTTTACTTGTAGGGATGTTTGACAATGTCTGGAGACATTTTTGGTTGTTACAACTGTATATGTTGTGGGGAGAGGGGATACTACTATATTTTAGTGAGTAGAGGTCATGCCGCTGAACATTCCCCAGTGGGGACAGCACCTCACCCACGGCCCCTGACTTCTGGACAACTAAGAGTTACCCATCTCATAATGTCAATAGTGCTGAGGTTGAAAAATGCTGTGCTAGACTATGAACTCTTTGAAGGCAAGAAGTGTTTCAATTCATCACTAACTGTTTTAAAAATCTCTAGAGTTTAACACAAGGTTTGTCATATATATATATATATATATATATATGTCCCATATATATATGTCCCATATATATGTATGTCCCATATATATATATATGTCCCATATATATATGTCCCATATATATGTATGTCCCATATATATATGTCCCATATATATATGTCCCATATATATGTGTCCCATAGATATGTCCCATAGATATGTCCCATATATATATCCCATATATATGTCCCATGTATATGTATGTCCCATGTATATGTATGTCCCATGTATATATATGTCCCATGTATATATATGTCCCATATATATGTGTGTCCCATATATCTATATGTCCCATATGTATATATAGTCCTATATATATGTCCCATATATATAGTCCTATGTATATGTCCCATATATGTATATGTCCCATATATGTATATGTCCCATATATGTATATGTCCCATATATATGTCCCATATATAGTCCTATATATGTCCCATATATATAGGACTATATATATGTCCCATATATATATAGTCCTATATATATATGTTCAGATAATGTTTAAGAAGTGAATAATTGAATGAATGAATGGTTGGATAGGTTGATAGATGGATAAGCAGACAGATGGATAAATGGATGAATCAATCAATCACTCTAGGACTACTTCCTAGCCCTTTCAATTCTTGGAAGCATTTGCTTTCCAAGTCAGAACTGCTATTTATTATCTGAATTAGAGTCTAATCAAGCCACCAACCAAGATGCTGACCTGACCAGCCCTCATTTTAAGCATGTGCTTGACCAGAGATCTTAAGACATTCATTATTAGCAAATATTACTAGCCCTTTTCTGGTTGTTTGGTAACAGAGTTATTTATATTCTATCCCATTGTGCTGAGCACGTTTCCCCTATTTTATCATTTAGCTTGCCGTTGTAATGCTTCTTATAACTGCATTATTTTCTGAGGCTGTTGACAAACCTGATGTGACTCTCAGTTTAAAAACCCTTCTGATGAGTCTGCTCTCTGTGTCCCTTTTAGGCAATAAGACTCGGTCATGATCCTCAAGGTGGAAGACAAATGCATTTTCTTTTGGTCAGTGTCACCAACTTAAGTTTCAATCAACTGTCTTGTATTTTGGTTTGTGATTTTCCAAGTAATCAAGTATATCTGGAGATGAGAAAATATGACTCATTTAGTCTGAGACAGTCCGTCAAACAAAATCTATCCACATATTATGAAGTCTTTATACCTTTTCTCACTTGTATTATTTCTGCATTTGCTATAGCAAGTGCTCTATGGATCTTAGGTAAAAGAATATGTGAGTCGCATGCGATTTATGCAGCTGGTTTCTGAAGTGGTTTCTATGTATGCATATCCTCACCATATTATGAGCTAGCCCTGGTCAATAAATATCGTGACTACTACTTGAATTGCTACCCTTCCTTTCAGGCTGGCTCTATTATTTAAAACAAATATATATATATATATATATATATATATATATATATATATATGTAACTTTAAATAAAAACAATAGTAAAACCTAACACAACAGATTTTCCCTGGAAATAGAGAAATATCCAGGAATAATTTGAATTCCTTGAAATTTACATTATTCAGTAAAAATTCTGTGGATAATTCCAAGAAAGCCTATGTCTAGATTGATAAAACGTAACTAATTGTATTAAAGATTTTCTTTTTTTTTTTTGAGACGGAGTCATGCTCTGTCACCCAGGCTGGAGTGCAGTGGTTCGATCTCGGCTCTCTGCAACCTTCGCTTCCCGGGTTCAGGCCATTCTCCTGCCTCAGCCTCCCAAGTAGCTGGGACTACAGGCACCCACCACCCCACCTGGCTAATTTTTTGTATTTTTTAGTAGAGACAGGGTTTCACCACGTTAGCCAGGATGGTCTCGATCTCCTGACCTCGTGATCCCCCCATCTCGGCCTCCCAAAATGCTGGGATTATAGGCATGAGCTACCACCCCCGGCCATATTAAAGATTAAAAAAAAAATAAGATGAAGGAATTATTGGGGTATAGGTAGCTCGGCAAATTTATAAACTCTCAATACGGCATGCTTTTCTGCTATTTTTCTTATTGTGAATTATAGTTTACATAAAATGTTGCATGAAATGGAAGTATGTTATTTAATGGACAAAATAAAATGATTGGCATGGACCAACTATGAGGGTAAGAAATTGGACATTATCATATCTGAGACATCTTTATGGGCTTCTTGAATTCAGTTCTTTCTTCTCCCCCTATGTTTTTACTAGCTGCTAGCCTGAGTTTTGTGTTAATTATTTTCTTTGATTTTATTTGTAATTTTCATCCCATGTGAAAACATACATGGGATGAAACAATATATCGTTTAGTTTTACCTGGTTTTTAAAAATACATGTGGCCATGCAGTGTATAGTAGTCCATCTTTATCTTCGGTTGTGATTTCCATGGTTTCAGTTACCTGAAGTTTTGACCTGAGGTCAGAAAATATTGAATGGAAAATCCCCAAAATAAACAATTTCTACATTTTCAATTGCTCACCATTCTGAGTAGCATGGTGAAATCTTGTAATTGAATAACAACTAACAGAGGTTTATTTCTCTCTCCTGATATGTGTGCATCATGGGTGGGCTGGGAATTTGCTCTATGTCTTCTCCACTCCAGGACTCACGCAAAAAGAGAAATTCCAAATGGTAACATTGCTAGGGCTGTGACAGAGGGAAAAGACCACCATTCACCCTTTGTCACCTGTCCTTTACGAACCCAGAATCCAGTCCACATTTAGTTCTCATATCTCATTGTTCTTCTTCAATCTGGATTAGTTCCTCTGTCTTTGTTTTCATACCTTAACATTTCTGAATAGTACAGGCCAGTTAGTTTGAAGAATGGCCCTTAATTTGGTATCTGACATTTTCTTGTGATTCACGCTTTTTGAAAGAAATTCCACGCAAGTCATATTGTGCTACTCTCAGTGAATTTTATCAAGAGGCAGACAACATTGATTTATCCCATTACTGGTGATGTTACCTTTTATCACCTGTTTAGGATGGTGAATGGTAGGGCCCTCCACTCTAAAACTAAAGAATTGGTTACATGAGTAAGTTCTTTAGTGGTGATTTGTGAGATTTTGGTGCACCCATCACCTGAGCAGTATACACTGCACTGTATTTGTAGTGTTTTATCACTTGTCCCCTCCTACTCCTCCCCCCAAGTCCCCAAAGTCCATTGTGTCATTCTTACACCTTTGCATTCTCATAGCTTAGCTCCCATATATCAGTGAGAACATACAATGTTTAGTTTTCCATTCCTGAGTTACTTCACTTAGAATAATAGTCTCATCTCACAGTTTGGCTCATCTCATATTTTTCCTATTGAGATAACCATTTCTCTAAAGAGAATAGCATTTTAAAATGGTATTTAAACCCCAAATCTGGGTATTCAGTAGGCTCACTGCTACTGAGGTATCATCGCTTCTAGGTCCTCTTAGCAAACACAGATAGAAAATATAAGTGTATATGTGTATGCACACACACACTCATACACAAAAGTACATCTACATGCTACTATGTCTAGATAGGTTAAAAGCTGTGAGTTTACACTGATAATCTCTGACGCTAACTAAATGTTAAAAACTGTGAGTTTACACTGATAATCTCTGATGCTAACTAAACACTGTAACGTTTATTCTAGTGTTCCCTGTTCCATGTTCATAATTCCATTCTCCAACAGTGAAAAACCTGACTTTCATGACTCTCAGTCTATTTACTTATTATTTATTAAATCAGTTTACCCTGCATGTAGTCAAATACCTGGACGAGTCAGCCCAAAGGTGAACCCTCAGACACTGGCAGCCCTCCCCCACCGGCCCCCACTTCTTTCAGGCATGCAAAACAAGAGCTCCAAAAAGAAGGGAAAGGAATAAGGAAGGAAGGCCAGTTAGATAGCTCAGCCCTGGGCATGGATGCTGTCCATTTGAGATGGCAGCCCAGGGCCAGGACCCGGACATCCATAAGCGCAGGTCAAAATCTCACATCCCCACAAAGGAGATGGAGAGCTAGAATAAGAACTGCATAATTTTAATGTATACAAATTGATCAAAATTTTCCTTTATGGTTTCTGGTTTTTTACATCTTGTTTAAGTAAGCTCTATGCCGGAGAACATTAAGATAGTCTCAAATATTGTATTCTAAATGTTATATATTGTTACCTTTTATGTTAGGTCTTTTAATGTTCCTGGAATTGATTTTTTTTTTTTTTTTTTTTTTTTTTTTGCTGTGGTGAAAATTTGGGTTTTAAATTATTTCTCTTTTTCCACATGGATAACCAACTGTCTCAGTAACAATTATGGAAAAGTCCATCATTTCCCTACCTATCTCTATGCTACATTTCTAGGTTCTCTACACTGTTCTATTAGTCTGTTTGTCAATTTCTGTATTAATACCACACTGTCTTTGTTACTGGACTTAGGACTGGCTACATATTTTGCAGGATACAGTGTGAAATGGAGATGCAGAAACCCTTATTACAAAATTATTAAGAATTTCACGACAGTGACAGCAGAGGACCAAGGACAGAGCTCTTCCAAGTGCAGACTCCGTGTGATTGCACAGGTCACCCATTTATGATGCTGGCCCTGGCTAGAGCTTTTTTGTCTTGATGTGTTAGGGAATTACCCTAACAGAATGTCTGGCTTCTTCCAACTCCGTAAATTATTTTTGTTTTTGCAGGAATCCACTAAATATCAAATTCACAGCTTTTATTCCCCCAAATATGTCTACCTCTTGTAGTGTGCTCTTCCAAAAAATTATTTTTTCTTTTCCTAGGGCTGCTGCAGCAAAGTATCACAAATTCAGTCGCTTACCACAACGGACATTTAGTGTCTTAAAGTTCTGAAGACTAGCAGTCAAAAGTGAAGGTGTCAGCAGGGCCATGCTCCCTCTGATATCTGTAGAATGCTATTTTTCCTTGCTTTTCCTAGCCTCCAGTGGTGGACATCAATTCTTGCCATTCCTTTGCCTGCAGATACATCACTCCAATCTCTGCCTCCATCTTTATATGACATTCTCCCTGTGAGTCTCTTGTCTTTACATAGCTGTTTGTTTATAAGGACAACAGTCAGATTAGGGGCCAAACCAACTCCGGTATGACCAAATTTTGACTAATTACATCTGCAGAGACCCTATTCCAAATCAGTTTATATTCTGAGGTATTGGGGGTTAGAAAGTTCAACATATCTTTTGGAAGGCAGACCTACAATTCAACCCATATGTGCAACCATGAAGTTCAGAGCTAACTCTAAAGCTCTGTGATAGCAACTATGGTTTCCATAGCTCTGTTTCTTCTTTAAAAATAGAAAAAAAATTGTTTTACTGTATACATTTAATGTTCACAACATGATGTTTTGGTACACAGTCATGTGCCATATAAAGATGTTTGGTCAACAATAGACCACATATAGGATGGAGGTCCCATAAGATTATATTATACATTTACTGTACCTTTTCTATATTTAGGTACGCAAATCCTTCCTACTGTGTTATACTTGCCTATAGTATTTAGAACAGTAATATGCTGTACAGGGTTGTAGCTTATGAGCAATAGGCTATACCATATAGCCTACATATGTAGTGGGCTATATACCCTCTAGGTTTGTGTTAAGTATACTCTATGATGTTTGCGCAATGATGAGATTGCCTAATGATGCATTTCTCAGTATGTATTCTGGTAGTTACATGACACGTGACTGCATATATATATATATATATATATATATATATATATATATATATAGTGAAATGATAACTACAGGTAAGCAAATTAATATATCCATCATCTTCTATAGTTACCTCTTTTATTGTGGTAAAAGCACTTAAAATATACTTTATTAGCAAATTTTTAATATATAATACAATATAATTAAAGCTATAGTCCTGCTGTGCATTAGGTCTCTAGAATTATTTCATTCTACAAAGCTGTAAATTTGTATCCTATGATGGAGTGCAGTGGCCCGATCACCGCTCACTGCAGCATGGACCTCCTGGGCTCAAGCAATACTCCCACCTCAGCCTCCGAATAGCTGGGACTACAGGCACATGCCACCACGCCAAGATGATTTTTTGTTTTTGTTTTTTGTGCTCAGGCTGGTCTCAAACTCCTGAGCTCAAGCAACCCGCCCACCTTGGCCTCCCGAAGTGCAAGGATGACAGGCGTGAGCCACCATACCCAGTCTATTTCACTTTTAAAAAGATTCTATGTAGAAGATCGATCATGCAATATTTTTCCTTCTCTGTCTGGCTGATTTCACTTAGCATACTGTCCTTTAAAAAGGACATACTGCCATTTGCAACAATGTGGATGAACCTGGAGGACATTATGCCATGTGTTTTTTTTTTCTTCTTAAAAAAGGTTCAACATGTGTATAATCCAAGTAGTCTAACTCTAGGACCTGAAATTATAACCATCACATACTCCCCCTCCTCAATAAATTTGTGTATAGATTGGCAAGTTTGCATGGAAACTAAGCAATACCTTATTTACTAGTTCTAAGTTACATTTAAACTAGACTTATTTATTTCCATTCATCACATGTTTTGGTGTGTGTCTCTATTAGAACTACCTTCAGTCTTTTGTGGAATGATGCAGACAGTGAATGGATACTTACAATTATGTAAGTAAATACAGTAATATTGCTCTGTTGTCACACAAACCTGCAACCTATCCACAAATTTCATTTGAGAAGGGAGACTACGTGATGGTTATCATTTCAGGTTCTGGGGTTAGACCACCTGGATTTATACACATTTTGAACCTTGTTTAAGTGATATAACTGCCTTTGGTCTCAATTTTCCTAAATTTTAAATGAGAATAAAAGTCATACCAACTTTCACTGCTGCTACATGATAAGTACTCTGTGAATATTAGGTTTCATTAGATATCATTGTACATGTAACTATGCTTAACAAAAACGGATATGTAAATTTTGTAAAATATCAATCATAATCTCTGCTCCAGGTGGATTAAAAAGAAGCTCATTCTTTTATCTATTCCATAGATATTCATTGATTGTCTAACAATTTTAGGTATTTTTCTAGGTTCACTCATTTGTCCTCTAATTCTAAACCAGTGCCCAGCACATAGCAGGTGCTCAATAAAAAGAAATGTTGCGTGGATGAAAACAAAGTACTTGCCATCACAGACCTTATAATCTAATTGGAGAAAAGAGACATTGAATAAATACGTAAAGTAAAATGCTATTATGTCCTATGAAGAAAAAGAAAGTAAGGGAAAGAAAGAGTGATGCGGTGGGGGTAGGAAGTTATTTTAGAAAATGTACTCAGAGGGGCCGGGCATGGTGACTCATGCCTGTAATCCCAGAACTTTGGGAGGCCGAGGCGGGCAGATCACCTGAGGTCGGGAGTTCAAGACCAGCCGACCAGCCTGACCAACATGGAGAAACCCCATCCCTACTAAAAATATTAAATTAGCCAGGCATGGTGGCACATGCCTGTAATCCCAGCCACTCGGGAGGCTGAGGCAGGAGAATCACTTAAACCTGGGAGGCAGAGGTTGTGGTGAGCCGAGATTGCACCACTGCACTCCAGCCTGGGCAACAGTGGTGAAACTCCGTCTCAAAAAAAAAAAAAAAAAAAAAAAAAAGAGAAAATGTACTCAGAGGATGCATTGCTGAAGAGGTAATATTTAAGGAGAGACCTGAATGACCTAACTGTATGCCAGGCAGAGGAAATAAAATACAGAAGCCCTCAAGTGGGACTGTGTGTGGTAGGTTTGGAGAATAGCAAGTGGTCATTAAGTTAGTAAGGCAGAGTTCTTTCCACTGGAGATAAATACTAATTCTACATACTGTTCTACACATGTAAAAGGAGTTCAGTTTGTAGTATAATAGTTCAAATAAGGGAGAAAGAATTTGTTGTATCTGGAATAGTCACTGAAAACCTTGCAAAGGAGGAAAGTTTTAAATGTGGAAGAGAGCTCCCTAGCATCTTTCAAAATGTGCTCAGGAAAAAGCAGCCTCAGTATCACCCGTCTGGGAACTTAGCAGAAATGTGGACTCTCAGGGCCCACCCCATCCTATTCCTGGGGATGGGACCCCACAATTGGTGCTGTTGCAAACTCCTGGGGTGATTCTTATGCATACCAAAGTTGAGAAGCTCTGCTCCAGCATTGCTTCCTGAACTTTAACAGAAACGCACAACACCTTGGGGGTTAGTTAAAATGCAGATACTCATTCAGTTGGATCTGGGGAGGGGCCTGAAATCTGCATTTCTAACAGGCTCCCAGGTGAGGCAGACATAAGCAGTCCACAGACTGCACACAGGGGCCTAAGAGTTAAGGCCAACTTTTTCTCTAAAGGGTCAGATAGTAAATATCTTAGGATTTACAGGCCATGTGGTCTCTGTTACAACATTGTGACATGACAGGAGCCGTGGACAATACATAAATGAATGAGTACATTCTGTAAAACTGTTATTGGACATTGAAATTAGAATTTCCTCAAAGTTTTATGTATCTCAAAATATTATTCTTCTTTTAATTTTTTTCAACCCTTTAAAAACGTAAAAGCTATTCTTAGCTCATAGGCCATAGTTGCTGACTCCTGGCCTGGAATATAGTTATGTCGGACAGGGAAGTTCTATGTTCTTGTTCCCCATTTGTATAATCAGTGCCAAGCATTTAAATAGGAGAAAGCTTCAAAAGATACATTTCTCCAAAAGAGAAAAAAAGTCTTCAGAAGAAACATTTTCCCATTGTTAATAGCATGTAAAGTATCAGTAAATATAATTTATTAAATATAGTACATAAATTCATTTGTACATAAAATATGGTGCACATTCTATGTTTATATGTAAAAATTCATGGTTGAAGAAACTGGAGAGAGATTAACCCAGAAATGACAAAAGGTAAAAATGATAGTTTATTTCAAGTATGTGGAAGGTTGACTTGTAGGAAAAGAAGGCTATATCATCTGCTTCTCTGTAGAAGGCAAAACTAGGTTCAGTGAGTAGAAGATACAGGGAAGCAGATTCCACTTCAACTTGAGAAGGAATTTTTCTAACAATTTGTATTCTGCAACCACAGAACTGGCTTCCCCAGGAGGTTATGTTTTCTCTGTCACTATAGGTGTATTAGAGAGACTCTAGCTATTCGATGAATGTGATGGAAAAGGAATTGCCTATTGGATCTAGGGCAGATTCCATGTCTAAGATTTCTCTCAATCAGATTTTCTTTTTCTTCTTTTTTTTTTTTTTTTTTGAGACAGAGTCTCACTCTGTTGCCAGGCTGGAGTGCAGTGGCACTATCTCTGCTCATTGCAACCTCTGACTCCCTGGTTCAAGTGATTTTCCTGCCTCAGCCTCCTGAGTAGCTGGGACCACAGGCACGTGCCACCACACCTAACTAATTTTTGTATTTTTAGTAGAGATGGGGTATCGGGGGAACGCGCCCCCAATATTTCAACGTAGGTTCTTTCTATTTTCCCTAAGTGCCAGCCAGATGAGAAATAAAGAGAAAGAGTACAAAGAGAGGAATTTTACAGCTGGGCCTCCGGGGATGACATCACATATCGGTAGGACCGTGATGCCCACCTGAGCTGCAAAACCAGGAGGTTTTTATTAAGAACTTCAAAAGGGGAGGGGGTGTATGAACAGGAAGTAGGTCACAAAGATCAGATGCTTCAGAGGGCAAAAAGGAGAACAAAGATCACATGCTTCTGAGGCCAATAAAGATCACAAGGCGAAAAGGGCAAAATCAAAAACTCCTGATAAGGGTCTATGTTCAGCTGTGCACGTATTGTCTTGATAAACATCTTAAACAACAAAAAACAGGGTTTGAGAGCAGAGAAGTGGTCTGACCTCAAATTCACCAGGGTGGGGTTTTTTTCTTCCAGAGTAGCTGTTTATAGACCTCCCCCCAGGATTGCTTTCCTTCCCCAGGGTATTAATTATTAATATTCCTTGCTGGGAAGAGAATTTAGTGATCTCTTCCCTACTTGCACATCCATTTATAGGCTCTCTGCAAGAAGAAAAATATGGCTCTATTCTGCCCGACCCCACAGGCAGTCAGACCCTATGGTTGTCTTCCCTTGTTCCCTGACAATTGGTGTTATTCTGTTCTTTTTCAAGGTGCACTGATTTCATATTGTTCAAACACACATGTTTTACAATCAATTTGTAGAGTTAACACAATTATAGTGGTCCTGAGGTGACGTACATCCTCAGCTTACGAAGATAACAGGATTAAGAGATTAAAATAAAGACAGGCATAAGAAATTATAATAACACAATTATAGTGGTCCTGAGGTGACATACATCCTCAGCTTACAAAGATAACAGGATTAAGAGATTAAAATAAAGACAGGCATAAGAAATTATGAAAGTATTATTAGGGAAGTAATAAATGTCCATGAAATCTTCACAATTTATGTTCCTCTGCTGCAGCTCCAGCCAGTCCCTCCATTTGGGGTCCCTGACTTCCTGCAACAATGGGGTTTCACCATGTTGGCCAGGATGGTCTCAATCTCCTGACCTTCTGATGCACCCGCCTCAGCCTCCCAAAGTGCTGGGATTACAGGCATGAGCCGCCACACCCGGCCCAGATTTTCTCATGCTTTGTTAATTTCTTATGTCCACTCTGCTTAAATGTTTTTAAAACCTTCTTAACTAGCCTCTTCATCTCCAGTCTTACCAACTCGATACAATGCAACAGTCAAGTATTAGAGAAATCTTTGGAAATCACAGCTCTGATTATGTCATTTTCTGGTCCCCAAACCTTCCATGGTTTCAGATTATTCAATAGTTTTCATATTCTTTCATTCAAACCCCTTCACAGCCCTTTCAGGCTTTATGTTCCCCAATTCTTGATCACTCGGTTACAATGGAGCACTTGTTAGTCACAGAACCACCTTATACACTCCCATCTATTTTCCCTTGCACAGGCGGTTCCTACCAGCTTCTGTGCCCTTTTACCTACTCCCAGCCCTGTATTTTATCTGTCTTAATCCTACCGATATTATAATGCCCATCTCAATTATTACCTCCTCCATTAAGATGGGTATTATTCAAACACACGTAGACACACACACGTACACATACCCCTTCTCTCCCCATACCGTTTTGTACTATCCTCACAGTATTTAATAAGTGTCAGTTTTCTGAGCTATTTCTTCAGTAATTTATCATGATATGGTACCTGCCAATCTCAACGGCTTTATACACCTTTCTCCTCTTTTATTATACTCCTCTCATCTGGCCTTTTTGGGTTCCTCAGATGCTCTCAGTTCATTCCCATTTCATCCCCTTGAAGTTTTTTCTGCCTCTAATGCTCTTCCTCAAATCTAGACTTTGGCATTGCTGATATTTTCATCACTCAACTCCTAGTTCAAATGTGATCTCCTGTGAGTGTGCTCTCTATACCATGATTCTGTTTTTATTTTCTGAAGAGCATTTATTACTCTCAGACACCATCTGATTTTTTTGTTACTTGTTTATGGTCAGCTCTTCTCTAATATTATTGGAATGCAATTCCATAAAAGCAGATCCTGAAGAGAAGTGCTAGAAACATGGTAAGACACTGAATGAATGGATGGTTGAGTGAATTAACCGTTTGATTACATGTCCTTTAAGAGGAGATCCATTATCTGGTTCATCCTTTTCTTCCCAGTCAGTCAGTATTAGTTGAGAGTGATCAAGACAGCTAGTTGAATGCCATGAATAAGCTCTGGTATATGGAATATTAGAGTTTATCATCTACTTAAGAAATGAGCATGTATGATAAGAAGTCGAAGGACAGCTGAGCTGAGAGATATTTAATAATAAGTAACGAAAGCTTGTGAGCAAGCAAAGCAAGATGCAAAAGTATATATAATGTTTTCTTTTTTTCTTTTCTTTTTTTCTTTTCTTTTTTTTTTTTTTTTTGCTAAAGCATGCAATGACCCACACTTCAGCTATAGAAAAAATCCTAAAGGATACATGTCAGCTTACTTTGGCAGGGACAGGGCATAGATAGTGGTGTGGGAATGAAAAGAAAAGCAGACAAATGAAACAGTTTAAAACGAAAACACTGTTCAACAGCATCCATGGAAAAAGAAGTTTTTTTTGTTGTTGGTTTTGTTTTGTTTTGTTTTTTTGGTAACATATGTATAAAGGTTAGGGGATATGAGGGCTGAAAATTTCATGTACATTTGACTTTGGAAGTATAGGTCAGACAGAAAAACTGTGAGAATAGACTAATTTTTCTGGTATTCATTGAATTCAATGTTTCCTCAATAATATATCAGTGGAACTTGGGCAGAAATTACATTGCTGGACATCTGCTTCTGCCGAGCTTAAATGCCTTGGCAGGGAGAATAGCTCCTGTGGTGTGCCTTCTGAAAAGTTATGATGAAAGTCATAGCAAGAGAATAAATAAAGGAAAGTCGTAGGCCACAGTTGCAAGAGTCATTTTCCTGATTACTATGGCAATTTTCAGTCTAGGGAAGAAGTCCAAGAAAGAGAGGAAATACTATCAGAAGCAAAAAACAGTATTTAAAATGTAATGGAGACTCCTCCTTACAGATCTCCATTACAAGTTATCTGAGGGGCGCACACCCTCGCCAAAATCCAGAGGGCTCTCAGACTTGAGAGGCAAATGACATGTCCACATCAGTGCCTGCGGCACACACCTCAAGTATTCTCGGCAAGTGCCCAGTGGATGATGGTACACTCCTAGAAAACAAGAAGCCATTCACATTATCTCTAATTGCATACCATGTACTTTGAAAACCACCCACAAAAATATTGCACTGGAATTACAAAGGAACAGTCCTCATTATCCTTATGATCTTCCTCTTATGGAATTAAAGAAATAACAGTGTGCGCAGTAATTTACAATTTTTCTTGGCTTTATAAACACATCAAAAACAAGCTGTGTTAACTCAAGGCAAGTTCAAGAAACAAAGGCAATGTAGATAAATTCTCAGGTACTTATATTTTAACTCTGCCTCACTGTCATGTGTGGTTAAAAGTGGAGGCTCTGGACTCAGAATGGACATTTGAAATTGTGTGATGTTGGGCAGGTGTATCAGCCTTCTAAGCCTCAGATATTCACTATAAAAATTGCATAATACCAGTACAGATGTCAAGGAATTGTTGTTGGAATTATGGGATGGAGGGTGGATAAAGTCAACATATACTAAGCACGTGATAAGCAATAGAAATCAACTGTTTGTAATGTTTTTCTCATTGAACAGAACAGCACTCAAGGACATCCTTGTTGAACTGGCTTGATAGTTAATGTCTTTCAGGGGGAATGAAATGTTAGTGCAGGGTAGCCTTGTTTTATGCCAAAAGTATATTTCTGAAAAAGTTTCATACTTCAAAACTGACATAATTCAAGATTAATTTTGCCATTGTAACAAATAGAAAGTAATTGGAGTGAATTCCCAAGGTGCTTAAATCTGTAATCCCTGTAGCTTACGGTGTTGATTTCTGTGGCCATGTCACCATCATTTATCTTGTTATGTAAGAGTTCTACAAATTCGAAATGTAACTACATTAGAGTTGCTTTCTGTTTTCTCGGCACCATCTCCAGTAATTTACCCAGTACCCTGTCCTAAATTAACAGCATTTTGTATCATGGTAGATGTTTGGCCTTCATAGCATTCATCAAACCTAAACTGTTTCCAAAGTTACTACTTTTCACCTGGAGTACTATCATTGTTAGAAAATGAACACTTCTATGACACTATTAAAGCAGACTTAAAGTTAAAATAAGAGTGAATGCTAAAGTAGCTCAGTGATCTGACAAATAATTCACAAGTTCTGATACATGCAAACAACAGCTTGGTTCACCTAATGTTGACAAAAGATAGTAGGTATTTCCCTTAACTGGCCAACATGGAGTCAATCCATGCAACAATTGTAATGTGACTTATAACCTCCTTGGCCTGAAGTTTTAAAATGATGTAATGATTGACTTTTTAAAAAATAAATTGTCAGAATGTTAATTCAAATTTTTTGTATATAATTTATTTAAAACATATTATTTAAATTTGAATAGCTTCACCAAACCCAATTAGTAGTCATGGCAATAGAAGTCTGTCACATAAATATAGGCCCACGTGGTCTTAGTTGCCTGTAATTGATTACAGTAAAGTTCCCGAACACTGTCTTACCACAGTGTTAGTGTGCCAGTAACTCCTAGTGCTTATTATTTTATAGCATTTACAAATACGGCTTTGGTGAGCAAGGCCTAGCTATGCTCAGAATAGAGAGATCCCACTGCATGAAGTTTCTTAGCCTATGAATCTTCATGAGGTCAAGCAGTTAAAAAATCTCTCTGCTCTGCCATTGATATGCAGGTCTGTCAGTGAAACTTCTTTCTGGTAACTGAGTTCTATAGCTCTTCATGCTAAAGTATGAATGCATATAGTCCTTCCACACTCTCAAATGTTGATGAGAGACCTCTTTGCATTGGATTTCCTTGGTATCATCTTATTGCCTAAAAAACATCTTAGTCTTTTCTTTCTTTTTTTTTTTTTTTTTTTGACAGAGTTTTGCTCTTGTTGCCAGGCTGGAGTATAATGGCCTGAACTTGGCTCACTGCAACCCCTGCCTCCTGGGTTCAAGCTATTCTCTTGCCTCAGCCTCCGAGTAGCTGGGATTACAGGTGCCCGCCACCACACCCAGCTAATTTTTTTTTTAATTATTATTTTTTATTTTTAGTAGAGATGGGGTTTCATCATGTTGGCCAGGCTGGTCTTGAACTCCTGGCGTCAGTTGATCTGCCTGCCTCGACCTCCCAAAGTGCTGGGATTACAGGTGTGAACCACTGCACTGGCCGCCGAAAAATCTTCTAAGAGCGTAGGCTGGCCTGAATCCTGAGAATCACTGGATATAGTGGTTTTGAAATGAGATGGGATTCTGCATGATTATATAGCCACATTTTCTTTTATTAGTATACTTTGAATGTAATAATGAGACGTAGTAAAATTGTTTACCTAACAGTTCTCAGGCAAACCTCTAGAACCTTTCAAATTTGTTGGTAAATCTCTGGCTTGAATTGTAGTGTCACAGGCTTAAAATTGGTCAAATTGCAAATTTCAATTAAGGGCATGCTTCCAGTGTATGTCCTTCTCTTTCTCCCATCTTATGTCTGAGTCCCCTACAAGCCCAAATATTTACTCAGCCTCGCTGGCCTGAACAAAACTCCATGCCTTGAGCTTCTCCCTTCTCACTCAAAATTAATCATTCTACAGTGTTCTTTGCTCCATCTGAAACATAATTTCTGCTAGGTGGCCATGGTTGATAAATCAATTATTCAACTAAAGGAGCATATTCCAAAATATGTTCACCCATAGCACTAATTCTACAGGATGTCATACAGAAAAAAATGGGGAACAAAAGGCTTTTGTTGTTCCATTAGTATGGGAAATGCCGTATACTGCATCCTCTCTCAGATATTAAAAACTGACATTCTCATTAAAACTTTGGGCAGTATGAAAGCCATCTTAACTTTAACTTCACATTTTCCAGAATTTCAACTTGCCACCACCCATCCCCCCTGCCCTTTAAAAAAAAATATGACATCTTTAGAGACACTGAGACAAAACAATCCTTGCTAAGGCCCTGACCAGCTGTACTGAGAAAGATGGACTATGCAAGGTGGCACTTGTACATAATGGGTAATTCATAACTGTCATTATCTTTAGTCCCAAATTAGCAATTATCAGATGAACTCTTGAGTGTGAGCATTTGTACCCACATGCATATATATTTATCTGAGACAGGTGCCTCACATTCTCTACACACTAGGTTTTATCATTTTAATTGCCTGGCCAATGTTGAAGCACCATCTCAGGCGCTGCTAAATTGCAGGTGTTTGTCTTTATTTTTCACCCTTCATATTATACCTCTTATTTTATTTTTGTTATCTTAATTTTCTAAAGACTTCTTTGTGGTTTTATGGCTGGCTGCCAGCGTTCTGGGAAGTGTGTGTTTTTAGATCTTTGTTTTTTAAAGATCCACACACACAAAAAAATGCTCACAGTAAGAAAAACCATCTCCAGAGTTGGCATTGTTTTACTTTTCAAGAACAAGTTTGAGTTGAAAGAAGCAGCATTATTTATTTCTCATGGGCATGTCCTTTGGCTCACTCTCTGGGAAAATCCTCATCCTTGCAGATCAAAAAAGAGAACTGCCTCCCAGTGAATTAGAATACAATCTGCATTTGCCCACAATATCACACAGTGATTTCAGAAATTTGGCTTGTACACATCTGGGGAATGATGGCAGAATGCCCCTAGTTAAAACAGCTTTCAGAACCTACGTGGGTGATTTTGATTCCCTATGCCTCATTTTTCATCTTTGCTTGACTTGATTTCTTGTTCTGTTTTGTTCTTTACACTTGCAATAATCTCTTTGCCTTGTCTGGCCCTTTCGGATACACACATGCACACACACACACACACACACACACACACACACACACATAATCAGAGCTAAGTCACAAAGGCCGGGGGGAAAAAGTGAAAGGTCACTTTCACAATGGGTTTTCCAGGATTATTTGGATGTAATGAATAAAATTGCAAATTCTATTGAGGCTTTTAGAACTAATGAAAATTATCAATGTGTTACACAGCTGCATTTCAGTTTTGTTTGTCTGAGCCTGGAACAGAATAGATTTTATAAATAGAACTTAAATGTGACCACAGAGCACGCATACTAATCAGTTCATTTTAAGATATTGTTTTGCAATACTTTTAAGATGCACACATGCTGGGAAAAATTACTTCTCAGAGGAACAATGTGGAGCAATTTCTTACCAAAGTTGCTAATGGAACGACTTTTTTCTTCTTTCTTTTTTTCTTTTCTTCCTTTTTTTTTTTTTTTGACGCAAAGTATCTATCATTATCCATCTTTTATTTTAAGTAAATGTTAAAATGGAAAAGGTTTAGAGAGAAGGAAGGCTTTGCTCCAGGAATTCTGTAGGAAATGTGACTTGTTCGTGGGAAAGTGTCCATTAATTTGAGAAGGTTAAAATAAAATTAATCAAAATATCTTAGCGCATGCTGAGTTGTATCATCTATTACACAATTTCCCTTCTCACGTAAATGTGGAGGGGCTTTTTTCCCTGGCTCTAAAGAGATGAGATGGATGTGGGATGGAGTGCTAAGTGGTTCCCCACTGAAAGTATTCTCTATCAGCCACTGATTTCCTCTAAGTAGGCAATCCTATCTGAATAGTTCTAATATCTGGATAAGTTCATTTCTCTTTGACAGCACGCCCCCCTGCGGGAATGCATTTGTTTCACTTGTTTGAAGGTAGAAATCCTAGGAGTGGGTTTTGATGTGGGATGAAGCACTAAGCCCAGAGCTTCCCTTAAAGGTGAAATGCAGACACTCTTTTAGAAGAGGAAAGGTGACTAAAATGAAAGCTTCACTTCCCCAATCATTAGCAGAAATGAATGTGAAATTGTTAACACTCAAGCATATTTTAAAAGCCAACTGTGGCCTCTGTAAAGGTGTGTCTCCTCCATTTACCACTGGGCTCCATGAAGGGATTCTGAAGTTCTGGGCACTAATGGAGGCAATAAACCACAAAGAGTTTTGAGGAATCTGTCATATTGCAGGGGGTGGGGGAAGAACAGAGACCAGGAAAATTAAAATTCGTGGAAAACTGAGCTATTGAAATGTTAGCCATTCTCTTCCACCCAAACTCTCACTAAGGTGTCAACAAAGAGGAAAAAAACAGAATACCAATTTCTCTTCAAATCAAGCCAGCAAATATCTACTGTATGCCCACCGTGCACAAAGTACTATATTTTGACCAAGCTCTGCTGGATAAGTCATTTCAATGCCCCAGGGGTCAGCAGCTATAGCTTACTGGTAAATCCAGTCCAGAGCCTCTCTTTGTATAGCTTAGGAGCAAAGAATCATAAAGCATTGGAAGAAGGAAGAGAAGAGGAAAAAGAGAAAGAAGAAGAGGAAAAGGTGGAAGAGGAGGAGGAGAAGGAGGAAGACACTAACAATTAAGCTGACAATGAAGAAAGAGAAGAATGATGAACAGGAAGAGCATGAGGAGAAGAGAAAGAAAAGGAAGGACAGATATAGTGTATGGACCCCAAAGCCTAAAATATTTACTATCTGGCCCTTGACAAAAAAAATATGCTTCCCCTGTACTGTACAATATTCATTAATTATGAAAATAGCTCAGAAAATTGCACAGTCTGTAGTCTGTGAATGATTAAATGCTACCAGAAGAACCTAGAAAGTAGAGAATTTTCATGCAATAAAAATCATCCAAGCAGGCAGAATTTTCTTTCCTGGACTTATAGAATTTGGGGATTGAATGGAATCTTGGGGCTCAAACCTTGGAAATCCAAAGTTTCTAAAATGCAGCTCTAATATGAAAATGTGCCAAAAACAAATTGTAGGGATATCTGGGAGAAAAGGTTTTTGCTTTAATATAGCGAGCACATCAAACATAAGATTTTCCAGGTTTTATTGCTGGGATGAAGCTAAAGCATTAAGTAAACAATAGTACAAATGGTAGTAGATATATTAGAAAGTATTAAAGTGGTTTGTGAATGAATATAGTCTACAAAACACAGAATCTAGTACAATCTCTCTCCTTTCAATTTTTCAACTGCGACAGGTAGGTTAAGATTATTCCTGTATTTTAAATGAAAATAAAAAAGAAACACACTTCAATATCTCCTGATAATAAAATAATACATGATCTATATTTTAAAAATCAAATATTTTTTAAAATATATATTATACAAAATTAAAGCTGCCAGTAATCTACCTGCCAGAATTACCCACTGTTGATAATTTGGTATATATCTCTCCAGATCAAATTTTCTAGGCACAGCATAACTTACTAAAGATCTCCTATATTTAGAGCATGCTTTCTTGGTTTCTGATATTTCTGACCTATAAATTACTATTATTGGTCCTTGAATTGTGTTTAGATTTTTAAGGGAAAATAAAGGGATATTATCTAGAGTAAGCAATCCAAGTAAGTGCATGCTGGGAAGTCGGGTGTAAATTGGGAAGGCTTTTATCCATTAACTCCAGACAGGAAAAAGGCTGGGAAGCTAAATGAATGATAGTAGCTCATGCAGTTCTTCATTTCTGTCTGGGCTACAGGTTAACTTGCAAGGTTAATATAATTGCTGGCAGCTTGTAAGTCCTGGGTGATGATGAAATGTACCACCTCTTCCAGAAGTTCCTGCTTCTTTTTAAGCTTTCCTCACTTTGGATTTAGACATAGTGGTTCTCAAACTTTTTAGAACACAATCCATTTCTAGACAGGGAAAAAGACGTTAAGAGCCAACTTCCCCACCCAGGGTATGTTTCAATGACAAATAAACTTGTTGATGAACAATTAGTTCAAAGGGAACAAGTAAATACTGGCATACAGTTTTTCAAATCGCATTCATTAATTGGGTCCCATTTACTTGTTTAAAAATAGTATGATCTTATTCACAAAGGTAATGTCATATAAGCTTATACAGTAATACAATGCCCTATAAACTTAAAATATGCACTCACTTCTATAGTACTTCACAAGCTATTTAAGTGTCAAAAAAGAGTCACAAATCCATGGGTGGCACATCATCACTGTAACACAAACTACTTTCGCAATAGGACTATGAGTGGTTTATTTTTGAACACGTATATGTTTTAAGTCTGGCTATTAAAGAATTATAGGCCCAAAAGATTGCTGATGTAAACATATAACCTATAAACTTTAGGTTTAACCAATCAACTCACCAAAAACTCAATCGATAATGGTTAATCTAACAAAATTTATAAGTAAAATGAAAATAAACACAGCAACTAAAAACTATAATCAAATAAGTTAGTTCTGATAAGGGATTGCATATAAGATGTCCTGTCTGAAAATCTCAACTATAAGCATATCAACATGTACAGTGTGTCCTTTGCAACATAATCAAGGCTAATCTGGCAGCCCACCTTAGTACTAGAGTCTTCCATAGCTAGAATCCACTAAACTGTATATTTTAGCTAAGGAATATCAAATACTGGTTACCCTTAACTCATTTATTAATGCAAATTACAGTTGGCTTCTCTTTCCCTTCCCACCCTCCCTCTTCACGTGGGATTGGTAAGAAATACAGTGTCATCAGTGTCGGTGGGGGAGCTTTTCCTTAAGAATCCTGAGACTTGGGAGGGACTTCTTTCTTTAGTCTGTAGTGGTAACCACTGAGATTCTTACTTTTTAACTTCCATGGATCTATTAGAAAGTGGGGACTTCAGCCATTACCCTGTGCCATATTTGGCCCTGTGTGGAATTTGGCCCTGCGTCTTATGCTGGGGATCCCAAGGTTGCAGGGATTGTACTTCAGTGCTTAGGCACTGGCTCCACCTGAACACAGATCTGGCCACTCTGGAAATAACCCTCACAAGTTCCCTGGCTTCTGGCCAGGAATTCTGTCACTTCAAAACTGTCCAAATCTTTCTTTACCTTCTAAAGCTTAGGCTTAGAAAATGAAAGAAAAGAAAAGGCTCTTCTCTCTCTTCTAGGAATAGGAGAGCCTAAGGCTTTCAATACCCTAAACTGAGGCTGCCTTAGGCAGGATGGTTGTGGGGGAATTTATTCTCTTACAGTGAACCTATAACACATAAAGATGGACATTGTTAATTCCTCCATCTGGATTTCCTGCTATACTAGTAACTGCCTTCCATCTTATACATAAATGAATGACTATCAGTCAGAGCCAATTTACAGCCTTGATCACTTGCAGGAGGATGGTTAGTGGACTGTAGATAATACCTTGAAGATTTCTGACCTCAACTATTTCAGGAGCTGGCCACTAGGTCTCCCTCCCTATCACTGACCCCTTCATCTGTCCAAATCAAATTCTCATTCTTTGGATTGGAATCGTCCAGCACAGCATTCCCTTCTGCCCACAAGATAAAGGATGAACTCCTTAGTAGGATAAATGAGGCCCAGCTTTATTTCTGTAAGAGAATATTTCTCTCAATGTACTTTCCAGATGACATATTTTAAGAAATGACAAGATTTCACAAACGCTCTGAGCTCTCTTGGCCAGTCCAAATGTTCTTTTCTTCTCCTCCACTCACCAGTCTCTAGCTTTGCTCAACTGGCTAATTCCTGCTTACCCTGAAGATTCAGCTCATGAGCTTCCTCCTCTTGGAGTATTGTTCTGCTCCCACTTCTGATGAGTTAGTTGCTTTGCTCTGTGGTCTATAATATGCTTCATATATCTCCTTTAAAGTAGTTATCAGAGTACATTTGAATTTTAGGTCTACTTATCTGCCTTCTTCACAAGAACCTGAGCTCTTAACTATAGTCACTTTATCTTGTTCATTGTCGTATTGCTCAAATTTAGCACAGCCCTGGCCCCTAGCAGAATAGCAATAATTTCTGGGCTTAATAAATGATTCCCTTTGGCATAGCAATTTAAAGAAACAGTGATAATGGAAGTAATAGATGCATCTATCAAAATAGTACTAATATTTATTGAGCAGTTACATATACTATCTCAGTTAAACCTTACAGTCACCATTTAAGGGCTTGTTCCACTTAGCAGTGAAATGATTAGTCTAAGTTCACCAAGTAGTGAAAAGCAGAGCTGGGATTTTATCCTTGGTTAATCTGACTCAAGAACTGTGTTCCTAATTTCTATGCTGCTCTAGGCAAGTGCTATAGGCTTCTTTCTAAGAATTTCTAAGATTTCCTTCTATGCAAATCGTTGCGACCCATTAAGTACTGCAACAGTTTGAACATGTCCCCTTCAAAATTCAAGTGTTGTCAATGTGCTAATATTAAGAGGTGTGGCCTTTAAAAGGTGATTAGGCCATTAGGGCTCCTCCCTCATAAATGAGGTGAAGGACTTTAGAAAAGAGGCTTCATGCAGGCAGCATTCAGCTTACTTGCCCTTCTGCCTTCCATCACGTGAGGACACAACATTCTTCCCTACCACAGGATGCATCCCGTTTCAGACAATTGAATCTGCAGAGCACCTTGATCTTGAACCTTCCAGCCTTGAGAACTGTGAAAAATAAATTTATGTTCTTTATAAGTTACCCAGTCTGTGGTATTCTGTTATAGCAGCACAAAATGGGCTAAGACACTTACTGATCTCTAACACTCTGCAAACAAATCTGCAGTACCCAGTGGTACAGACAATAAGGTGGCGTAAAGAAACTCAACATCTAACTTCTCTGTAAAACTCCCTCCTGTGGGCAGTTCTTTGGCTAAAGTCCTGCATATTCAGGTCTATCCCTCAGTTTTGCAAGCCACCAAATACTTGATTATTTACTCAGAACAGATTCAAACCACTGTATAGTTATTTAAAAGTTGGCAACTGTTTAGGTGAACAAACTGTTTATGAGGTAAACTGGGTCTTCTATGTGCAATTGACATTGATCAGTATTCTTGGTGGCCAAATACTCCTTGAAAATAGAACCTTTTCTAGGAGTTTTACTTCAACTTCAAAGCCAGATTAAAAGTTTTAAAGCACAGTCATTATTTTAGCTCACTAGAATCTCCCCACTTCCCCAGACTGTTCAAAGTAGTGACCTCCCCCTTCAGCTTCCATATTTATATAGGAGGCTCATAAACACAAAAGAACATTTATTTAGCTCCTCGTTTTCTCAGAATCTTTTCCTGGGGACTATATTATGATCATGCATGTTATGCTAAAACAATTTTACCCAAATTCTGTTCCACACGCTATTAATAAGTTTTCTGTGAGGGAGGTATTCCATAGTAAAATCCAATTTGGCAACAGTGGGTTAAAAAAGTAAAGCAGGTTTCTCTACTGCTGCAAGAGATCTTTCATATGCTATGTATGCATTGTGAATCTCTACCAAGATGATACAGTTTGGGAAAAGTAATCTGACTGTATAGCTTTTGTTTTTGGTTTTCCTGGTATGCACTAGAAGGGTCCATGAATCATGGGATGGACACTTTCAGTTAAGGAAGTAGTCCCATTTTTTTCTCTGAACCCCTGTAGTATATCTTGATATGTTATATAAGAATAGGTTTGGACTGCCTGAAATGTGGTTCATGATCAACTCCATTAAAAGCTCCTTAATGGTCATAGTCTTCTATTGTCCCCTCTAGTTGAAGGAATTTTAATACTCACATTTTATACAATTCAAAATCCTCCATACATGGCATAGCAACGTACTGTTGGGTGGAAAGTAAGGAAGGATATCTGAATAAGGATGGTCAGAAAAATTCATTATAGAATAATTAGGAAGTGAACTTCGGCTAAAAGTTATGCAGTCCAGGAGAAATAGTGAGGAAGGGGGCGGACCCTCTGAAGGGGCCAAGCTTGAGCAAAGATCCTGAAGCAGGTGATACAAAACATTTGTAGGTAAAGAGAAACCCCTGGTCTAACACGACTAAAATGTTGATTTGGAATTCAGTGGCAAAGAAAGGTAGGAAAAGAGTAGATTGGAGGTAAACTGGACAGGTATTGATGTCAGGATATGTTTACACATCTGATTGCTAGGCATATTGTTGAAAATTATTCAGCTATTTCACTAAGTTTTGGGTGCCCATATATAACTGAACCCTAGTGTTCATAGCTGTTCTTGAAAAAAAAAAAATAATGACTCCCAAAGAGTGGTCTGAGACAAAGCTAAATTTTTGTTTGCCCACGTGTCACTCAAATGGGGGTCTTCTGAGCAAGAATAAAAAAATATAGATCCAAGGAGAAAAAAAGGAAGCACAGCAAATAAGACAGTATTCTGAGGTTCTGAGGTCAGCCTGGTTCTTAAAGCAGACCATAAACCCATCTTTGCCATTGGTCACCAATGCTGAGAAGCCTGGATTCAGCCATGTGAAAGCCTTGTTCCAAATGAGCTGTGTACAATTCTAGAAGACCTAGGGTCACTCGGCAGGCGCCCTCCTCTGTGCTCACTCATCGCTTGACAAGATTTTTCCTATAACATTGAATAATACTGTGGTTAAGACAACAGATCCTGGGGTTTCATTGCTTAGTTTTGGATCCTCGTTTATCTAATGCTAGTTTCACCATTTTGAGCAAGTTACTTGACCTCTTTAAGCCTGAGATCCTTCATGTGGAAAATGGGCATATTCTAGTGTTTATCCCATAGAGTTGCCTGGAGGATTAATGAAGCTCTTAGCAGCACTCTTTGCATGGAGTAATGCTCAGTAAATGGTTGCTGTTATTTTGTTGTTATTACCCCTAAATACATGAAGGAATGCAAGAATATTCTTCCTACTCTTAAAATCCGCAAAGGGAGACTGTCATAGAAATACAAAACATGAAGTGAAATAGAGCTGTTTTATTCCTGGCAAAGTTGTACATTTTTTTACATATTTCGCCACGACCAGAAACCTTTAAAACAATCATACTATCAGTGCTTTCAAGTCTAGTAAAAAAAAAATGTCCTTTTAATCTCATGTTGCATCAGTACCAGTAGCCTGCACATATTTAACGTGTTCAAAGAAAATGCAATTTTAAGTATATTAATACATGTTAGGATAACTTTTAGGTTCTGAGCACAAAAGTGACGGTACAGATTTTTACTTATCAATGTATCTGTTGCCCTGTTTCTGCTATATGACCATATTAGTTATTAATATCAATATTTCTAATTTTTTTATTCTTGGCTACTTTTATGACATATAAGTTCTTAGCAAGAAAAAAAATGGCTCAGTAGTAGTAGATATGAATTCCACTATCTCTTCATAGGTCACTAGGTTCAGTAATAGATAATGGCATAATTACTTTTTGAGTTTAAAAAAATCCAATTGGAATGCCTGCAGGTACGTGTATATTTATTTGGTTTAGAACTTATTTTTTTAGCATAATTCGTTTATTGTATTTGGTATGATGGGTCCGAATGAAACCATGCATCCAGAGGAAATTATTTTTTAATATAGACTCATAACCTAGGTATTAAGAATATTTCTTTTTTTTTTTCTCTCCCAAAGGCAGTAAGGCAGTTTTTCTGTTTAAACCCATTACCACAATCCATCAGAAATATTTATTCTTTTACTTGTAAGATTTACTTAGTTTCCGTGGTTGTGGTCTGTGTATTAAGGGAAGGCTGAAGAAGGCTATTTATACTGATCACTCACTCATTCATTCATTCAGTGAAAATCTATTGAGTACCTACTTTATATTAGGCACTGCTCTAGGCACTGAGGATATGGCTGTGAATAGGAAACAGACAAAAATCCTCACGCTCTCATGGTGCTGCCATTCCAGTGGCATTACCATACTGTATTACCACTACACAATGGCTAAAGAAGCTCACAGGGTCTTTCTTATACTTGAGCTTAAGCTATGACGCATCACATCTTTAGTCAGCTCTTTTCTGACCACCCAGTCTAAAATGTCTTGTGTGTGTTAAGTCAGGAAATGTGAAGGGTTGGAGAAGCAAGGAGACCTCTGGGTCAGAGACAGACAGTTTATTATTCACAACAAAATTAGCAGACTCCTATCTCTCTAGAGACATAATTTTTATTACCCTGGAATGTAAGCAAATATTTTCAGTGAGAGATGTTTGATATCTCTAAATCTTTTCGGAAAGAAATGCTGTTTTTTTATTTTAGTTATCCAGGAATGCTTCTTTCTTTCTAGTGTTGCATGCTTGTGCAAGCATTCTTAAAAATGTAGGCCTGGAGAATATGGATAATTAATTATAAATGTATAGGGATGTGATAAATTCATAAGGAAATATCTCCCGATAATGTAATACTCCAATTAGAATGCAAGCCCCGGCTGGGCACAGTGGCTCACGCCTGTAATCCCAGCACTTTGGGAGGCCGAGGCAGGTGGATCACAAGGTCAGGAGATCGAGACCATCCTGGCTAATACGGTGAAACCCTGTCTCTACTAAAAATACAAAAAATTAGCCAGGCTTGGTGGTGGAAGCCTGTAGTCTCAGCTACTAGGGAGGATGAGGCAGAAGAATGGTGTGAATCCACGAGGTGGAGCTTGCAGTGAGCTGAGATGGAACCACTGCACTCCAGCCTAGGCGACAGAGCGAAACCCTGTCTCAAAAAAAAAAAAAAAAAAAGCCCCATGAGAGCAGGGATTATTTTCTATTCCATATGTCTACAATAGTGTTGAGCATATTGTAGGTGCTTAATAAATATTTGTTGAATGAATGACATTGATGTTGAAGATAATGGTGATGATGATGGTTATGATTTTTACTCTAAGTTCTCAGAAGATAATCAGTCCTTTTGAGGCTTAAGGCAAAAACACTCCAGAGAAACCATGGATAAAATTATGCAGAAGTCTACTGACCACATTTGCACAAAAAATAATTCTTAATAGGAGAAATTATGTCATCTGTACATCTAGGAAATCTCAAGTTTGTGAGATTTTTTTTAAAAATTGTTTTGTGATTTTATTTTATCTAATAAGCACAACTCTAAAATGCTCAAGATACTTATAGTAATATAATCAGGATAATTAGGAAACATTAAATATTGCTTATCTCATTAATGGAGATATGCAATGTACATTGACATCTTCAAAACTGGCAATTTTACAGTAAAACAATTAATAAAATCAACAATAGCAAAAAAAATACTAAAAAAAAAGATCTATTTGTTTAACCTTTTTCCAAATGTACTTTTAATCTGTTTAAAATTTGCAAAAATCTCACAGGATATGTTTGCAACAGAATGCACTTTGAGAAATACAGCTACCCTTTAGATTCCTGGATAACCACAAAGTATTTTAGTGATCAGATTTCTAATTTTATCTATGAATCTTGGTTCTAGAAACATGAACCTCCCAGGAGCTCTTGATCCAGGAAATATTCTTACTGCACTCTTGGATTTAATTGTGTGTAAGCAATACGTAAAGGCAAAAATAGGATAAGACTGGCTTTCATCAAGAACCATGGCTGGTTACCCATCCAGAAATGTAGTCTTGGGAGAAAATCAGAGGACTTTGTTACACTTGTAAGATTCCACCACTGTAAGAACAGTGATGACATTGTCATGGTTCCTGATTGCCTTCTCTCCCTTTTCCTCTTATGCTTGCAGGATTTCTGTGCAATCAGGAAGCATTTGCTGTTGATAATGGCTGGTTGCAGAAAAAGGAAAGTTTCTCCTTAAATGTCTGTTCTTAGCATGAAGGAAAACCTTTCCTAGAAGTTTTGAGAAGACATCCTATTAGATTTCATCAAACAGAAGAGACCCTACTTCTTTTCAAAGATATTGTTAGCAAGGAGGGGAGACTACATGATTAGATCAGCCCAATACCAGTTATAACCTGAAGCAGAGTACGTCTCCTTTGAAGACAGGGCCTCCCTAAGATAAGACAAAATAGTAAGGTTCTGTCAACAAGAAAGAAAACAGAGAAAGCTTGCTGGTTAGAATGCAGCTTAAGGATGTATGAGTCATACCCTGCAAAAAGGCCGTCAGGATTGGAGTGCTGGATTGGGTTTTCAGTTTAATTTACACAAGTTCTCAATATGCAAACAAGGAAGCCCTATCTGACAATATCCTTTTTCAGCTAATATTTTCAAGGTAGATTAAGTGAATACTTTTACTAACACAGGAGAAGAGACTGAGGCATCACTTCCAATGGTTTGCTCAAAATCCCATAGTTGGCTAAGACTATAGAATTACTAAACTCAAGATGCCCTAACTTCTAGAACCATCACCAATCCACTCTCCTGCCTATGTTCCTTACAGACTCTTCTCCAAGATTTGGAACTTTGGGTGTATAAATAAAAGGTATAGGGGTGGAGGTAGGGTGAGGTACCTTATCTCTTTAAACATAAATCACATTTATAAATGGTCACCTGCTTTTGCTCATGACATTGCCCAATGGTTCCAGCCAAAGAGATCAAATTGATGGCAGCCCATGTTAGCATAGTGAAACCTGGACCAACGCCGCCCCTTCCAGCTAACAAGCCAGTGTGAAATGAAAGCAACTTTTGTTGATAGCGTTGACAGAAGGTGCCACATACAAATTACAATCAGTTCAAAAATTAATTGCCAGATTATTAATTTGAAGGAAATGTACACAGTGTTGTTTCCCTCTTCTGGATCTCTGGCTGAGTTTCTTTTCTGTTGATGCTGATCTCCCTGCTTTCCCCTGCTCCCCAGCACAACACTGGAGACTCTGAAGGCCTTCTCCAGTAGAGGGTCAGGCTTTTGCTCTTTTGAATTTACTAGTGGGTCTTGGATGTTGATCGACTTGGGGAATTCAGGCCAGTCAATTCCTGGACCTCAAACTTCTCACCTATAAAATAAAGTAAAATAAAATGAAATAATAGTTTGGAATAAATAGGCTAGGACTGCTCATTTCTCAGGAAACTTTATAAAGCATCTCTTCATTTCTCATGTTAAAAGTAATAAGTATATATCTGAATATAAAAGTCCCCCATAATTCTACCTTACTCAAAGACAACTCATCAATATTTTGTTATATAGTCTTTGATATGTTACTTCCTGTTCACATACTAATCATTTTATATATTATGGTTCACACACACTGTTCTTGGTTTTTTTTGGTTTTTTTTTTGTTTTGTTTTGTTTTTTGAGACAGAGTCTCGCTCTGTCACCAGACTGGAGTGCAGTGGCGCGATCTCGGCTCACTGCAACTTCTGCCTCTCGGGTTCAAGCGATTCTCCTGCCTCAGCCCCCAAGTAGCTGGGACTACAGGCATGTGCCACCACGCCTGGCTAATTTTTGTATTTTTAGTAGAGAAGGGGTTTCACCATGTTGGCCAGGATGGTCTCAATCTCTTGATCTCGTGATCTGCCCACCTCGGCCTCCCAAAGTGCTGGGATTACAGGCGTGAGTCACTGTGCCCAGCCTGTTCTTGCATTTTTTACATAGTAACTGGACATACTTTCATGTAAATAATCTAGATATTTCTTTCTTTTTAATGGCTGCATAGTATTCCACTGCATAGATATGTTAAAATTTATTCATCTCCTCTCTTATTAATGTATATTTGTGTGGTTTTCAATTATTCACCATTGCAAATAAAGCTGTAGTAGTGAACACTCTTATAGACATATCTTTGAACTCTCATCTGTGTATTTCTGCAGGATAAATTCTGTGAAAAGGAATTGCTGAGCTAAGGGACCAGGATCCCTTTCAACAACTGCTGAAGATGCTGGGTCACCCAGGCAACAACCTCAAAACAGATCCTGTTTTGGAGTGAGAATTTCCTCTCTAAGTGATGGCCTGAAAATTAGCGAATTTCCAGAACTGCACTCCTGATGGGTCTTTTCACTTCCTATCCAATATTCAGGCCTAAAATGAATCCTTTCTTGCTCATTTTTATGGGTGATAATGTGTTCCTCCCACCTGGTGCTTCTTTTTATTTCACTACAGCTATAACAAGCACTTATAAGAACAGCAATCTAGGTTACCTGAAAACCTTTTCCTTGTTAACTTGTCTCAAAAAACTAAGACTAGTGAGAGAATTGAAAGGCAGTATCTCAGTCATAGTTATATAAAGCTGCTCTTGAGCATATCATTAACTTTTCCCCCTGGTTTATCTGTTTAAAAATAGGAATGCCATTCATTTGTTAGGCTTTGGCAGACAACTCACAGGCCTCATTAGGGTAGACATGCTCTATCCCTTTCCCTTCATACAAATGTAAAGCAGTTTACCTTAGAAAAATGCTAAATGAATGAGATGCTTAAATAATAATAAACAAGTATCTTAACACTCTGTGATTAGCACTCAGTCATGACTAATGTTTAGACCTCCTCATTTCTGTCAAAAATCCATTTTATCAGAGGCAGAAATGGCCTAAATTATTTGATATGCATTAGCTATGAAAAAGACCTCTTGCAGCACTAGATATTCAAGTCTGTGACCCTTCCCAGCTGGAGCAGCAATTAGGAGAGCGATCTGTTCCATTCAAACCCAAAAAAAGAAAGGATTCAATGCCAGCAACACAAAGCACAGTAGTTTTAAACTCAAGATACTCTCATTTCAATATTGACTCACATGACCTCCCCCTCTACCCCTTACCCCCAAATTGCTCTTATTGCCCTACAACTGTCTAGTATATCTCAAAGATGTCACAGGACCACCTGCAGAACAATTGCCTGCTTGTTAAATTGTAGACTCCTGGGCTTCATCCTGACTTGAAGAAAGTAGGCTTAGGAATATGCAATTTTTAATAAGTATCCCCAGGTAATTTTGATGCACTGTAGTATTTGAAGACCTCTACCCTCCTAGACCACACATCTGAAAACATTCACATGCACAGGGGCACCGGGGTAGCTTGTTAAGGTGTAATTCTGATTCAGAGGATCTTGGGTAGGGCCTGAGATTATACATTTCTAACAAGATCCCAGATGATGCAACTGCTGTGGATGCATTGACCACACCTCGAGCGGTGAGGCTGCTGTAAAACAAAGCTCTAGGTGTCGTAAAAGCCATTCACCTTTATAACCCATGTGTCATACACGGCTTGAGCCCAGTGTATGTTCCTTTGACTGAAAAAATGAATAAATGCCAAATCAGAGATAGTGAGAACACGGGAAATGTTATCTAGTTTGTAACTAACGTGAAATTTCTTCAGCGCAGCCAGTGTGATATGTATATTGGTATTTCTTTCAATGTAAGACCTAGGGGTGTGTCTTTGTCCCTTTGTGTTGCTACAAAGGAATACCTGAGGCTGAGCATTTTATAAAGAAAAGAGGTTTACTTGGCTCATGGTTCTGTAGGCTGTACAAGAAACATGGTGCTAGCATCTGCATCTGGTGAGGGCCACTGGCTGCTTCCTCTCAAGGCAGAAGGTAAAGGGGAGCTGGTGTGTGCAGAGATCACACAGAAGAGGAAGCAGGAAAGAGAGGGGAAGGTGCCAGGCTGTTTTTAACAACAATTTCTCAGGGAACTAATAGAGTAAGAACTCACTGAAAACCTTGAGGACCGCATCAAGCCATTCATGAGGGGTCCATCTTTGTGACCCTAAAACCTCCAACACTGGGGATTAAATTTCAAAATAAGGTTTGGAGAACAAACATCCAAATTATAGCATTCCACTTCTGGTCCCACAAACCTCATGTCCTTCTCACATTGCAAAATGCAATTATCTCTTTTAGTCCCCATAAGTCTTAACTTATTCCATCCTCAACTCAAAAGTCCAAAGTCTAAAGTCTCATATGAGACTCAAGGCAAGTTCCTTCTGCTATGAGCCTGTAAAATAAAAAACAAATTATTTATTTCCAAGATACAATGGTTGTACAGGCATTGGGTTAATACTCCCATTCCAAAAGGGAGAACTCAACCAAAAGAAAGGAATAACAGGCCCCACACAAATCAAAGACCCAGCAGGCCAGATATCAAATCCTAAAGCTCCAAAATGATCTCCCTTGATTCCATGTTGCATATTTTGGGCACACCAGTGTGAAGTTGCCTTGCAAAGCCTTGGGCAGCTCCAATTCATTGCTTTGCTAGGTGCAGGCTACACAGCTGCTTTGATGCATTAGAATTGAATGCCTGTGGCTTTTCCAGGCCGAGGGTACATGCTATCAGCGGTTCTATAATTCTGGGGTCTGCAGGGCAGTAGCTCTGCTCCTACTACTCCAGGAGGCAGTGCCCTGGCAAAGACTCTCTGTGGTGGCTCCATCCCCACATTTCTGCTTGGCATTTTCTTCATAGAGTCTCTTTGCAATTCTCCACCCCTGCATCATGCTTCTGCGTAGGCACCCGGACTTTGCAAGACATCCTCTGAAATCTAGGTGGAAGCCGCCAAGCTTCCTCACTCTTGCATTCTTCCCAGCCTCAGAATTAACACAACATTGAAGCCACCAAGGCTTACAGCTTGCTCCCTCCAGAGTTGCAACCTGAGTAGTACTTGGGGGCCCTTTGAGCCCTTGACCTAGGGTATCTAGGCAGAGCCTACCTCAAATATTTCTGAAATGTCTTTGGGGTATTTTTTCCTTTTTTTTTTTTTTTTTCTTTCTTTTACTCTTATCGCCTATCTCCCTTTTATCTGTGCTAATCTCTCTAGTAAGTGGTTTCTCCACAGCGCTCTTGGATTTCTCACTTTAAAATGCTCTTTTCTTCTCTGTCACATGTCCAGGTACAAATTTTTAAAATTTTTGTGCTCTATTTTGTTTTTAATTATCAATTTCAACTTTAGGTCATTGTATTGCTCCTGTATCTGATTGCAGGTTGTTAAAAGCGATCATGTCACTTCTTGAACGCTTTGCTGTTTAGAAATTTCTTCTGCCGGCCAGGCTCGGTGGCTCCTGCCTGTAATCCCAGCACTTTGGGAGGCCGAGGCAGGAGGATCACCTGAGGTCAGGAGTTTGAGACCAGCCTGTTCAACATGGTGAAATACCGTCTCTACTAAAAATACAAAAAAATTAGCTGGGTGTGGTGGTGCATGCCTGTAATCTCAGATACTCGGGAGGCTGAGGCAGGAGAATCACTTGAACCCGGGAGGCAGAGGTTGCAGTGAGCCGAGACGGCGACATTGCACTCCAGCTGGGGCGACAAGAGTGAAAAAATAAAAGAAATTATTTCTTCTGCCATATACCCTAGGTCATCACTTGTACGTTCAGCCTTCCACATAGCCCTAGGGAATAGACACAATACAGACAAGTTTTTTGCTATGGCGGAACAAGGATGATCTTTGCTCTAGTTTCCAAAAAGTTCCTCATTTCCATCTGAGACCTGATAATTATGGTCTTTATTAGCATTTTAGTCACAATCACTTAAACAAGCTCTAAGAAGTTCCAAATGTTCCCTCCTCTTCCTGTCTTCGAATGAACCCTCCAATGTCTTCCAATCTCTGTCTGTTACCCAGTTCCAAAGCTGCTTCCATATTTTCAGGTATCTTTATAGCAATGCCCCACTCCTCAGTATCAATTTTCTTACTCCAATTGTGTTGCTGTAAAGGAATATCTGAGGCTGGGTAATTTATAAAGAAAAGAGTTTTAGGCCGGGCACGGTGGCTTATGCCTGTAATCCCACCACTTTGGGAGGCCGAGGTGGGTGGATCACTTGAGGTCAGGAGTTCCTGACCAGCCTGGTCAACATGGTGAAACCCCATCTCTACTAAAAATACACATATTAGCCGGGTGTGGTGGCAGGTGCCTGTAATCCCAGCTACTCGGGAGGCTACGGCAGGAAAATCGCTTGAACCCAGGAGACAGAGGTTGCCATGAGCCAAAATTGTACCACTGGGTAACAGAGTGAGACTCCATCTCAAAAAACAAAAAAAAAAGAACTTTAATTTGGCTCATGGTTCTTCAGGCTCTATAAGAAGCATGGTACCAGTATGTGCTTCTGACGAGCGTCTTAGGCTGCTTTCACTCACAGAGGAAGGTGAAGGGAAACCATCATATACAGAGATCACATGGTGAGATGGGATTCAAGAGAGGGGGAAGGTGCCAGCTTCTTTTTTATTTATTATTTATTATTTTTTATTTTATTTATTTATTTTTTGAGATGGAGTCTCGCTCTGTTGCCCAGGCTGGAGTGCAGTGTGATCTTGGCTCACTGCAACCTCACCTCCCGGGTTCAAGCGATTCTCCTGCCTCAGCCTCCTGCGTGCCACCACTCCCAGCTAATTTTTGTATTTTTAGTAAAGATGGGGTTTCACCATGTTGATTAGGCTGGTCTCGAACTCCTGACCTTGTGATCTGCCCACCTTGGTCTCCCAAAGTGGTGGGATTACAGGCATGAGCCACCGCACCTGGCCGCCAGCTTCTTTTTAATAACCAGTTCTTGGAGGAATGCTCATGGGAGCTAGCAGAGTGAGAACTCCCTCATTACTCTGAGAACAGCACCAAACCATTCATGAGGGATCCGTTCCCAAGACCCAAACACATCCCATTAGGCCCCATCTCCAACTTTGGGGATCACATTTCCACATGCGTTTCGGAGGACAAACATCCAAACTATAGCAGGGCAGTTAGTTGTCCTAATCAGGTGTACACATTGCACACAAAAGGTCACAGTCCAGAGGCAGCTATTATGAAACTTAGCTGTCTTTATCTAGGAACAACACTGGGGTCTTTTTAAATAACAAAAGAGATTAAAAGCACATCATTGAAAATCTGTGATGTGCAAGACACATGCACTGGTAAAATATTTCAGAGGCGATCCCTGATGTTGCAGGAAATTAAGAATTGAGAGAAAACAGTAGACGGTGTTCCCAGGTTATTAGGTTACTGATTAATTAGGCCTTCTAACTCTGTGGTTAGCCAAATCCTGCTGAGAGCACCTGCCTTAATCATACGGTTTACTCAGGGCACTCTTGGAGCACTTAAAAGGATGGAAGCCTGGCACTGGGATGTATGACTGTCCTATGCTTTCATGCTAATAAATGCCTATATGTTGAGCTGAATTTGCCTTGACACTTGTTTTAACTGTAACCTGTTACTGAGTGTGTGAGAAGGTCTATAACTCACATTTAACTCTAACAAAGGTGAATAACCAAACTGGCTCATTCATATTGTCAGGCAATAAGAAGTAGTTGGGTTCAGGGCCACTGCCATCTTTATATTTGATCTGTCCACATACATTTAAAATAATCAAAGTGACTCACAAAGAATTATGTAAGCAACATCGGCAATGTTCATGGAAATCTATATCCATGTAATGCACTTTCTCTCTTTAGCAAATCCTTGACACAGAAAGGCAAACGATTTGAAAAAGACTTAAAATTTACATTTAGAATAGCCCTTCTCAGGACATTTCAAATTTAGGCAGGTAGAAGCAAAAATGGCCAAGGGCTGCTCTAGCTGGCCCAATTAGATAAGGTTTTTTTCTTCCAGGGGGTTGGGGGAGTTGTTGTGAGATTGCAACCATGATCTTGATCCTAACTCCCAGAGAAGAAAGACAAAGATGAGAGGCACTGACTGGAAGTAGAGGGACAAGTCTGGCTCTAACCTGTTCTACTGACTCCATCCAATTGATAAATAGCAAATACCTTCTTTAATGAAAAATTTGACTGAGAAAGCCTATTTTAGAAATCTCATAGTGTTCAGTAGTAGTATATTCAAAGCAAAAGAATGGTAACAGTAATAATATGGCCAGGCACGGTGGCTCACGCCTATAATCCCAGTACTTTGGGAGGCCGAGGCAGGTGGATCACAAGGTCAGGAGTTCGAGACCAGCCTGACCAACATGGAGAAACCCCTTCTCTACTAAAAATACAGAAATTAGCTGGGCGTGGTGGTGGGCTCCTGTAATCCCAGCTACTTGGGAGGCTGAGGCAGGAGAATCGCTTGAACTCAGGAGGCGGAGGTTGCAGTGAGCCAAGATCACGCCACTGCACTCCAGCCTGAGGGACAGAGCAAGACTCTGTCTCAAGAAAAAGAAAAAAAGAATAGTAATAGTAATAATAATAAATACTGAAATATAAATGAAGTGCTACTAATACATTTTATTAAACATTTGATATTAAGTATCCACTTTTCTGATTGAACTCTGGTGGATAAATTAGAAGAGTGTACAAAAACAAGAAAATGCAAAAGAATCTTTAATTACATTTAGGGGACAAAGGTCTCATATATAAGGAAAATATTAGCAGGCTTTGCCTGGTGAGACGGTACAAGCCATTCTGAATGACTGTTCAGAGTATAGAAGTTTAATTTAAGCAGAGTTCGAGAGAGAGAGGTCCCGCAGAGAGTTTTTCCTTCCCTCTGGGGGTTCAGAAGATTTGTGGGCACACACATGAAGGCAGAGCAGAGAGGAGGCCAGAATGGGGAATTTTAAGGTTCACAGAACAAGTTTTGTATGAATGCTTTTCCAGAATTTACTCAATTACATATCGTTTAGAGGAAGATGAGGGAGGAGAACACGTTTTGATCATCAAAGTGTAAGTTAAACTTTGGTGCTACTCAAATGTTGTATTAAATGTTCTATGAAAAAGGGTCTGGGCTTGAAAGACCAGGAAGGAGACTCTCTGCTGGCTACTTTTGCTTCTCCTGAAAGGACTTTTCATGCCTCAATTAAATCCTCGCCTTGTGCAATTTAGGTCATCCTTGCTGTGTTAACCAGCCCAAGGAGGTCAGCAGTGGTGTCCTACACAATCAAGTGTCGAGTGACTTTAAGAACCCAAGCCCAAGCTCTGTCATGGGGGTTGGCTAACTTTTTCTGTATCTGTCCAGATAGTATATGTTTTAGTTACTATGGTCCATCTGGTCTCTGTCCCAACTCCTCAACTCCATCACTGTAGCACAAAAGCAGCCACAGACTACATAAATACACGAGGATTAATTAAGCTTTATTAAGCTATATTAACAAAAGCAAGGTCAAAGGTTGTAGTTCTCTGCTCTATGGGAAGGCAGTATATGTCTTTCCCTTGCTCTGTTTCCTGTGGGTCAAAGATGCATCTTTCATAGTAAAATTGTCTCTATTGATTCTTTATTAGAAGTTCAACAAACATTTCTTTAGTACCATATATGTAGACTATACTATATTAGGTACTAGGGGATGAGGGAGCAGTTTGAGATGGGAAGAAAGGAAAGATGTTTAACATCTTTTTTCCCCCAAAAGTGTCTTTAATCTCCTTAGGGAGCATAGGCATGTGGGTAAACAGGACAAGTCAAAAAAGAGTAAGTAAGTTTAGAGTAGAAGCAGTCAGGTACAGATTACAAACTCTATGTATCTTTTTTGGTGTGTTCCATTGCCCCAGTTGTTTATGGATGGTACAGAATTCTCCCAGAGAGCAGGAGGTGCAGTGTTGACTGGAGAGATTGTGTGTCCGTTGATGAGATTCAGCCTGTTGTGTTTAGACATTATCTATCTCATCCTCCTTGTAAAGGCAATGTTACTAATTCATTTAACCAAACAGGAGAGAGCTTTTGCCTATGTGGTATATCATTGCTTCTCAAACTTCAGTGTTCCTAAGTATCATCATTAGGGGATCTTGTTAAAATACAGATTCTGGTTCTGTGGGACTAGGGAGGGGCCTAAGATTCTACATTTCCAAAAATGTCACTGCTGCTAGTCATCAGTACATACTTGGATGAATGGCAAGATACTTCAATAACTAGGCAAACGGCATCCTGGACTGAAAGTATTTTCTACTAGAGGAATTTCAAAGTGTAAATGTTGAAGAGCTAAATGATCCCACTTCCTTAAAATGTGTTCCCTCTCACAGCTTCCCTCCCCAACAGTAAGTAGATAAATTCACCACTTACGACTCATCTTGAAAATGTGAAAGCTGCTGTGAAAATACAAGCAGATTATCTGAATTGGTTAATGCTTTACTAAACTTTAATATTATACTTTAGGTGGAAATGGCTTCCTGGATAAGGGTGAGCCCCCAAGCAGTACTTTGAGAGAATGGGATAAAGGAAAGAGAATATTTGGTGAGGAGATAGAGTCATGAGTGATTAGGTCACAGAAGCTGTCTAAGACATATAAAACCAAAATTTAAACGGCTGGAATTGCTGTGAACACATAAGGGACTATAGACCAAGGACTGAAAGAGCAAGATGGGGGAAAGTGTCCAGACCAAACATAGAAAAAGGTCCAGAGGAAACACGGTCTAGGGAGAGACCCTGGAATTTCATCCACTGCACAGCTGAAGGTGTTACCCACACAATGGTGGGACCAGTCACTTGGCGAGTGACAGCCCAGTGGTAACAAGGAGGATTTAGCAAGCAGATTTTATTACTTGCAACAAGTAAGAAGAACACCAGGAATAGCTCCCAAAGCAATGCTTCCCCAGGCTGGAGGCTGGGTCAGGTTTTATAAGCATAAGGTAATTAGGGGTGATCTGATTGGATAGTACAATGAGATGATGTCAAGAGTCATGATCTGACTGGATCTCGCCATGGAGTGACGCCAGACTCAATCTGATTGGATCCCGGATCCTGCCATGTGTAGTCCATTTCTTAATTGAGTGCCAGCTCCTCACCCAAGCATTTAGGTTCCCCTGTGGTTTCACACTTGCTTCATTTGAGCATGCTCGGATTATATGACCTGAGGGTCTGTGACAACTGAACGATCACTCATAACTTTGAAAAGTTGAACCAAATTGGTCTGGTGTAGCTACAAAATGGATCTGAGGAATAATCTAGTTCTTTGTTTCTTTTCTTTCTGGTTCCATGCTCCAAAAGTATATTGCTCATCATTAATAGGGGCTCACCAAGAACACCACTCTGAACCTGAAGATATAAAATCAAGCCCTCCATCTCCTCCCTGCACCCAACTCTTGGGCAGGCATATCAGAAGCTCAGGGAGGAAGTGGGAATTCTGTGTCTGATAGATCCCACAGTTTTGAGAATTCGGAAAGCTCACTTATTTGATAGATGAGTAACCCAAGGCCTAGGGACAATTGGCTTGTCCACACTTAGATAAGTCATTTTTCTAGAGTTGGACTGCAAACTTAGACCTCCCAACACTCATGCTAATATCAATCTACTACAATCTCTACTCTTCTTTGATGGAACACTTATTAGATACTCGTATTAGTTCTCACACTGCTATAAAGAATTACCTGAGACTGGGTAATTTATAATGAAAAGGTTTTGTTTTGTTGTTTGTTTGTTTGTTTTGTTTTTGAGACAGAGTTTCACTCTTGTCGCCCAGGCTGGAGTGCAATGGCACGATCTTGGCTCACTGCAACCTCTGCCTCCCGGGTTCAAGTGATTCTCCTGTCTCAGCCTCCCAAGTAGCTGGGATTTCAGACTCCCACCACCATGCCCGGGGTTTCACTATGTTGACCAGGCTGGTTTCGAACTCCTGACCTCAGGTCATCTCCCTGCCTTGGCCTCCCAAAGTGCTGGGATTACAGGCATGAACCACCACTTCCAGCCAATGAAGAGGCTTAATCAGCTCACAGTTCTGCAGGCTGTACAAGAAGCATAATGGCTTCTGGGAAGGCCTCAGGACACTTTCAATCATGGCAGAAGCCAAAAGGGAAGCAGGCTGGTCTTACATAGCTGGAGTGGAAGGAAGAGAGAAAAGGGGGAGGTGCCACACACTTTTCAACAACCAGGTCTCATAAGAACTACAGCATCCATGATCCAATAACCTCCCACCAGGCCCCACCTCCAACCCTGGGGATTACAATTCGACATGAGATTCGGGTGCAAACACAGATCCAAACCATGTCAATACTCAATGGCATTGTGTGGACTATGCATCAATTATTTATTAGCTTATATTTTCCCACTATTATGCAGTTATTCCTCATAACTTTTTGGAAAGATAAAGCAGGTAGAATCCCCATTTTAAAATTATAAGATGTTATCTCACTTATCCTCATAACAGTACCTGAACTATTGACTCTAAGATATCAAGAAAAGTTTGGTGAATTAATTGTGACAATCTTGCATACTTAATAGTAAAATTAATTTATTAATAGTCAAAAATGTATTTTTGGCAAGTAGGATGTTCATAAAAACATGAGAAGCACATTAGGAAATACTATACATGTAGTATCATATATAGTATTTATATATAGATATAATATATATAGATATTTTATAGAGAGAGATATTTTTTTATATATATATATGTAAAAACACAGACCTTATCCTTAAAAGGGTTGCATTTTTAGTGGTGAGACAAAATTTATTCATGAAAATCCTTTAGGAAATGTTCAATGGTCTTCAAAGAAGAATTTTATGAGATATTTCATAAAATCCTCTAAAAATATAACATGTGCACTCTATTAGAATAGTTTATCACGCTGAATTTTAATTGTCTGTTCCTTGTTTTCCTCTCTCCACTACATTTTTTTTAAAAAGGCAAAAAAGTCCATTGCCTAGCCTGATGACTATACATATTAGGCACCAAATAGTTGTTTATTGATTGATTATACACGAAAACAAAATCATATGCTTATTGTATCTGGTATATAGCAGTTTTTGCTATACCTGTGTAAATATATTATCTAAATACAGTAATCCCCAAATCCCATGGTTTTGCTTTCCATGGTTTCAGTTACTCCAGTTAACATTAACCACGGTCCGAAAACATTAAATGGAAATGTCCAGAAATTAACAACTCATAAGTTTTCAATTGCACACTGTTCTGAGTAGTGTGATGAAATCTTGCATCATCTGCCCCATCCTGCTCCTTTCCTTCCTGTATGTGAATCATTCCTTTGTCTTGCTTGCTCACCCTGTAGACACTACCTGCCCATTAGTCACTTAGCAGCCATCTCAGTTATCAGTAGTTGGGTTCAAGTCACCCTTATTTTACCTAGTAATGGCTCCAAAGCACAACTGCAGTGATGGTGGCAATTCAGATATGCAAAAGAGAAGCCATAAGGTATTTCCCGTAAGGGAAAAGTGAAAGTTCTTAACTTAAAGGAAAAAAAAGTCAAAAAGGGTTACTAAGATCTATGATAAGAACAAATCTATCCGAGAAACTGTGAAGAAGGAAAAGAAACTCATCCCAGTTTTGCTGTCGCACCTCAAACTGTAAAACTTACAGCCACAGTGCGTGACAAGTGCTTAGTTAAGATAGAAAGGTTATTAAATTTATGGATGAAGACATGAACATAAATGCGTTTTGATGGACAGCAACTGGGTTCAGTAGTATCCACAGTTTCAAGCATCCACTGGGGGGTCTTGGGATATACTCACCTGCGTATAAGGAGGCACTACAGTACAATTATTTATTTAGTACACTTACATAGTTTATGCCTTATGTATAAGGTCAGACTTACCAGAACATTGTGATGTTTACTTCTTTTTTTTTTTTTTTTTTTTGAGACGGAGTCTCGCTCTGTTGCCCAGGCCGGACTGCGGACTGCAGTGGCGCAATCTCGGCTCACTGCAAGCTCCGCTTCCCGGGTTCACGCCATTCTCCTGCCTCAGCCTCCCGAGTAGCTGGGACTACAGGCGCCCGCCACCGCGCCCGGCTAATTTTTTGTATTTTTAGTAGAGACGGGTTTTCACCTTGTTAGCCAGGATGGTCTCGATCTCCTGACCTCATGATCCACCCGCCTCGGCCTCCCAAAGTGCTGGGATTACAGGCGTGAGCCACCGCGCCCGGCCGATGTTTACTTCTTTGGAAAAATTATTTATCATATAAACATTTTTGCTTCAACAGTTAAACCAATGCTTCTCAAGTTTTAATGTGTAAAATTGTGCTATAAAAAATCTAAAAACCAATGTTGAATACTAAATATTTTACATATACATGCTATATATCTATAAACACCAATTTATTCCTCCTACGAAGGAATAAGGGCTTTACATAAATTGTTTTCTTTTTATCCTTACAACAACCTTATGAGACAGGAGCGGTTATTACCACCACTTTACAAATGAGAAAACCAAAGTAAGTTAGCTTAGGTCACAAAGTTATTAAATGGTGCAAGCAAGATATAAACATAGAGGACAAACTCCAGAATCAATTCTTTCAACCGCTGTGGTACAGTGCAGGACTCAGCAAACTCGGAGCCACACCAAACCACATCCAGCCGCTGCCTGTTTAGTAAATAAAGTTCCCCTGGAACACAGCCATACCCATTTGTTTGTCTATGGCTGCTTTAGAGCTGCAACAGTATGACTTCAATAGCAGTGACAGTCTATATGACCCTCTAAGTCTAAAATATGTACTGTCTGATCCTTTACAGAAAAATGCCACGCCTGCTCTAGCAAATCATATATATCATTCAGTTTTGTGAATTAAATGATTTTGTCCTATAATTTTGAAATGTATTTTGTATCCTTAATATAGGATATAAAATGCAGCTGTGTTGCCCAAATTTTTCTCATTGTATTTCCAAGTAGTAGTTGAGCAACAATTCAGCACAGTTTTCTTACATTTTCTGTCATTTTGATGAATGATTTATAAGACAAAGTGAGAACTGTCTTGCATTAACTCTTCCTCGATATGCTGGACATTCAACATTGGGCTCAAGGTGCATTAGAAATGTATACTTATTAGGATTAACATTTTAAGATGTATTTTTTTAAAGGTTGCAAAATATTTATAGTTTTGAAATCAAAGGAAGGTTAGGTAACATTCTTTTGGGTGAATAACTTCAAAGTATATATATTTTTTAATTTTATTTTCTTACAAAGCTCCAGTTTAGAAGCTACAGAAGAAACATACATTGTAAAATTGGTAATAAATTGGAGAGGGATTGTGCAGCATATTTTCCTTACTAATTTTAAGGAGGAGTTTTTCAACATTATTGTGAATCATAATTATGTCATTATATGTTATAAATATATTACGTGTATTTACACTACATAATTAGACCTAATTCTAATTATGTAGATTCATGGTAATCAGCAAAATTTGCTTTAAAAAACCAAGATAATTCCTCTAACAGATGCTACCTTAATAGAATATTAAGTTTGAGAAAAATCTCATGAAAATAAGATAATTAATAAGTAATGATTAAACCTTAACTTGTAAGCAGAATAACGCATCATGTCACACTTCTCCCAAACCTTCATTATAAGAAAAAGTGTTTGTTCTGGGACACACTGAAAACTTTGGTAAATAGTAGTTTAGAGAAATTATCTCTTAAATTGAAAGAGAAAGCAATCCAATAAAAATACCTCAAAGTTTTAAAGATTTGTTTTGGTTATAACATAAATACTCTCCTTTCAAAGCTCCTTATGTAAAAACCTTTTTTAAAAAATTGTTCTAGTAACAAAGAGGTAAATAAAAACACTATTTCCCACTGGAATCATGTTCTCTAGATGTTAAATCTAGCATCATTGCTGTAAATTGCTAGTTGTAGTCTTTGATTGACATGTTTACCCAGATAATGTAACAGTTTTTGTGAAAGAAATCTACTTAGTGTCTGGATGACATGAAACATGTTTCTTGTGGAAGGAAAAGACCAAAGTATTCTTTCAAATGGGAGTCTTTTCTCTTCGAATCTTTGAAGCTGATAACTAATCATGTAATCTGTTTTATTCCCTCATTTACCCAATATTAGTAGTTCAATTGCAATATGTGTCTAACTATACCTTTGAAATCCCCTCAAGGGCTCTGTCCTTGACTTTATTTCGGATTCATTTTCGATGCTGAGTTGCACAGGTATCCATTCTGCACAGCAAGGTGTTTGACCGAGGAACTCGTTTGGTTATGTTGAGTATTCTCTGTCTTTTCTATCAGGTTTTAACCCTAGCTTTTTCTAGAAATGTGGAACAACTTGCCACAAATACTTCACATGAAGGAAATCACTCATTATTTCTAATGATTTTCCCACTAAGTGAAAAGTATATATATATATATGTATATGTTTCTTTCCCTGTAAAATATATTATTCCTTTTGAAGCTGCCACAGATGGCAAATTACCATGGGGGCAATAAATGATATTTCCAAAGCACCTTGAACTTGTGCAGGCGAACTTGATCTTCACATGATCCTGAGCCTTAAGGGTGTAAAATAGCAAGTGGCCAGGATACCACAAGAAGGAAGCAAAACAACTTTTTCTCAGATAATTAGTCAGAGTAGGCAAAAGATAGCCCCCACAGTGACCTTTTGACTATTCAGCCAGTGGATCTGGGGCTCAGCAATCAGTCTGTGCTGAACTCCTCTACAGTCAATCAATCCTAAACTGATAAGCCAATGACTTGTTTAAACAGGCCCAGTGAACTTTTGTGGCCATTGACTTTGGAAGCCCTGCCTTGCCACTGGTTTGGGAAGCCACCTTTACAAGGGTTTTTTTGTGCCCTTTTATGTCCACATGCAAGTCAATTCCCAAGGCTTTAATCTTTTCTGAGTTAATATCCCTCTGACAATCTGAAAACCCGAACCCACAAATCCTATTCTTTGCATTGGAATAGGTTTTCCTTGCCTTGGGAGTCAGTAAACTTAGCTACACACTCAATTTGTTTCATTCTTTATTTACATCTACCAGAGAAATTAGATCAATCCTGATACAAAAAAAATAAAGTCAACAAAGTTTTATGTCAACCTTATCTACAGCAGAACCTTAGCAGTTAAAGATTTAATATGTATAGTTTTGATTATATTTCGAAATTGCACATGCCATTTGCAATTTTTATACCAAGATACAAATTTGGATTGAGCCTTTCCAGGCTGTGTTATCTTACTGTCACTTGACTGATGAAGGAGTCTAGAACCCACACTTTGGAAGAGCTTATTTTCGTTCTCATTATAAGACCAGCAACTGGGAAAGAGTGAGCAAACTGTAACTTCTTTCTGAATACTGGCTACTGGCCTAACCAGCCAATTGCTAGTCCTAGTCACAGAAATGAAAAGGCTTAAGAAAAGAAGTAGCTTGTACCTAGAAAATCATTTCGTAAATCATTTTTATAATTATTATGTATTTAGTATTGATCTAAAGGAGTTATTTAAAACTTTTTGGTTATATCTTAATTTTGTGGGAGAGATAATAATGTACATTGTTATTTGGAGAGGAACCTTCCAAAGGATGTTTGACATGTCCTGCATATGAGTGGCTACTTCCTATTTACTCATTCCCCAAACATTATCATATGCGTGACCATTTTCAGCCCTAAAGAAGTATACAACTTGCCGGCCAGGCACGGTGGCTCACGCCTGTAATCCCAGCACTTTGGGAGGCCGAGGCGGGTGGATCACGAGGTCAGGAGATCAAGACCATCCTGGTTAACATGGTGAAACCCCGTCTCTACTAAAAATACATTTCCCTTGTCCTGCAAAGCATTCTTAGACACCAACTCCATACCACTGGCTAGATGCAAAGGGAAATTGGCCTAATATTGGTTCTTGGAACCTCAGAAACTAAGAGGATACTAGATAACACAGAATGGAAAGAATTATGCAGATTTTAGAGGAAACTGTACATTCCTAGGAGGTCAAGTCCCTGTGGTTGATTTTTTTTTGTTTTGTTTTTTAAATGAGTGGCTAATGTTTCTTTTGCATTGGAGGCCAGACCACTGGAACATTAACATTTCAATATTTGAAACTATGTTTTTCATTCAATAGCATGTCTATAGAGCCTAAAACAGTGTCTAAGGAAGAGGATATGCTTAGTGAATATTTCTAAATGATCATTTTATTCATTTTCTTTTTTAAATGTATTTATGCAGCACAAAAACAGCATACCACAGTCGCATTAGGTGCTTGAAATAATTTGGAGAGCAAATCAGTTAAAATGACTAGAAAGGAATGAGACAATGTCTGAGATAAGCCCTGATATTCCCATTTGCCTTGTCCAAGGTAGACATTGATAATTCATCACAGTCCTCTTTCCTGCTGAGCCTGGATGCAGCATCAGAATCCTCCTCAATACAGGGCTTCCATCAGCCACTACCAATCAGCTGGAGTTGGCAGCTATTTCCAAACCATTTGCCACTGTTGGACTAGACTGTATTTCCCTAGAACCTTAAACAGAAGGTAGCATCTTCTAATCTTCAGACTTGCTTGCCTTTTCAAACTCCCACTGTGATTATTTTCTACTACCTGTTTCATATAGTCAGTTAATCTCATGAATTTCAAATGCTGACCTAGATGCAGATGTTTTTGTGGATACACTATATTTAAAGAGAAACTTCTCAGACTTCAGATCCATAATACAAATTTCATTATTCTGCTTCTACATTTTAGGATGAAATGGAAATTTTCTAGCTAATTGTTTGAGATGCATAATTATCAAAGAGAACTAAAGAATCCCCTCTACTAATCCAGTGATTCTCAACCAGGGGGGATTTTACTCAGCAGGGGACATTTAACAATATCTAGAGACATTTTGGTTGTCATAAATTGGTGTGTTGGGGGAATGCTACTGGCATGTAGTAGGTAGAGGAGAGCAGTGCTGCTAAACATCCTAAAATGCACAGGACAGACCCCACGCCTTCAACAAATAATTATCTAGTCCCAAAATGTCAATAGTGTTCATATTGACAAACCCTGTTCCACACTATTAAAACACTTAATTATATGTAGATGTTGAAGAAGATAATTTTGGAACTTAAATCTTTATGCTATTAATTTGATTTACAAGGGAAACTAAATACTCTTTCTTAAAAAAAAAAAAAAAAAGTGTAGTCATGCTCATATTTGAAATCTACCTTTGGGTCCAGTGTCACAATTTGATGAGTAAGACATTCCCAAGAGACAAACAGTCAGTGGGATGCCACGGGGCCTGCCTACAGACTGCAATTGAAACTCGACATTGTACTTCTTTTTCATCATAGGTGAATGACCAAAGTGTGAGCTCTTCAATGTTTCACACTATATTGAATCTCACACAGAGAAACTGCTCTTGTAATACAAGATGGATTTCAAGGGTTCTCCATTTTTTTTAAGTGTTAAGTTTAGTCTAGCAAGATTTTTTCCCTAGGAAAACTTGGTTCTATCTATCAAACAGACCAGTTGCTCATTTATGAAATATTTCCATTACCAGATGTAGTTAAGTTTTGCTAATGAAATGAAGGGAGTGAGAAGATTTTTTTTTTCACTTCTACCTCAAAACAAAACTTTGCTTTCTGAGGATTAAATCCACCACTTCTCCCTGTCTCATTGTCAACTAGACATAGTGAGGGTCTTTTAGACAGATTCTCGAGACACACTGGCTGAGAGCATTTCATATTAACTCAAATATATAAGCCTTAATAAGCCAATTTCCCATTCAGTTTAATCTATTTTCAGCAGATCAAAATAATTAAAAATGCTAACAGTTATGGTAATTTCAATACACTGTGAGAGAAGCAATTTAGATAGCACCTTCCCGACGAATCTATATTTGTATAAATGCTGATCAAGAATATTTGTTCAATTTTATACAAATCAAACATGAATAATTTCTTCCATATTACTCCTTCCATTGTTGTGTTTTCCCTCTATCTAATTATCCATTTGCTGCTGGCATGCTGCTCTGGGAAGATTTGATTAAAATCAATAAGTTATTGGGAAGATGGCAATTAGCAGTCTTTCACCTATAATAGCATTGTCTGTTAGGCTTCCTTTGTGTTAATCATGATATTTTAGCATGACTTTCCTATCCAGCCATGCAATTTAATGAAATGGAAGGTTTAAAAAGCATCCTTAATTTGGGGCACTGGCAGTACGCTTCTCTGTTTTTCACTGTTTTGATAGGAGTACCCAGCATTTCTGCAGTACATCAGAATCCTCATCTCCTTTGAGACTTTCCCAATTTTAAGATCTCAGAAATATCTGCAGAGAAGTTCATACTGCATAAACTTCAAGTGGGTTCAATGTAGCATAAAGATGCCAGCAAATATCAATGCATAGATTTGTTTAACTATTTCAAAGTGACTTGATAGTTTGTTTGTAATAGGTAATTGACATGGCAAAGTTCTTCACTTTGGCTGTATGATATTGAGTGGTAAATGCCTGGGCTAAAGACTGAACCTTGACCAATGCCCCTTGACAGCAAGTAATGATTGTCAAAGTCATTAATTAGAATAAGGCCATGGCACTCTCCTTTTTATGTTTGTTATCATTTGTTTCTTTTTTTCTGAATGTTCATTTTAGCCACTCTTTCCTTAGAGGAAGCGCACACACACACACACACACAGACACACACACACACAAATGAGCTTGCTGTTTAGTTATATATAAGGAGGGCTATGTTTAGCCTTTTTTTTTTTTTTTTTTTTTTTTTTTTTTTGTTACGGAGTTTCGCTCTTGTTGCCCAGGCTGGAGTGCAATGGCGCGATCTCAGCTCACCGCAACCTCTGCCTCCCAGGTTCAAGTGATTCTCCTGCCTCAGCCTCTTGAGTAGCTGGGATTACAGGTGCCCACCACCACACCCGGCTAATTTTTTGTATTTTTAGTAGAGATGGGGTTTCACTATGTTGGCCAGGCCAGTCTCAAATGCCTGACCTTGTGATCCACCTGCCTAGGCCTCCCAAAGTGCTGGGATTACAGGCATGAGCCACCGCGCCCAGCCTAGCCAAAATTTTTACATAATGAGAATTGCTGTGAAAACATGAACACTTAAACTAGGAAGTGGATTATGTTCATGTTAGACTTGTAACTAAGATCTTAATTCATAAATTGACAAATCCTTGTTTAGAGAATTAGTACCAAAATAAAACATTAATATGGAAATACTCAGATATTTGTGAACATGTGGAAACATCTTGATTTCGTAGGACATTTCCTATTGATGTTTTGCCTAATCCTAGTGTGTTGTCAGCTAGTTCCTCGAAAGATCCAAAGTCCCAAACAAGGATATGCAAGACTAATAAAAAAGAAATATGGAAATGGGTCTCACCCTTAAGGAATTGTCTGTCTAAAAAACCAAAAGAAGTAAAGAGGTAATGCAATTACACGGATTATTCAAAGTAACTTGTAGGGAAAAAGAAACTTCCATATCAATTAATCAGATTTTTTTCTAACTATAATGCTCAAATTTTCTGGATAATTGTAAAGTGCTCCATTATATTTACCCTCATAAACACAGTCTGAAATAAATGAAATAACTGAAGACACTCAACACCACATTAACTCCTTAATTTTTAAAAATACAATTTTTTTCTCTGTACTGGGAAGTTTCTGGGTACTTAGTGTCATTTTTATGCACCTAATAAATGTAAATGACTATTTTGTAATAAAAATGGGCCTCATTTTAGACTGAGAAGAAAGTTGGAGGAATTTTTTTCCAGCTAACACCTGAAATTCTTATTGTAAAATCTTTTAACAGAATTCTTATATTGTAATGTTACTTAGATGTCAACATCATCAGCAAGATAACACACATATTATTTTAATGAAAGCAATGACTTCATTTTTGCCCCTTAAGTATTTGAAATAAATATGTTTTCTAATATATAATATATATTTATACGTATGGAACTATCTTGGAAAGTGACATAATTATAAGTCTTCTAATAGAAAGCTTGCTGTTAATTTACATCTTGAATATAGAGTAGTTTTAGAAATGACTTCAAAAGAACAGTGAATTTTAAATGGCAGTAAGAGAAAGAAGCACACAGAATTATGTTGGCTCCTTCTCTCATCAGATTTAGGCTGTTTTCTTTGTTATCACAGAGCTATTCTCTTGTATGTTTTCTGACAGTTGGCTCCCAACCCCATCTAATTTTATCAATCAGAGATTTAGAAACAATTATGTAATCCATTTAAACATTTTACCATTTACAATCTACTGTGTATTATTGAATCAGTTATTCAAAGTGGATTTGTCCTAGCTGTGGTTGAAATGTGAATGAGTGCACATTACAGAAGAATTAGGAAGAGCTGGACATGCACACCATTATATGGCTCTGGTAGGATGCCACAGTGTAGGTATCAGATATCAGTGGGCACCTGTGGGCAGATAATTCTGTAGGGAGGACTGTAGCAATGACTGCCCAGAGAGAGGTGAGAGGGCACCAAATAAAATGTTTGTCCAATTTGCATTTTGACATGGGCACTAGTTCTGCTCTCAAAGTAAAATAATAAATAAATAAATAAAGCTGAGATTCTTGAAGCCAATCTCTAGGATTGCAGAAACGGTATCTCACTGGTGGTGCCTAGGGAAGTGTATTTTAATAAACATGCTTGTCGATTTAGATGCAGGTGGTCCAAAGTCTACAGCCTGAGAAACAGAGATGACCTAAAGACAAAAGAAAATTCACGTCTTCTGCCCTAGTTCTACCCGCTACAGTTAACCACCATCTGGTCTGAATTATTCCTACAGAATAAGATATGATTGAAAGATTTACACAGTGTGATTTGCTATGCTAGAAGACTCACTAGAAATATCGTAGGTTTTGCCTGATTCCTCACGGTTCTTGAACACATCGTAGGGTATTTTTGGTGGGAGTGTGTTTTCGGGGAGAATCTACTTTTGAAAGTTTAGGGCATTATTGGAATCAGAGTCAGATAAGGGGGAGGCTAATTGGTGGTTTTCCAGAGCACAACTCTATAAGGGACACTAAGATATCACCACAGGTACAATGAGATGGATAATATTGTATTTTCCAGAAATTCTCTCTGAAAGAAATAATTCAATTAGATGCTTGAGGATTGGGAGTGCAGGGCAGGTGAGATCCCTGAAGTAAATGCTTTGGGAACAATGGCAGATCCTTCAATCCCATTCCAAGAAAGGAAGTTCTGGTTAACTGAAAGGTTTTTGCTTTGTTGAGTGGGTCATCAGACATTGAGACTAAAGCTAAGTCTCTTGGGACAATAGAGCGATAATTTTCTATGTGTTACATACCTTGCAACAGACAAGTCCAGTTTCCAGGATGCTTTGAGCTCCTCAGGGAGCAATAAACATGTAATTAATTTTCTTCATTCATCAAATATATTTTAACCATCTCTGACATGTTAGAGAATTTTAAAAAATTAAAAAGACAGTTTCTTGCTCCCAAGCATTTACAGGCTACTGTTTGGAAAACAGACATGCACACAAAGATATCCCATGGCAAGAGTATTGCTTTAAAGGTACAGTAGAAGCCCAGAGAAAGCCAAGGTTGTGCCTCGGGGCATCTGAGAAAGCCTTCAACAGTAAAATGTGAGCTGACAATAGAAGTCTGACAAGGCAAGACAGGGCACTTTGAGTAGCAGGAACAGCATATGCAAGGGCAAGGTGCTGTATTTAAAAAAATATGCTCAGGAGATGGCTAAAGCTTTCTGAGAGTGAAAGAGAATGTGAGAGAAGAGCTGGACAGCTGGACAGTGCTTGAACTAAACCTAATCTTCATGCTAAGAAGTTGAGATTGTTCATCACCTAGTTCTATAGATGACCATTGATCTGTGTTTTAACAGGTTTTTTTCAGGAGCACTTTACTAAAATTGAAATACTCAATGCTCAATGCTTAGAAGCCTTTAAGGTGTTTTGAGCTGGATACTTCCATGGCCACACTGGCATGCAAGTTTCTTCTGAGACACAGTGAATGTTGAAATGAAAGTGGGAAGACTGTATGCAGAAAAGTTTAGTAACAATTGGAAGTCCAGACAAGAGATGATATGGTTCTCAACTAGGTGAGTCATAAAGATGATTGAAAGAAAGAGATGAAGAAGGGAATAGACTGGAGAGAAATCAAGAGGCTAAGGAACCAGGAAGGTTGGCCACGGTGTCAAAGTGTTTCTTACTAAGTTACCAGTTTTTGGCTTTATTCTTTTTTTTGGCTGGCAATGTAGTTTTGGAGAAGGGTCAGATTAGTTTTGATAATGTTGAATAGAATAAACACTCCTAAAATGGATTAGACCTCTATTAAATCATTGAACATATATTTAACTAATAATGTCTCAATGTTAAATTCTAAGTGAAAAAACTGCTTATTATCATCCACTTTAATTCTGTCCATAAGAGTCACTGGGCAAGGAAAGCTACTAAGAAAGAAACAGTTGGGGGTTCTTTTTTGGACCGCAAAAGCAGGTAATTTTGGAGACAGATACATCTTGTGGACCAAGCTTCAGGTTCTCCTCATGGAGACAAAGCACATTTCAATAGCCCAAGAGCAGTTCTCCATTGCAAGAGTTGCTATTTCTGGAAATAAAAGGACATTGAAGCCAGGAGCATTTACAAAAGAGGTAAAATGGGAACCAGGAGAATCTTGATAAAATGGAACACATTCTCTGCTCCATAAGCCTTCTCAAACTCTCTCTAGAAGACTCCTGATGAGAAACTGTCCTGCCACTCTTTTTTTTTTTTTTTTGAGACAGAGCCTCGCTCTGTCACCCAGGCTGGAGTGCAGTGGCGCGATCTCGGCTCACTGCAAGGTCCACCTCCCGGGTTCACGCCATTCTCCTGCCTCAGCCCCCCGAGTAGCTGGGACTACAGGTGCCCGCCACCACGCCCGGCTAATTTTTTTGTATTTTTAGTAGAGACGGGGTTTCACCGTGGTAGCCAGGATGGTCTCGATCTCCTGACCTCGTGATCCACCCGCCTTGGCCTCCCAAAGTGCTGGGATTACAGGCTTGAGCCACCGCGCCCGGCTTCTCCTGTCACTCTTAATTTTTGTTCACAGGACATCTCAGAGTTGTAATGAATTAACTGTGATGTAATATTTTGAAAATATATTCCTCCCCGTCTAAATCATAAACTCAATGAGGATAGAAATTAGAATTTATTTTTTGTTGACAGCTCTGTCAGTCAGGGTTCAATCAGAGAAGCGGAACCACTTAGACAATACTTACATGTGATACTAAGGGTTTTACTATAGGCATTTGACATTGTGTCATGTGGGAGCTGGTGAAGAAGTCTCTGTAGGGCTCTTTCTTCATGTCTGATACTGGAACTTAAAGCCCACAGGCAGGCAGGCAAGGAAGAAAAGATGGCTGTCAAATGGTAGAGGTGAAAAGGAGTCCAGGGCCCATGGCATGAGCTAAAACTCCACACGTATGACCTGAAGCCCATGTCAGTTCTTGTTTCCTCTGACTTTCATGGTGTGGATGTCCTGCAGAAACCAGGGTGCTTTTTCATGGAGCTGGACCCACATTTTTGGTTTCTGAGTCAAAGAAGTTTAAGGAAGATCCAGGGGAAGGTGGAGCCCAGGCCCACCTGCTAACTCACATCATTGCGGTAAGTTAGCAGATTCTTAACAATATTTGTGAGTTACAAAATGTCTGTTGCTCCACTTCCACCCCGCAACATCTCCCACAAGATATGTCTGTGGTAGCCCACCCTAACCAGGAATATCTAGAAAATGGAATTCTGGGAAATGTAGTTCAGAGCAGCTAAGTTGCTCCATTACAAAGTTGCCACAATAGCTATATCTTCAGCACTTTCACAGTGCCTAGGATGAAATAACCTTATTAATCCTTTATTGCCTTGTACAGTGGAGTCCAATGTTAAATGAGAAAACACATACAACTCTATCTCACTCTCACTCTTTCTCTCACACACACACACCCTTTTTTCCTCTTTAAAATGTGTAAAGTGTAGGTAATGAATTAGTTGTAACGGCACTGTCCTAGTTTCCAGGCTATAAACTCATCACTGTAATAACTACAAAGCCTCTACAGTAATGGCATATGAGTAGGAATTTGTGAGATGAAATTTTTGGCAGTTCATTAGTAAATTCGGGTTTTGCCTCAGCCTTAGGAAACAGAAGGGATCCCAGAAGGTACAGCAATCAGCAGATGAACTAACCCTCCCCCTCAATAATGTGAAATGCTATTTTAAAAGAATTAAACAATGAGAAATAAAGCCTGGGAAATGAAATAATAGCTCATTAAAAATAATCTTTTTGAGTTATGTGGGATGGGAGAGAATACATTCTAATCATCACCATAATTCAAATATGTGGTAGTTTCAAAGGAATTTTATTGTGTGTTCCCCTGAAGTCCTTTAACACTGGTTAGCTAAATGCTTCAAGGTCTGTGCTGTGCTTTAATTCATCTTTGTGTCCCTGGCACTAATCAGAGTGCCAGCGTGTCTTAATGCTTGAAAATATTTGTTGGAAAAATAAATGAGAGAACGAACTAAGAGCATTTAATAAAAGACATGGAAAATATTTACTCCACAAGTTTTATATGACCTGGAGAAGAGGCTGAAATTGACATAGACGTGAATTGTAGGCAGAATGCCACTAAAGGGGTTCTTGGCCAGGCGCAGTTGCTCATGCCTGTAATCCCAGCACTTTGGGAGCCCGAGGCGGGCGGATCACGAGGTCAGGAGATCGAGACCATCCTGGCCAACATGGTGAAACCCCATCTCTACTAAAAATACAAAAATTAGCTGGGCATAGTGGCGCGTGCCTGTAATCCTAGCTACTCGGGAGGCTGAGGCAGGAGAATCGCTTGAACCAGGGAGTCGGAGGTTGCAGTGAGCCGAGATTGTGCCACTGCACTCCAGCCTGGTGACAGAGCAAGACTCTGTCTCAAATAATAATAATAATAATAGGTTCTCGTTGAGGTGTCAGACTGGCCTGGGTGTATTGGTTCCTCCTCCAAAGTCAACCCTAAGAAAACTATAAAATCTAGAGGAAAGCATGGATTTGAGGAATGAAAAATGAAAAGCCAGAGGATCCACGAAGAGTCTAAGGTCTGTTTTGCCAGTTAGTGAGTTTTGAATTGGTGATGTGTAACGTATAGCACAGAGGTTCAGGTAGAAGCCGTGAGGGCATAGGTTGTAAGATGCCCTTTAGCTTTGCTGCTGCCCTTTTCTCCTCAGAAATTGGATGCAATACCCTAGGCCTCCAATTTTGGAAAGGAGCAGAGGTAAGATCAGGGCTATGCGAGAGCCATGTTGGTATGAGTGGACACAGAACCTGCAGGCTAGGCAGACACACCCAGCCATTCACTTCTCCACCCTCCAGCCCCCAGCAATGGAAGATGAGGAGCCCTGTCTCCTCTCAGTGCTGCTGCAGCACAAGGTTAAGGGTGAAACAATGATCAGAGGAGGAGCTTGGTTGATTGGAAATGAATGGGAGCATTTAGCCATCTTTTTATTGTTTTCAGAGCTCTGTGCCCAAGGGCTTTTCCCCTTCGATATTTCTATATTCTTCTGGATGCACACCAACCACAGCTTTCAGCCCTCCTGTTACAGACTCCAGACAGAGTAGCAGGTTCCCCATGATGTGAATTCACAGGCTAAAATAGCAAGACATTTGAGGAGGACAGTTATTAGCAAACAAAGGCCACAAAGGTGAAATGTATATCATCTGATGTAGAATAATTGGAAGATACAAAAAAGAATTTAAAATAAGCATAATAAATGTATTTACAAGTAAAGGAAGATGTTTGCAAAGTAAAGAATGAACAAAAAAATCATAAAAAGAGCCAAATGGTACAACAAGAATGCAAAATGTCAGAAATAACTCAGTAGTTAGAACAAATATTAGAATATGTAGAGATTAAAAGTAGAAGATTAGATGAATGAACTATTGCAGAAGGCAGCAAGAACAAAATAAAGGTGGAAGACATAAAGGATTCAGTAGCTGGAAATTTTGGAAAATAAAAATACCAATATCTGAGAATAGAAATCCTAGAAAGTGGAAGAAAAAAGAAAACAGGAAATATCTGAAGAAATAATTAAGATATGTTTTCTAGAGTTAAAAAAAATGTTGAAAGATGTCAGATTGAAGAGGCTCAAATTGGAAGAAATAAGGCTAACGTGATACTATAGTGAATGTTAAGGGTAAATAAACTTTCAGAAAAAACAAATCACCTACAAAATAATAAAAATTAGACTGGCATTGGCCTTTTTAACAGCAAATTTGGAAGCAAGAAGTTGAAGAAGTTAAGTTTCTCTAAAGGGGAAAAAAAAAAACTGATACATCTAGCCAATCATCATTCAAATGTGAGGACAGGCTGGGCACGGTGGCTCATGCCTATAATCCCAGCATTTTGGGAGGCTGAGGTGAGTAGATCACCTTAGGTCAGGATTTTGAAACCAGCCTGGCCAACATGGTAAAATCCCATCTCTACTAAAAAAAAAAATACAAAAATTAGGCTCGCGTGGTGGCACACACCTCTAGTCCCAGCTACTGGGGAGGCTGAGGATGGAGAATCACTTGAACCCAGGGGCAGGGGTTGCAGTGAGCCGAGATTGTGCCACTGCACTCCAGCCTGGACAACAGAGTGAGACTCCCTCTCAAATTAAAAAAAAAAAAAGGACATAATACACAATATTCTTAGACATATAGGGCCTAGAAGTTTTCTCATATGGAGGCACATACTAGAAATATGCTTTAAAAAGGTACTCATAGAAGAAAAAATAGTTCAGGAGAATTTGATAAGTGATATGGAAACGAGAGAAATGAAATAATTTGGTTCAATTTACGGTTTAAAAAAATGCTTTAGTACATCAAAAGAAAAAGATAAAATATATTTATAACAATTAAGATCTAAAATATAGACAATAAAGGAGAACATAGATACTGATAAATGTGGGAAATTAATAAGACTAAATAGACTTTAGATGTGGTCTTAAATTAAAGGCAGAAATCATGAATACAAATGTATGATATGTAATTTTTATATCTGAAGAACAAAAGTTGTTTATATAGGGGAAAGTAACAAAGGAGAAGATGGCAAAAATGTGGAGAATATGTAAAAAGTCAAATAAGACAGCTGAAATGTCATAGTAATTAAAATAATTACAAATGAGAAATACAGCAAAGTCTCAGACTGCATTTTTAACCACAAGAAAAATGATCCCAAACAATGCTTTTTGCATAAGGATAAGCTTAATACAAAAAGATTCAGAAATATTTAAAATAAAGGATGAAAAATATTGACCAAGTAAATAGGAACCAAAACTAATATCGGATAGTACTCTTAATATTTAACAAAATATAATTCGAAGAAAAAAATACTGGTGTAATGAGTAGATTTGTTCAAGATTTTCCTCCGGGTTACCTAGGAGCCAGCTAGAATCAGCCTCTCATTCATCTTTTCTCCCAGGAGAAGAAACTGCATCTGAACTCAGATTCCCATGGGGCACATGGCCCCACCCTGAAAATTAGAAGAGATGTAATTACAGACAATTTGTGTAAAGAGTCATTATCTGTATCCAAAATGCCTAGCATCCACAGAATTGGTATCTATTTTCATTGATAAATTGGCAGCCATGTTTTCCCTGTAAAAAAGCTCAATAAGGGATTCAGTGCTGCCCCTGAAAACTAGACTCACCCTGTGGGGTCTTGTCCCTGATATTCCTCTCTGTGGGATGACCAGAGGGTGGGGCAGCACTGAATCCCTTACTGAATCCCTCACTGAATCCTCTCCTTTTCTTTTATCTTGTAGATTCTTGGCTTTATGAGATGTCCATTTCTTCTTAACATTTACCAGATAATACTATACAATTTGTCCTGAGCACTGGTGTCATAGGGGAGCAGCCACTAAAGAACCTAACCTGACTGAGACAAAAAAGAGGATGGGCTGGGTGTGGTGGCTCAAGCCTGTAATCCCAGCACTTTGGGAAGCCAAGGCGGGTGGATCAGGAGGTCAAGAGATGGAGACCATCCTGGCCAACATGGTGAAACCCTGTCTCTACCAAAAAAACAAGCGTGGTGGCAGGGGCCTGTAGTCCCAGCTACTGGGGAGGCTGAGGCAGGAGAATCGCTTGAACCTGGTAGGCAGAGGTTGCAGTGAGCCAATATCTCACCACTGCACTCCCACCTGGTGACAGAGCGAGACTCAGTTTCACTCACCTCTGTGTGAAGAGACCACCAAACAGGCTGTGTGTGAGCAACAAGGCTGTTTATTTCACCTGGGTGCAGGCGGGCTGAGTCTGAAAAGAGAGTCAGCAAAGGGAGATGGGGTGGGGCCGTTTTATAAGATGTGGGTAGGTAAAGAGGGGGGTTGTTCTCTGGCGGGCAGGGGTGGGGGTCACAAGGTGCTCACTGGGGGAGCTTTTGAGCCAGGATGAGCCAGGAGAAGGACTTTCACAAGATAATGTCATCAGTTAAGGCAGGAACAGGCCATTTTCACTTCTTTTGTGGTGGAATGTCATCAGTTAAGGCAGGAACCAGCCATCTGGATGTGTACGTGCAGGTCACAGGGGATATGATGGCTTAGCTTGGGCTCAGAGGCCTGACATTCCTGTCTTCTTATATTAAGAAAAAACGAAATAGTGGTAAAGCATTGGGGCAGCGAAAATTTTTTTGGGGGTGGCATGGACAGATAATGGGCGATGTTTCTCAGGGCTGCTTGGAGCGGGATTAAGGGCGAAATGGGAACCTAGAGTGGGAGAGATTAAGCTGAAGGAAGATTTTGTGGTGAGGGGTGATATTGTGGGGTTGTTAGAAGAAACATTTGTCATATAGAATTATTGGTGATGGCCTGGATATGGTTTTGTATGAACTGAAAAACTAAAGGGAATAAGAGGAGAAAAACAGATTAAGAGAAGGAAAAAAAAGGATTAAGAATTGGGAGGACCCAGGACATTCAATTAGACAGTGCCCAAGGGGGTTCAGCGTAATTACTTGCTTGGTTGGTAAGTTTTGGGGCTTTATCCAAGTTTTTGGGGTGCAGTTCAGGTGTGAGGAAGAAAATAGATTTTGGAAGTTATGAGAACTGTAGAGAGTGAGTTGAGCATAGTTTGTGATTTTAAGGGCCTCTAAAAGTATTAGGGCAGCGGCAGCCGCTGCATGCAGACTTGAGGGCTAGGCAAAACAGTAAGGGCAAGTTGTTTGGACAACAAGGCTACAGGGCACGGTCCCGGTTCTTGTGTAAGAATTCCGACTGCACAGCCCTGCACTTCGGCTGAATCAGGGAGAACTAGGGTGGGGGCAGTCTCTAAAGCTGTCTTCAAGGAATGGAAAGAGGAGTGGGGAAAGGATTTAGAAACTATGGGGTCAGCTAGATTTCCTTTTGTGAGTTTATATAATGGTTTTGTTAGGATGGCAAAACCAGGTATCTAAAGTCAAAAGTATCCAACCATGCCTAGGAAGGAAAGGAGTTGTTGTTTTGTAGAAGGCGGGGTTTGAGAGATCAGTCAGACACAATTGGCAGGGAGAGCACGTGTGTTTTTATGAGAATTATGTCAAGATAGGTAACAGATGAGGAAGAAATTTGGGCTTGACTGAAGTAATGGGGGCTGTCTGTGAAGGCTTGCGGCAGTACAGCCCAGGTAATTTGCTGAGCCTGATGGGTGTCAGGGTCAGTCCAAGTGAAAGCAAAGAGAGGCTGGGATGAAGGGTGCAAAGGAATAGTAAAGAAAGCATGTTAGAGATCCAGAACAAAATAATGGGTTGTGGAGAGGGGTATTGAGGATAGGAGAGTATATGGGTTTGGCAGCACGGGGTGGATAGGCAAAACAATCTGGTTGATAAGGCTCAGATCCTGAACCAACCTGTAAGCCTTGTCTGGTTTTAGGACAGGTAAAATGGGGGAATTGTAAGGAGAGTTTATAGGCTTTAAAAGGCCATGCTGTGACAGGAGAGTGATAACAGGTTTTAATCCTTTTAAAGCGTGCTGTGGGTGGGATATTGGCATTGAATGGGGTAAGGGTGATTAGGTTTCAATGGGATGGTAAGGTGTGCATGATCAGTCACCAAGGAGGGAGTAGAGGTATCCTATACTTGTGGGTTAAGGTGCGGGGATACGAGAGGAGGATGTGAAGGAGGCTCTGAATTGGGGAAAAGGGCAGCAATGAGGTGTGGCTGTAGTCCAGGAACAGTCAGGGAAGCAGATAATTTAGTTGAAATGTCTTGGCCTAATAAGGGAACTGGGCAGGTGGAGATAACTAAAAAAGAGTGCTTAAAAGAATGTTGTCTAAGTTGGCACTAGAGTGGGGGAGTTTTAAGAGGTTTAGAAGCCTGGCCATCAATACCCACAACAGTTATGGAGGCAATGGAAACAGGCCCTTGAAAAGAAGGTAATGTGGAGTGGGTAGCCTCCGTATTGATTAAGAAGGGGACGGACTTACCCTCCACTGTAAGAGTTACTCAGAGCATCTGTGATGGTCCTGTAGGCTTCCGAGGCAATCAGGCAGTGTCACTCTTCAGCTGCTAAGCAGAGACGATCTGGGAAGGAATCAGTCAGAGAGCCTTGGGCCAGAGTTCCAGGGGCTCTGGAAGTGGCTGCCAGGTGAGTTGAACAGTCCGATTTTCATTGGGGTCCCACACAGATGGGACACGGTTAGGAGGAATCCCAGGCTGTGGGCATTCCTTGGCCCAGTGGCCAGATTTCCGGCATGTGTAGCAAGCTCCTGGGGGAGGAGGTTCTGGAGGAACCCCTGGCAGCTGCGGTTCAGGCGTTTGGAGTTCTTGTGTGCTGGAGATGTGGCTGGGGTTTGTCTTACAGTGGAGGCAAGGAATTGCAACTCAGAAATACATTGCTACTTGGCTGCCTCTATTATTGTACACCTTGAAGGCAAGGTTAATTAAGTCCTGTTGTGGGGTTTGAGGGCCGGAATTTAATTTTTGGAGTTTTATTTCATGTCAGGAGCAGATTGGGTAATAAAATGTATATTGAGAATAACACGGCCTTTTGACCTTTTAGGGTCTAGGGCTGTAAAGCATCTCAAGGTTGCTGCCAAATGAGCCATGAACTGGGTTGGGTTTTTCATATTTGATGAAAAAGAGCCTAAATGCTAACTGATTTTGGGAGAGGTCGGATAAAGAAAAAGGAGTATTAACCTTGAGTATACCTTTAGCTCCAGCCACCTTTTTAAGAGGAAATTGCTGGGCAGGTTGGGGAGGGCTAGTCACAGAATGAAACTGTAAGCTGGCCCAGGTGTGAGGAGGGGAGGTGATAAAAGGATTATAGGGTGGGGGAGCAGAGGCTGAGGAAGAATTGGGACCTGGCGAGGAGCAACCTGGGGTCGGGGGGAGAAGTCAGATGGGTCTGCAGAAAAGGAAGATTAGAAAGACTCAGTGACGCTTGGGGTTGGGACTGAGAGGACAGGTGGGAGGGAAAGAAGGAGGATTTGGGATGAGTCACATTGGGAACAGAGACTAGGGAGGGAACAATGTGTAAAAGAATGCCTGGACACCAGGCACCTCAGACCGTTTGCCTATTTTATGATAAGAATTATCTAGATCTGTAGGATGGAAAAATCAAAAGTGCTGTTTTCTGGCTATTTGGAACCACTGTCAAGTTTGTATTGGGGTCAAGCGGCATTGTAGAAGAAAATAAGGCGTTTAGGTTTAGGTCAGCTATGAGTTGAAGAGGTTTTAAGTTCTTGAGAACACAGGCTAAGGGAGTACAAGGAGGAATGGAGGGTGGAAGGCTGCCCATAGTGAAGGAGGCAAGCCCAGAGAAAAGAGAGAGTAGAGACATGGAGAGATGGGGTGGGGATACTTGCCCCCCAGGAAAGTGGAGAAGGAGTAGAGACATGGAGAAAAGGGGTTGGGGGGTTCTTGCCCCCCAGAAAAGCGGAGAAGGGGTAGAGACATGGAGAGAAGGAGTCAGGGGGGTTCTTGCCTCCCAGAAAAGCGGTACTTGCTGCTAAGGGGGAAGGACCAAGGCAGGCGTCCCCGAGTGGGCAGACACCTCTGAAATGTGGGTAAATAATCAGGCAGGCATCCCTGCGTGATTAAACACCGAAGGAAGACTGTCTTCCCGTGTCCGTGACTGGTGCTGGAGTTTTGGGTCCACGGATAAAACGCGTCTCCTGTCTCTACGAGAAAAGGAAAGGAACTGAAATTAAGAGAAGGGAGAGATTGAAGTGTGGTGCCAAGATTGAAAGGAGAAAGAGGTTGAGGGAGAGTGAGAGGTTGGAGAAGAGAGTAAAAAAAGGCTGCTTACCAGATTTAAAATTGGTGAGATGTTCCTTGGGCTGGTTGGTCTGAGGACCTGAGGTCGTAGGTGGATCTTTCTCATGGAGCAAAGAGCAGGAGGACAGGGGATTGATCTCCCAAGGGAGGTCCCCCGATCTGAGTCACGGCACCAAATTTCACTCGCGTCCATGTGAAGAGACCACCAAACAGGCTTTGTGTGAGCAATAAGGCTGTTTATTTCACCTGGGTGCAGATGGGCTGAGTCTGAAAAGAGTCAGCAAAGGGAGATAGGGGTGGGGCCGTTTTATAAGATGTGGGTAGGTAAAGGAAAGAGGGGGGTTGTTCTCTGGCGGGCAGGGATGGGGGTCACAAGGTGCTCAGTGGGGGAGCTTTTGAGCCAGGATGAGCCAGGAGAAGGAATTTCACAAGGTAATGTCATCATTTAAGGCAGGAACAGGCCATTTTCACTTCTTTTGTGGTGGAATGTCATCAGTTAAGGCAGGAACCCGCCATCTGGATGTGTACTTGCAGGTCACAGGGGATATGATGGCTTAGCTTGGGCTCAGAGGCCTGACACTCCGTCTCAAGATAAAAAAAAAAAAAAAAAAAAAAAGATGTTTTAGGCTTGTTTAAGAATATTTGTGCAAGATGATATTACCTCTATGCATATGACATAATAAAGATGAGTGAAAACAAAATTTGACCTTTTAAAAAGATTTCAGTCTTGCCAAAAGTGGTTGGTGGGGGGAGCCGAAGAGGACTGGAGGGGAATGAGAGAAGAGGGGTGAAAGAATGAAGGAAGGAGGTAGGGACATTTTGTGGACAATCTAAGAACACAATAAAGAAGAGAACTACAGAAAAAACATATTTTTTTAATAAGTTAGATTATTATAAACTCTTCTCACCTATTATATTTAAAACATAAATTTATATTTTAAATGTATAAATTCTCAGAAATATCTAAAATACCAGAATTGATGGAAAGTGGAATGAACCAGGAAATAGCATATTTAAAATTTGAAATGGTAATAAAAGATTCCTCTTTCCAGAAAACATCAGACCCATATGGCTCTACAGGCAAGTTCTAGGCAACTTTCAAGAAAGTTAATTTTTATTTTAAGGTATTTTTCTATCCCCAGTTAAAAAAAAACAGGCAAAAGTTGTCCAACTTAGTTTATGTGGCTAAATGTGATGTTGTTTGCAATACCAGGAGAAAGTACAGAAGAAATTTAAGTTACATATATGCTTTTACTTATGAACGTAGATACCCACCTGAAGAAAATCTAGCCAACTGAATCTGATCGAGTATCTAAAACATTAATGAATTGTTATTACAAACTGCAAGAATAGTTCAACCTCAGATTGCTCCTGTAAGAAGAAAGACTAACACGGCTTAATCCGTGTTTCTCAAACATAGCTTTAGAATCTTATTGGAGAGCTTATTAAAATTAAATTAGTTGGCTCCCCTCCCCAGAGATGCTGATTCAGTAGAATCATGGAACAGAACTGTGGAACCTGTATTTTTCTCTCTTTCTTTTTCTTTCTTTCTTTCTTTTTTTTCTTCCTTCCTTTCTTTCTTTCTTTCTTTTCTTTCTTTCTTTCTTTCTTTCTTTCTTTCTTTCTTTCTTTCTTTCTTTCCTTCCTTCCTTCCTTCCTTCCCTTTCCTTTCCCTTTCTTTCTTTCTCTCTTTTTCCTTCCTTCCTTCCCTCTCTCTCTCTTTCCTTCCTTCCTTCCCTCTCTCTCTCTTTCCTTCCTTCCTTCCCTTTCTTTCTCTCTTTCTTTCTTTCCTTTCTTTCTTTCCTTCCTTTCCTTTCTCTCTCTCTCTTTCTCTCTTTTTTTCTTCAGAGTCTCACACTGTTGCCCAGGCTGGAGTGCAGTGGTGCGATCTCGGCTCACTGCAAGCTTCGTCTCCTGGGCTCACGCCATTCTCCCACCTCAGCCCCCCGAGTAGCTGGGACTACAGGCACCCGCCACCATGCCCAGCTAATTTTTTTGTATTTTTAGTAGAGACGGGGTTTCACCGTGTTAGCCAGGATGGTCTCGATCTCCTGACCTTGTGATCTGCCCGCCTCAGCATCCCAAAGTGCTGGTATTACAGGCGTGAGCCACCCCGCCCAGTGGAACCTGTATTTCTAACAAGTTCCTAGGAGGTGCTGATGCTGCTGTTCTGAGGACCACACATGGCAGATGCATGGACTGAAGGGAATGAATGCTTTTGATGCTGCTATGTGCACCGCCCTGTATCACATTCCTACTATGTGCCAGACACTGTGCCAATCACTTTACATGCATTATATCCTTTCATTTATTTATCACAATAACCCCATTTTACTTCATTTGTGGACAAATTGAAACCTAGAAGTGTTAAATTACTTGCCAAGACACACAGCTTTTCAGTGGTGGGACTGGGGTTCAAATCTAGGTTCTTCTCAGTTCAAAGCCCACACTCTTGTCCACTCTGCTACATAGTCTTTCTTTTGCTAACCACAGGAAGATGCAAGGGAAGACTGCTATGATTCTATCCACTTTATATTAAGCTGTGGAGATGAGTAAATAACTTTCTCATGCCTCCCCTTCTGGAAGGGCTCAGTCCAAATGCCTCTCCACTCTGCAGCTTTACCAAATCAAATCCCATTTGCATCACCTGCTCCCTCCTGGCTACCCACAGCACAGCTGCAGCTCTTGGGACACTGATGACATCACAGTGGATTTATTTGTTTAAACAGTTGCTATCTCATTATTAAAATTAAGGAAAAAATGATTTTCTGGGCCTGGCGCGGTGGCTCATGCCTGTAATTCCAGCATTTTGGGAGGCTAAGGTGGGGGGTGGATCACCGAGGCCAGGAGTTCAAAACCAGCCTGGCCAACATGGTGAAACCCTCTCTCTACTAAAAATGCAAAAATTAACCAGGCATGGTGGTGGGCGCCTGTAATCCCAGCTACTCTGTAGGCTGAGGCAGAAGAATTGCTTGAACTCAGGAGGCAGAGGTTGCAGTGAGCCGAGATCACACCACTGCACTCCAGCCTGGGCGACAGAGTGAGACTCCATTTCAAAAAAAAAAAAAAAATTTCCTAATTGAGGCAGAAAAATCATTTGAGAGGGTTCAACACCTATAAATGATTTAATAAGAAACTCAGAAAACAAGGACTGCAAGGAAACTTTCTTATTCTGTTAAAGATTATACATTAAAACAACAAATAGTTTACTTAATAAAAAAGCTCTAGTTGATTTCTTTTTAAAACTGGAAACAAGAGAAACACATCCATTGTCTACTCTAACATGGTATTGGAAGATCTGAATAGTGCTGTAAGGAAAGAAAAATAACTAGGAAATTAAGGTTTCAGAACAGAGGCTCTTATTATTTGTAGTGTATATTATCAATCAACAGACAAACTATTAAAATGAATAAGAACATTCAGCAAATTTTCTAGATTAAAAAAGAGTGGGCATTTTATCACCAACAATGACTTAGTAGAAAATAAAATAACTTAGTGATACGGTGTGGCTGGGTCCCCACCCAAATCTCATCTTGAATTGCAGTTCCCATAATCCTCACATGTAGAGGGAGAGACCATGTCAGAGGTGACTGGATCATGGGGGCAGTTTCCCCATGCTGTTCTCATGATAGTGAGTTCTTATGAGATCTGATGTTTTATAAGAAGCTCTTCCCCCTTTGCTTCTCTCTCTGTCTCCTGCCACCATGTAAGATGTGCCTTTTTCTCTTCTGCCATGATTGTAAGTTTCCCGTGGCCTCCCCAGCCATATGGAACTGAACCTCTTTCCTTTATAAATTACCCAGTCTCGGGTATTTCTTTGTGAAAATTGACTAATACATTTAGATTCCATTCACAATAGAAATAAGAAATAGAAAGTATCTAGGCATTACTCTAAGCAAGGCTACTCATACCACCCATGGAAAACATTTTAAAATTATAATAAAGAACAAAGAAGATAATGAGAAGTAAATGAGTGATACAGCATGCTTTTGGATGATAGAAAATTATACAATGTCAATTATTCTCAAATTAGCTAACTCAGTGCAATCCCAGTTAAAGTTCTCATTGGAGATTTTGAGAAACTTGTTGAACTTATCTACATTTAAAAGGAAAAAGTAAAAAGGCATTACATAGCTAAATCAATAATGAAAAAGAAGAATAAAGAAAAAGAGCTTGCTATCTCAGATGTCAGACATGCTTCAAAGCCAAATCATTGTGTTACTGGACCAAGAATGTATAAATAAACTAATAGAAGAGGAGAATTCAGAGATAGACACTTGATATACAATATACATATTTCAAATAATCATAAATCAATGAAAAAGAGTAGATGATTTAGTTGATTCTATTGGGAATCTGCCTCCATGGCAGCATATCCCAAGAGAATTTCTATTAATAGATGAATTAAAGACCGAGTGTGGAAGGTAAAAGCTAGAGGTTAATAAAAGACGATATTGGAGAATAGTATCTTTATAATCTAGTAGCAGAAAAAGGTTTCTTAATCCAAACCCCAAACACACACATCATAAAAACCTAAAAAGGAATGAAGTTGATCACATCAAAATCAAGAATCTGTTAAAAAAACAGCACCATGAATAAAGTTAATAAAATGAGAGAAGATCTTTGAAATGTATACACCTGACAAGGGACTGATATCTAGAATCATTAAGACACTCCTACAAATCAACAAAAAGAATGCAGCTCTAAGGAAAGCTGGGAAAGGATAAGAACAGTTTCCATGAGTGGAATTTATTTCTAATAAATTAACAAAAAATTACAATGTTGGAAATTTCAAATGGTAGTGGGGTGGAGATTGTTACCACTCTTCTGAAGAGCAATGGGCAGTTCTTATTCAAATTCAGTGTATAAATGTTCGGTATATAGCATACATGTATATATATATATTCAGTATGCAGCATATATGTATAAATATTCATCATGTATATACTGTATGTGTGTGTGTGAATGCAAACATATACTTTCACCAAGCAATTGCAGTGCTGAGTTTATGCTCTGAAGATTTTCCCAACCAAATAATGAGGCATGTTTAGAAGCATACTCATCACAATATTGGAAATTAAGTATCTATTCCAATCCAAGTATCTATCTCTGAGCATCAGACAGGTGTCCAGTGGTGGACGTATTCCATGAAGCACAACGAAGGCATTAAAGAACCCATAAAAAAGGCCAGGCATTGCGGCTCATGCCTATAATCGCAGCACTCTGGGAGGCTGAGGGGGGTCATTTGAGCTCAGGAATTCAAAAACTGTCTGGGCAACATGGTGAGATTCTATCTCTGCAAAAATATACAAAAATTAGCTGGGCATGGTGGCACATGCCTGTAGTCCCAGCTACCTGGGGGGCTGAGGTAGGAGGACTGCTTGAGCCCAGGGGGTCTCAAGCCTGCACTCCAGCCTGGGTGACAGAGTGTGACCCTGTCTCAAAAACAACAACAACAACAAAAACCTCATAGAACAGTACATAGAACAGTAGTATTGACTGGGTGACACACAAACAGATAGATGGATTACAAACGTTGGTCTAAATATAAAAGTGAGAGACATAACATTATCCATTACTTGTTTAAATACATTCAGATATATGTAGACAAAAATAACATTATACAGATTATATTAGACTATGGTTGCTGAGCTTAAAAAATAAAAATGCAGGATGCTGAGTTATATGTGAGTTTCAGAGTAACAATGAATAACTTTTTGTATAAGTATGTGCTAAGTATTATTACAAGCACAGTCCATACAGTATTTGATACATACTTATACTAAAACATTATTTATAGTTTCTCTGAAATTCAAATTTAACTGAGTCCTGTATTTAATCTGCCAACTCTACACCAAACAAAAGATACATGAACCTGTTAGAAGCGTTGCCTTTTAAGGGTAGGGAGCAGAATGGTATTGGAAAATGCAGATAAAATGGGTGAAATAAAACAGATAAACAAAAATAAATCAAAAGAGGGCCATGGACAGCTCAATGGTGATAAAGTGCCATGCACTGAACATAATTAACTTCACTAGCTGTTTCTAAGTGTAACAAGGGAGAAAAGAGGCAGAGTGATACTTGGAGAAAAGAAGGAAAAAGGAAAGGAAAAAAAGCCACAATTTATAAGAGCTTCATTAAAAATATATTGAGAAATATCATGGCGTGGAACTGACTTATAAGTGATATTCCCTAGTAAATTGCAAAGTGACCTTTTGGATTGGGGAATAACTAATTATTTTTAGATAAACGAAACCCACATTTTTATTTTCTTCCTGATATTTTCATCTTTAGTGAATAAAAATGTTTAATGAACATTCAGTGCATTAAAATGATAAGTTCAGGGTTATTGTGTAACAAAAACATATTTGAAATACCATACCATGTTTTCACACACAAGGGAAAATTCATATACAAAATAATTACTTGAGCAGCAAAGAAAGTTAGATCCTAACATGTTTTGGTCTCCTCCAGCAGTTGCCAGAGAAAAATGCCCTCAGTCAAGATAAACAACACTCTTGAATCATGAAGTCCTGAACCCATCATAAGCCCTGTATTTTAGCAGCAAAGTCAGCCTTATCATCTCATGTGACCCCAGACAAACATTTTCCTCTGGCTCAACATGACAGTCAAAACACTGATATTAGTACCTTGCAGATCTGAAGCAATGTGCAAATCACATTGGATTAACAAGCTCTTAGGGGTAGCCAAATTCAAACAAGCGAGTTCACTCAAGCAGGAGATCCAGGTGAGAAAACTGCAGAATTCCTGACCTGATTTTTTTTTTCTTTTTTGAGACAGCTCTGTCATCCAGGCTAGAGTGCAGTGGCATGATCTTGGCTCACTGCAGCCTCAACCTCCTGGGCTCAAGGGATCCTCCTGCCTCAGCCTCCTGGGTAGCTGGGACCACATGTGCACACCACCACACCTGGCTAATTTTAAAACATTTTTTGTAGACACAGGGTCTTGCCATGTTGCCGAGGCCGGTATTGAAATCCTAGGCTCAAGCAATCCTCCCACCTCGGCCTCCTACCTGGGATTACAGGCATCAGCCATCACACCTTGCCCTAGCTGGAATTGTGTTTGTGTAATTAAAAAATAGTAGCTGGTTATGGAAGGTATCTGCTTTTTTTTTTTCTTTTCTTTCTTTTTTTTTTTTTTTTTTTTTCGGTGAGACAGAGTCTTGCTCTGTCAGCCAGGCTAGAGTGCAGTGGCACAATCTTGGCTCACTGCAACCTCTGCCTCCCAGGCTCAAGCAATTCTCCTGCCTCAGCCTCCCGAGGAGCTGGAATTACAGGCTTGTGCCATCATGCCTGGCTAATTTTTGTATTTTTAGTAGAGATGGGGTTTCACCATGTTGGCCAGGCTGTTCTTGAACTCCTGACCTCAGGTGATCCGCCCACCTCAGCCTCCCAAAGTGCTGGGATTACAGGCGTGAACCACCACGCCTGGCCAGTATCTCCTCACTCTTAGCAAATTGATGAAATGTTGGCATCAGACAGGAATGAGAGAAAAATCCATAGTCCTGAAAACCCAGGTCCTCAAATCCCTCGTGTTCATGCCCATAGAGTGTCAATCTCCTTTGTCTTAATTATTCTTCTTCATTAAAAAAAAAAAAAAAAAAAAAACTTACTAATTGTTCTCAACTCTCTGGATAGAGAGTTGCCCTTCAAAATCAGATTAGTCAATGTTGGCACAGCATTGTTTCTTGCTTTAGGATACAGTTCTTCATTTTCTGTACAGTTTATCTGTTTTCCCACCTCTTTGCCAGGTCTGTTCCTAGAACACAAGAGTCTTTCCTTGATTTATACTCTTGAATTTATCACTAAAGTGTTCGACAATCCCACGGACAAAACCCAGCAATATTATTCTGGGAACCAAGAAGATTTTTTGAGCCAACTTCATATTTTCATAATAAGCAATTACATGGCCCTCTGTGATTTGGGTCAGATTATTCACCTTTCAGAGTTTAGTGACTATAGTATGGGATGTGAAGTAATGATACTGAGTGCTTTGAAATCTGAGTTCTGATGGTCAACGGCTGCGTAAATTTGGCATGCTTCTTTTTTATTTTAAGTTCCAGGATACATGTGCAGAATGTGCAGGTTTGTTACACAGGTAAACATGTGCTATGGTGGTTTGCTGCACCCATCAACCCATCACCTAGATATTAAGCCCAGCATGCATTTGCTATTTTTCCTGATGCTTTCCCTCCCCCACCACCCCCAATAGCCCCCAGTATGTGTTGTTCCCCTCCCTGAGTCCATGTGTTCTCATTGTTCAGCACCCACTTATAAGTGAGAACATATGGTGTTTGGTTTTCTGTTCCCGTATTAGTTTGCTAAGGATAATGACTTCCAGCTCCATCCATGTCTCTGCAAAGAACATGAGCTCATTCTTTTTATGGCTGCATAGTATTCTATGGTATATATGTATCAAATTTTCTTTATCCAGTCTAATATTGATGGGCATTTGGGTTGATTGCATGTCTTTGCTATTGTGAATGGTGCTGCAGTGAACATACACATGCATGCATCTTTATAATAGAATGATTTATATTCCTTTGGATAGATACCAAATAATGGGATTGCTAGGTCAAAATGTATTTCTGGTTCTAGGTCTTTGAGGAATCGCCACACTGTCTTCCACAATGATTGAATTAATTTACATTTCCACCAACAGTATAAAAGTGTTCCTATTTCTCCACAGCCTCGCCAGCATCTGTTGTTTCTTGACTTGTTAATAATCGCCATTCTGACTGGCATGAGATGGTATCTCATTGTGGTTTTGATTTGCATTTCTCTAATGATCAGTGATGTTGAGCTTTTTGTCATATGATTGTTGGCTGCATAAATGTCTTCTTTTGAGGAATGTCTATTCCTGTCCTTTGCCCACTTTTTAATGGGGTTTTTTCTTGTGAATTTGTTTAGGTTCCTTGTAGATTCTGGATATTAGACCTTTGTCAGATGGATAGATTTGCAAAAATTTTCTCCCATTCTGTAGGTTGTCTGTTCCCTCTGATGATAGTTTCTTTTGCTGTGCAGAAGCTCTTTAGTGTCAACTTTTGCTTTTGTTGCAATTTAGCATGTTTCTTAATTTTGCGCTGCCATATTTTCTAATGTACCAACCAAACACAATATTTATTTTTTTAATACAAATAAAGGAATGACCACTGGCATCTCTTCTCTAAATTTTCCATGAACGTCCCTTTTTTTTTCGGACGGAGTCTCGCTCTTGTCGCTCAGGCTGGAGTGCAACGGCACGATCTCAGCTCACTGCAACCTCCGCCTCCTGAGTTCAAGCAATTCTCCTGCCTCAGCCTCCCAAGTAGCTGGGATTACAGATGCCCAACACCATACCTGGCTATTTCTTTTTGTATTTTTAGTAGACACGGGGTTTCACCATGTTGGACAGGCTGGTTTTGAACTCCTGACCTCAAGTGATCTGCCCTCCTCGGCCTCCCAAAGTGCTGGGATTACAGGCTTGAGCCACTGAGCCCGGCCTCATTAACATTCTTCTAAGAAAAGATGGCAACAATCCCATTTCTAGCAGAAAATATTTGAAGTTTATTTCATTTAATTAGCTCATAATCTTGGGCTATTTATTGAGTGTTGTAATATGTGACTTCAGGAAACAAGGTGGTTTCTACCCTTTTGAAAGTTATAGTATGGGGAGACAGATAATAAACAGGCAAAAATAAACAGGACAAGTTACCAAATGGTAAGTGATTTTTGGAAACATTTTGATGATGATTTATAATAGACAGACATACAGTTTCAGAAATAGTTAGCTTGTTTAGTTTTGAGTTGCTTTTATCATATAGTTATATACTATAGTGATTAAGTTATATGTTCCCTGCCCTTAGATACTCTGCTAAATTGACCAAAGGTTGGCAAACCCTTTTTCTATAGAGGGCCAGATATTAAATATTTTAGACTCTGCAGGCCATGTAGTCTCTGCTGTACTACTCAACTGTGCCATTGAAGTCAAAAGAGCAGCCATAGCTAATACATAAACAAATAAGCATGGCTAGGTTCCGTTAAAAACTTTATTTGGCTGGGCGCAGTGGCCCATGTCCCAGCACTTTGGGAGGCTGAGGCAGGCGGATCACGAGGTGAGGAGTTCAAGACCATCCTGGCCAAGATGGTGAAACCCCGTCTCTACTAAAAATACAAAAAATTAGCCAGGTGTGGTGGCGGGCGCCTGTAATCCCAGCCACTCAGGAGGCTGAGGCAGAGAACTGCCTGAACTCGGGAGGCTGAAGTTGCAGTGAGCCAAGATGGTGCCACTGCACTCCAGCCTGGCTGGCAGAGCAAGACTCTGTCTCAAAAACAAACAAACGTACAAAACGCTTTATTTATGGACGTACAACTTTGATTTTCATGTGATTTTCATGTGTCACTAAATATTAATATTCTTTGATTTGTTTTCAACTGTTGAAAACTGTAAATACTGTTCTTAGTTGGCATGCCACACAAAACAGGCAACAGGCTGGTCTCACAAAGTGCTGGGATTACAGGTGTGAGCCACTGTGCCTGGTCCACTTTCTCAGTCTTTCTGATGTGTCCCAATGACTTGCTATCGTGTGAAAATGCAGATTCTGATGGAGTAGGCCTAAGGTGGAACCTGAGATTCTGAATATTGATGTTTTGGGTCTAGGGTAGCAAGAATATAGAAAGTGCTGTTGAGAACACACAGAAAAGTTCTGCCAGGATACAGAGAAAAATGCTAGGGAGAATATCTCTGGATAGGGGATCAAGACAATGAGGAGTAAATGGGACTTTCACAATTTTCTGTTTAAACTTCTGTTTCACTTGATTTTTTATAACAGATTTTATTTCTAGAATATTTTGTTAAGAACGCAAACTTTGGGATAGTCATAAATAAATTTGACAGAGGCATAGGGTGAAATTTTAAGGCACTATTAAGCTCATGTTTTCTAAGAATAGTAAAAGACATGGAAAATATGTCCAATGTAATGTTAAGAGAAAAAAACTCAGGATACACACACTACATATTATTATATACATGATCATACGTACAGGCATACCTCTTTTTTTTTTTTTTTTTTTTTTTTTTTTGAGACAGAGTCTTACTCTGTCACCCAGGCTGGAGTGCAATGGCGTGATCTTGGCTCACTGCAACCTCTGCCTCCTGGGTTTAAGCGATTCTCCTGTCTCAGTCTCCAGAGTAGCTGGGATTACAGGCTCCTGCCACCATGCCCGGCTAATTTTTTGTATTTTTAGTAGAGACGGAGTTTCACCGTGTTAGCCAGGATGGTCTCGAACTCTTGACCTTGTGATCTGCCCTCCTCAGCCTCCCAAAGTGTTGGCATTACAGGCGTGAGCCACCGGGCTGGGCCAGGCATACATCTTTTTATTGCACTTTGTTTATTGTGCTTCACAGATACTGTGTTTTCCAGAAATTGAAGATTTGTGTCAACCCCGCATCATGCACATTTTCAGCAGCATGTGCTCATTTTGTGTCTCTGGGGACATTTTCGTAATTCTTACAGTATTTTAAACTTTTTCATGATTATTATATTGATTATGGTGATCTGTGATCTTTGATGTTACTATTGTAATTGTTTTGGGACACTACAAACCATGCCTATATAAGATGAGAAACTTAATTGACACATGTTTTTTGTATTTTGACTGCTCCACTGACAGACCGTTATCCCTCCCCTCAGGCCTCCCTATTCCCTGAGACACAATAATATTGAAATAAGGCCAATTAATAATCCTACAGTGGCCTCTAAGTGTTCAAATGAAAGGAAGAATTGCATGACTCTCAGTAAGTCAAAAGTTAGGAATGATTCAGCTTAGTGAGGAAGGCATGTTGGAAGCTGAGATAGGCTGAAAGCTAAGCCTCTCACACCAAACAGCCAAGTTGTGAATGCAAAAAATAATAATTATTATTATTATTGAAGGAAATTAAGTGTATTCCCTGTTACTCCAGGGAATACACAAATGATAAGAAGGCAAACAGCCTATTGTTGATTAAGGAGAAAGTTTGAGTGGTCTGGATAGACCATCAAACAAGCCACAGCCTTCCCTTAAGTTAAAGCCTAATCCACAACAAGACCCTAACACTATTCAGTTGTATAAAGTCTGAGAGAGGGGAGGAAGCTGCAGAAGAAAACTTAGAAGCTAGCAGAGGTTGGTTCCTGAGGTTTAGGGAAAGAAGCTGTCTCCATAACAGAAAACTACAAGGTGAAGCAGCAAGTCTCCCAGATCTAGCTAAGATAATTGATGAAGGTGGCTACACTAAACAACAGATTTTCAGTGTAGATAAAACGACTTCCATTGGAAGAAGTTGCCGTCTAGGACATTCATAGCAAGAGAGCAAAAGTCAATGCCTGGCTTCAAAGCTTCAAAGGACAGGCAGGGTCTCCTGTTAAGGGCTAATGCAGCTGGTGACTTTAAGTTGAAAACAACGTTCCTTTATCATTCCAAAAATCCTAAGGCCCTTAAGAATTATGTTAAATCTACTCTTCCTGGGCTTTCCAAATATAACAACAAAGCCTAGATGACAGCATATCTGTTTATACCATGGTTTGCTGAATATTTTAAGGCCACTGTTGAGACATACTGCTCAAAATAAAAAGATTCCTTTCAAAATGTTACTGCTCATTGACAAAGCACCTGGGCACCCAGGAGCACTGAAGGAGATGTACATGGAGATGAATGTTTCTTTTATGCCTGTTAACATAACATTCATTCTACAGCCTATGGATCAAGGTGTCATTTTGACTTTCAATTGTTATTATTTGAGAAATCATTTTGTGAGGCTATAGCTCCCATAGATTGTTATTTCTCTGATGTATCTGGGCAAAGAAAATTGAAAACCTCTGAAAAGCATTCACCATTCTAGATGTCATTAAGAACATCTGCAATTCGGCGGGGTGCGGTGGCTCACGCCTGTAATCCCAGCACTTTGGGAGGCCGAGGTGGGCAGATCAACTGAGGTTGGGAGTTCGAGACCAGCCTGACCAACATGGAGAAACCCCGTCTCTACTAAAAATACAAAATTAGCCGGGTGTGATGGCGCATGCCTATAATCCCAGCTACTCTGGAGGCTGAGGCAGGAGAATCGCTTGAACCCGGTAGGTGGACATGTGGTGAGCTGAGATCGCACCATTGCACTCCAGGCTGGGCAACAAGAGCAAAACTCGGTTTCAAAAAAAGAAAAGAAAAAGAACATCTGCAATTCATGGGAGGTGGGCAAAATATAAACATTCACAGGAGGTTGGAAGAAGTTGATCCAACCCTTATGGATACCTTTGAGGGATTCAAGGCTTCAGTGAAGGAAGGAACTGCAGATGTGGTAGAATTAGCAAGATAACTAGAATTAGAAGTGGCACCTGAAGATGTACTGAATTGCAGCAATCTCTTGGTAATACTTGAACAGATAAGGAGTTGCTTCTCATAGATGAACAAAGAAAGTAGTTTCTTGGCCAGGTGTGGTGGCTCATGCCTATAATCCCAGCATTTTGGGAGGCCAAGGTGGGTAGATCATGAGGTCAGGAGTTTGAGACCAGCCTGGACAAGATGGTGAAACCCTGTCTCTACTAAAAATAAAAAAATTAGCCGGGCGCGCTAATTACAGGTGGCAGGCACCTGTAATCCCAGCTACTCGGGAGGCTGAGGATGGAGAATTGCTTGAACCCGGGAGGCGGAAGTTGCAGTGAGCCGAGATTGCACCACTGTACTCTAGCCTGGGCGACAGAAAGAGATTCCATCTCAAAAAAACAAACAAACAAAAAAAAGAAAGTAGTTTCTTGAGATGGAATCTATCCCTTGTGAAAATGCGGTGAACACTATTGGAATGACAAGGAAGGATTTAGAATACTATGTAAACTTAGTTGATAAAGCAGTGACAGGGTTTGAGAGGCTTGACTCCAATTTTGAAAGAAGTTCTACCATGGTTCACATGTTTTCAAACAGCATCGCATGCTACAGAGAAAACTTTAGTGAAAGAGTAAATCGATGTGGCAAACTTCATCGTTGCCTTAATTGCCACAGCCAAACCAACCTTCATTAACTACCACCCTGATCAATCAGCAGCCATCAATATCAAGGCAAGACTATCCACCAGCAAAAATATTTCATCTCACTGAATGCTCAGCTTAGCATTTTTTTAGCAATAGAGTTTTTTAAATGAAGGTATGTACATTGGGTTTTTTAAGACAATATGCAATTGCACAGTTCATAGAGTACATTGTAATGTAAACATAACTTTTGTAAGTACTGAGAAGCCAAAAAAATGTGTGTGACTCACTTTAGGAAGATATTAGCATTATTGCAGTGCCCTTGAACCAAACCTGTAATATCTCTGAGGTATGCCTGCACATAACCATGGGAAAGAATGCAAAGAGTGGAATCAGTGAAATTTTTTCTTCTTTCTTTGCAGTCTTTATATTTTCCAAAATTTTCATGATAAACATGTATTATTATAAAACAGAAAAATAAAGTATCTCTTATAGCAGATGAAGAAACAAATTAAGAATAAAAACATGCAAAATCATCAATTATTCTTCAGTCTCAGTTAGAAATTGAGCAAATGGGCCAGGCACAGTGGCTCACGCCTGTAATCCCAGCACTTTGGGAGACCAAGGTGAGAGGATCACGAGGTCAGGAGATGGAGACCATCCTGGCTAACACGGTGAAACCCTGTCTCTACTAAATAAATACAAAAAAAAATTAGCTGGGCCTGGTGGCAGGCGCCTGTAGTCCCAGCTACTTGGGAGGCTGAGGCAGGAGAATGGAGTGAACCCAGGAGGTGGAGCTTGCAGTGAGCCGAGATGGTGCCACTGCATTCCAGCCTGGGGCGACAGAGCGAGACTCCGTCTCAAAGAAAAAAAAAAAAAGGAAAATCAGCAAATGCGGCCAGGTGCGGTGGCTCACACCTGTAATCCCAGAACTTTGGGAGGCTGAGGTGGGCGGATCACCTGAGGTCAGGAGTTTGAGACCAGCCTGGCCAACATGGTGAAGCCCCATCTCTACTAAAAATACAAAATTCTCAGGGCATGGTGGCATGTGCCTGTAATCCCAGCCACTCGAGTGGCTGAGGCAGGAGAATCACTTGAACCTGGGAGGCAGAGGTTGCAGTGAGCCGAGATCACAGCATTGCACTCCAGCCTGGGCAACAAGAGCAAAACTCCCTATTAAAAAAAAACACAAAGCACAGGCCTATGATCTTGAGAGAGTATTAGGAATATTTTTTGTTGTATATGTCTGGAAATTTTCAGTTAGGTTCCAACAGCTGACCAGGGGTAGGACCTGGACTCCAACTAAGACCTCTGTTTCCCAGTTCCATGTTCCATGTTCTTCCAACTTTCTTAGTTTCTTACTTTCTCTCTCTCTCTTCTTTCTTTTCTTTCTTTCTTTCGTTCTCCTTCTTTCTTTCTTTCTTTCTTTCTTCTCTCCTCTCTCTCTCTTCTCTCTCCTCTCTCTCTCTCTTGCTCTGTTGCCAAGGCTGGAGTGCAGTAGTGCAATCTCAGCTCACTGCAAACTCTGCCTCCCAGGCTCAAGCGACCCTCCCACCTTAGCCTCCCAAGTAGCTGGGACTATAGGTGTGTGCCACCACACCTGACTAATTTTTGTATTTTTTGTAGAGACGGAGTTTTGCCATGTGGCCCACGCTGGTCTCAAACTCCTGAGCTCAAGTGATTCCTTCTCTTTGGTCTTCTGAAGTGCTGGGATTACAAGCTGAGCCACCGCACCCGGCCTTCCTCCTCATCTTTACTGCTTCGCTCTGAGAAAAGGTAGAGCTACGCAGAGCAACTCACCATCCACTCATATCTATTAATAGGACTGCCCTGGGGAGGACTATAGATTTACTAAAGTTAGGCTTAAACTATGCTATAAACTAAGATGTACATAAGAGGCACTTTAATTTTAATAGACATAAGCCAAAGGGGTTTATCTGACGTGTTGAAATTTAAGGATGCCTGCAGGTTGGGAGGAAAAAGAAAAAATTTGCCATCTGAGACCTAGGTAACTATACAATATAGAGGCTTACTTCTTGTTTTGAAAATGGAAATACAGCCAAGTGTGGTGGCTAATGTTAGTAATCCCAGCACTTTGAGAGGCCTAGGCAGGAAGACTGCTTGAGCCCAAGAGTTCAAGACCAGCCTGAGCAGTAAGACCCCATCTCTACAAAAAATAAAAATAAAATAAAATAAAAATTAATTAGATGAGCAGGGTGGCGTGAGCAGGGTGATGTGTGCCTTGTAGTCTCAGCTACTTGGGACGCTAAGGTGGGAAGATCCCTTGAGCCTAGCAGTTCAAGGTGGCAATGAGCCATGATTGTATCACCTGCACTCCAGCCCGGGCAACAGAGCAATACTTTGTCTCAAAAAAATAAAATAAAATAAAATAAAGGAAGAAAGAAAGAACACACACAAGAAAATGGAGAAGCAATCTACTTTTGTTCAATCTGAGGGAGATGAAAGGAAGTAGGTATTAATGAAATAAACCTTAGAAAATGAATCTCGTGTGTGGGCACAGTGGCTGATGCCTGTAATCACAGCACTTTAGGAGGCCGAGGCAGGCAGACCATTTGAGGTCAGGAGTTGGAGACCAGCCTGGCCAACATGGTGAAACCCCCTCTCTACTAAAAATACAAAAAAATAGCTGGGCGTTGTGGTGCATGCCTGTAATCTCAGCTACTCGGGAGGCTGAGGCAGGAGAATTGCTTTAGCCCGGGAGGTAGAGGTTGCAGTAAGCTGAGATTGCGCCATGCACTCCAGCCTGGGCAACAGAGCAAGACTGTTTCCAAAAGAAAAAACTGAATCTTGTGACTATGATTGGATGCTCAGCATCTCCCTAGGTAGCACATTCTTTGTTTGAGCAACATGTATTTTGCAAAGTATTTGTATTGTGATCAAATTGGAGAACTTCTACCCTCTGGCCTTTCTTGCCCTCTGTAGGACCATATGGAGTAGTCATGAGAGGTAGAAGGCTCTGTGAAGACCCAGAGTCCCTAACCCCCTGCTTAGGAAGCTGATGCTATGATTTGGCCATGTTCATTGTAGTACCCTCCACTTGAGTCCAACTTTATCCATTTCAAAACCTTTAGCACTCTTACCTCATTTAATCCTAACATCATCATCAGATATAAACTGAGCACAGTCTCTTAAGAGATGACTCGGGTGGGGCACGATGGCTCACATCTGTAATCCCAGCACTTTGGGAGGCCGAGGCGGGCAGATCATGAAGTCAGGAGATCGAGACCATCCTGGCCAACATGGTGAAACCCTGTCTCTACTAAAAATGTAAAAATTAGCTGGGCATGGTGGTGCGCATCTGTAGTCCAAGCTATTTGGGAAGCTGAAACAGGAGAATCGCTTGAACCCAGGAGGTGGAGGTTGCAGTGAGCCGAGATTGTGCCATTGCACTCCAGCCTGGCGACAGAACGAGACTCCGTCTCAAAAAAAAAGCCAAAAAAAAGATGACCCAAGGTGGTTACATGACTTGCCTAAGGACCCACAGCACATAGATGGTAGAGCTTCCAAAACAGATTAAAATCTGATTCTTGGTCCAATTCTCTTTCCACTAAACCCCCCTATTGATTTTGCAAAGGGGATAAACATGAAGCCAAATAACAGACAACTAGATTTGTTAGGACGATTCACTTTGTTTCAAGTTAAAATTTTCTGTAGTTGTTTGGATCCAACATTGAATCCAGTATAAATGAAGCAGGAACTGAGGTAAACTAGGGCACATTTAGGCCTGATGTTATGTGTCAAAATACCATTTGGATCTGTCTATTTGAATCTACATTCCAGGATTTTTCACAACAAAGAATAAATAAATAGATGCATTCTTGAGTACAGTGCTTCATGTATTTGGGAGTTTCATTTGGTTATTTTTTTTTTGTATCCTGATTATTATTCCAAGCTTATCTTTTGATCTGCTAAGATAAGTGCTTTTTTAAAAAAAAGAAATTGCTGTTGAAGGTGCTACTTTATTTTGACTTTGAAATGTTACTTTATTCACATTTTCTTGTCTCTCCTACTATATATTTCAGGGTCTTTGAGAAACAACCTTTTCATTTGCAAAATGCCAATTACAGGTTTTTAATAAAAAGGGGTGTGGTTGGACTTATTTGTTATTGTAGATTGAGTAAAATCCATTAGTAAATTAAACTGAAATTACTTATTTCACAAAGGAAGAGACTTATAAATCAAGAAAACCGAGGTTACCATAGCAATCTCTGGCATCTGAAGATTAGAAACGGAGGACTATATTCTACTTTCTAGAAAACACTTCATTAGAGAAAAGATATATGATATGTCTTGAGGGTGGAATATGACAATAAAAGTAGATCACTGCTTAACAAAAATACTTCATTTTTTCCTCCAACTAAAAATAATGCAAGTAATTTGAAGCAATTTTTATCATAAATGTGCATAATACTTCTCTCTCTGACACTGTTTGATATTTATTCAATAAGAGGAATGGAGGAGGATTGCGTGCTCAGCTGACTATATTTATTAAAAATACCCTAGCTGTAGCAAAAACGTTTTGTGGAAAACTGCGCAAAAGGAATGAAATTGTAGAAAGGCACTTTTTAAAAAGCAAGAAGAGAACCAAGCAAAGTCAACTCTGAGGTAGACTTATTGTAGCAATTAATACACAATTGTGTGTTTGTGTGTGTGTGTCTTTGTGTGATTTCTGGTCTTTTGGCTCATCAAAGATACACCAAATAGACCTGCTACAGTGGACATCTGTTGTTTTTGCCTGCCCAGCAGCCATTCCTCCTTTTGGTAACAGCATTTTAATTTACCTTTGACAAATGACACTTTGCCCAACGTGTATGATCTTTTCATGATATTCGTTCAAGATATCCTGCTCTCCTCTGACCAAAGGATAGGCACATGACCCTAAACAGGCCAGCCAGACTGTCTCCTGGGCATCTGAATCTTTCATGAATGATACAAGGACAGGAAATGGTTGGCGGGGATCCATCTCAACTCTAGCACCATGAAGAGACTGTACTCTGCTTCCTGCAAATTTGATATTCACAGCAGCCCACTTAACGTCTTTTCAGAGGTCTGACTGCTCAGGTTTTTCTTGTATTCAGATTTATTTATTTATTTTTAATTTGCTTAAGTTAGCCAGAGTTAGTTTCTGTTACTTATAGCCAAGTCCTAACTGATATTCATGCCAGTGGGGAAAGAGACACTACAGATTGCTAGTGCATGTATTTTACAATTTTCCATTTTATAATTGAGTATTATTTGTGAAGGACTATGACTATGATCCAAACATCCCCGTTTTCTAGGGACTGGATCCAGTACTTTTTACTAGGATCTTCCTCCTGAAGGCAACTTCAGTATGATTAAATCTTATTAAATTTGAGATTCAGGATACATGGGAGGAAGAAAAAGCATGGTGAGTTTTATGACTCAGTAGTCTAATTTGATGAATCCAGTAAAGCTTCAAACTGAAAGGGAGAAAGCACATCAGTGCTCTGGATACTAAATACCCATGGGAAGGACTTTGTGTACCAAAGACAACAGTGGACAAAGACTCCACAACATGAGGAAGCCTGGCTAAGAAGACAAACCTTACTAGTTACCCAAGTATTTTATAGAACTAGGATTTTTTTTTTTTTTTCTGAGACAGTGTTTCACTCCTGTTGTCCAGGCTGGAGTGCAATGGTGCGATCTCGGCTCACCGCAACCTCCGCCAACTTGGTTTAAGCGATTCTCCTGCCTCAGCCTCACGAATAGCTGGGATTACAGGCAGGTGCCACAACGCCCAGCTAATTTTGTATTTTTAGTAGAGACAGGGTTTCTCCATGTTGGTCAGGCTTGTCTCAAACTCCCAACCTCAGGTGATCCACCCCCTTCGGCCTCTGAAAATGCTGGGATTACCGATGTGAGCTACTGCGCCCGGCCAACTAGTATCTTTTATTAAGGCAGTTTAAAAAGAGTTTAGCAGACATCGCAGCATTATTCACAATGGCTAAAATAGAGAAGCAACGCGCATCCAGTGACGAATAAATGGATAAGGAAAATGTGTCATATGCATACAGTGTCGTAGTACTCTGGGGAGGGGTAGATCAGAAGTTATTGTTTCATGGATGCAGAGTTTCAGTTTCACAAGACGAAAAGAGCTCTGGAGATAGATAGTGGTGGTCATCGTACAACATCATTAATGTATTTAATACGACTGAACTGTATACTTAAAAATTATTAAGGTGGTAAATGTTATGTGAATTTTGCCAAAAATTTTTTTTTTAAAAAAGAACTTGGTGGATAAAAGTAATCAGTTTTATGTGAAGGACATTAAGGCAAGGGCTGTTTCTGTGAGTTGGATATGCAACGCCATACCCTGAGACTCACAGTTTTTATTTTCATTTTTTTCATAATCCATTTTTGGGAATTTCTTTCACAAGTTAGAGAGATCAGATAAGCCCATTTTTTTCAGATATAAAACATTAGTGTATCCAGTAAATAACTTACTCTGAATAACAAAGCTAGTAAGTAGATAAGACTAGTAAAGTCCTTGCTCTTAACAATCTGAATGTCTATACATTTTATAATTTAAAAAATTTCAAATTCCATGAGTTTCATAAAATGCATTATACCTTATGTGTATGGCATTATATATATAGTATGGCATACAGTGATTTCTCTCAAAGTCCAAATATAATTTCAGCCTCAGAAAGATCCTCAACTTTCCTCAGCTCTCCAGATGTTCTGACCTTCATATGCTCCTCTAGAAATAATAGTTAATAGTAATGCTGATAATAACAATAGTCAGATATTATAGATCACTTGTTATTTCTCAGACTGTGCTAACTCCGGGATATGAATCAATTCATTTAATCCTCACAACAACTTTGCAAAGTAGACATTATTATTATTACTGTTATCCTCCTTTTATAGATAAAGAAACTTGAACTTAGAGAAGCAGACGTAACTTGCTCAAAGTAAACTTTCCAGTTACTGAGAGGTAGAGGTAGGATTCAAACACAGGAAGCTTGACTTCAGACCCTAAAACTTCCAACACGACTTCTCCACTTTCTAAACTTGAACTCTACTGTTGCTTGGCAGGCTACATACATCTTTGACTTATCCTTCTCTAAAGGGTGGTGCTAAAAGTGACTGAGAGGCCGGACACGGTGGCTCATGCCTGTAATCCCAGTACATTGGGAGGCCGAGGTGGGCAGATCACAGGGTCAGGAAATTGAGACCATCCTGGCCAACAGGATGAAATCCCGTCTTTACTAAAAATACAAAAATTAGCTTGGCGTGGTGCCGCATGCTCGTAGTCCCAGTTACTTGGGAGGCTGAGGCATGAGAATCGCTTGAACCAGGGAGGCAGAGGTTGCAGTGAGCTGAGATCATGCCACTGCACTCCAGCCTGGTGACAAAGTGAGACTCCACCTCAAAATAAAATAAAATAAATAAAATAAAATAAAATAAAATAAAATAAGTAAAAATAAAAAGTGACTGAGAACAATGTGTTTGTTTCACAACAATAAAAAGAAAGTCAAATTAAATTCTTCCTTAGAAACAGGGTATCATTCTTTCTTTATCTGAATTAGTAGCAGTACCTAATTCAAATGTACTGTTCCCACACAATCTCCCAGGCACCTAGCTCTTCTCCTGTTAGTTTTATTTTAAGCCCCAACTAGAATCCATCCTTAGTTAACCTTCCTAGAGGTTAGTTATTCACTCCTCTGTTCTCCTGAAGAATAGATGATGGCTATAATGGAATTTTTTGGTTATACAGCTGACTTCCTCATTAGACTGTAAATTATTCTACATTGGACATTCTACTAGATTATTGATCATTCTATTCCCAGAGACTAACACAATGCCTGGCACATGGCAGCACTTAGTAGTAGTGTCAATGAATAAATGATCCAGTGAAGTCTTGATCTGAAATCCAAATTGACCTCTGCTCTGCAAGTACATTTTAAAAAACAGCACTCCTCATATTTCATGTCCTCCCCTTCCATTGATTTCAATTATTTACATCAGAATTATTTAATCATGTGGCAGATAATTAAGGAATACATTATTTATGTTAAATAAATTAACCCAACATTGCTTCTCCCCTCTTTCCCCTTGGCTGTGGAGTCTAGATTTCAGGTATCTCAAAACGATCTTTGGCATCTTCTGTGCCCAAGCAGCAGCGCCGCCTTGGTTGCTGGTTCTGCTGGGTTCTTTGACAAGCTTCCTTTTCAGCACTTGTGCTCCCAATCTCTTTTCTCAATCCTATTGCTGCTATCCCTTGGTTTTTAGTCCTGGTGACTGTGTAACCATAGGCAGCCCCTTAACTTGTTTGGGCCTCAGTTTCCTCATCTGTTAATGGCTCACAACGTTGCAGTAAAGACTTAACGAAGTAATGCCTTGGACTCTTTAGAAATTAAAATGTCAGCTTAATCATTCCATGTTCCAAAATACACTGGTATCCTATTGCATGTCTGTAGGAGGCATCTATATTTACCAGCAATAAATCGGGGTTACAAAACTGTGGAATGCTGGAGCTGGAAGCATTTTATCATCATAAACTATTCCAATTTCTCTTTCTCAAATGGCAAAATAGGCACAGAGTGCATAAGTCATTTTCCAAGCTTATTAAACTATTAATAGTAATGATGAACATTTATTAATGATAACTTTTTTTTTTTTCGCTGAGACGGAGATGCTCAGGCTGGAGTGCAATGGCGTGATCTCAGCTCACTGCAACCTCTGCCTCCTGAGTTCAAGCAATTCTCCTGTCTCAGCCTCCTGAGTAGCTGGGATTACAGGTGCCCACCACTACGCCTGGCTAGTTTTTAGTATTTTTAGTAGAGATGAGGTTTCACCATGTTGGCCAGGCTGGTCTTGAACTCCTGACCTCAGATGATCTGCCCGCCTCAGCCTCCCAAAGTGCTGGGATTACAGGCGTGAGCCACCATGCCTGCTGATAACTAATATTTAATGAGTCTTGGTCCATACCAGGCATCATGCTAAGGGTTTGACATCATGCTAAGGGTCATTCATTGCATTTAATGACCACAGTATATTGAAAAAAGTATCATTATTCTCATTTGACTGTTCAGGAAACTGAAGAAACAATGAGGTAGCAAGTGTCAGTGTCACAGTTCAATCCGAGGCTCATCTTAGATCAAGAGCTCAAGTTCTTGTTCATTATGCTAAATTACTTCCCTCACAGTGTAGTCAGTTAGGGGTAGAGCCCATAGTAGGCACCAGAACCCTGGCCAATTGCTTCCAAGTCAGTGAATCTGTGTGATACCATCTCTTAGCCTACCAAACCTTCAGCTGCACCCTCATAAGTGCACAGCCCATCTCAGAAAGAATATCTCCTTGGGGCAGAAGCAGCCACACTAGGTTCCTAATGACTCTTGACGGAGCTTTATGGCTGAGCTCTGCCTGTCAGCAGCCATACATCTATTTAGATATCCTCTTAATGTCGACATTTGTGCTCGTGGAGTTTTCCCATTGGTAAGAGCACTCTCCTTTGCCACCAAATGGTAAATGCTCTCTGAAATATCTGTAACATTTTCACATCTAATGGATGCATCTGAGGACATTGGTTAATAATATACATTGAATCCACAGACAATGGCTATTTCCTGTGATTTAGATGGGCACTTACTTGTGTGGTGTATGACACTCAAAGTGTTCTGTCAGCCCCCAAACAGAGCTTTTTGATTTCACATGTCAAAGATAACTGTTGATTCTGGCTCAGCAGTGTTCCATTTTCTGTCCAGTGTTTATGTGGAAGCAGTTGAAGACTTCAGGGAATTTATGTAGCATGCCAGCATTTTAGTTCATATGAGCGAAAATGTTGTTGCCCATCTTTGCTGCATGGACTATGTGTTTTATTAAATTTGCAATGATGGTTGAACATGCTGTGTTGCACAGAAGACAGAGTTTCCCCTAGAGAAGAGATCCTGTGCCTGATCGACAGGGCAGGTGACCACAAGGTCAAGGTTGCTTAGTGGTATCGGCCATCTGTTATCTTGGCAAGTATTTGACTGGAGGGCATTAATGTGTTTGTAATTTCCCACTTGATCTGAGAATAGGGTTAAAAAGACATTGTCGCCATTGGGAGCTGCAGAGCAGATTTGCACCAGCAGTCCACCTCCTGGCTTCCTACCCAGAATGGCACGGGCTGTGCTCAACTTTTATTTTTGGGTCCCCCTCCCTGACAAGTCATTGAGAGGGCAGCCCATTTTTGTCATGCTGCTTGTAGAGAAAAGCAAAAAGCAGCTCCCATCAGCGGGATTATAATAAACAGATTTTAAATCACTCTGAAAGGTCTTGATCACTACAAACCTTTCTAAAGTAAAACAGCCAACTCTTCAGTTTTGTTAGAAAGCAATGAAATCTCAATATCTATTTGGGTGTTCATTTCTCATTGCTCCATCTAGCTAGGAAGTCTGTGCTGAAACAGAGGATTTTGATTAAGCACTTAATATGCAAGGAGACATTTACCTATTGTCGAGCCTGCAATCTGGGTGAGAACAGAAGTTATAGCTCTAGAGCTTTTGTGGTAAACAGTCAAGTCATTTTCTTATACCTTCATCAATGTAAAATCTTCAACAAGTAAAACATTTCAGAGAAAGATCAGCTATAAAATGTCCTCACAGCCAAACTGAAAGCACAGGAGAGCCATACTGACTAACAGGAAACAAGATTTCAACATCATAATGAATGCATTGGTGTATCCTGCTAGCTATTGATCTACTGAGTTTAGGCAGCTCTTCCTTTTAAACTATAACAAGGAATAAAAGCAGATGGAGACGAAATTCTTAAGCAGACTATAAGTGAATCAAGAAAAATAACATATTTTCAGACTTGGTGTGCTTTAAAAAAGAATAAAGGCACCCAAAAAGATAGGAGGATTTATCAAGAAGACTCACTGCTGACGTTTAGCTTTTGGCTGGGAACTTCAACTCCCTAGAAATGTTAGTCTAGCAGAGGACCAACATGTGTAAGTTAAACTTTCAGAAGAAATCTAAAAACCTCAAAATATTATGAAGATAAATCCAAATCTCTCTCTCCTCATAATTTTTATCTACATCCAAATCATGACTGAAGACACTCAAGCAAATGTGTAGACCTTAAAACTGGCAATGCCTCTGCAAAGGATCTTTCGGCCCAGTTCAAAAGATAGTAGATTTTCTCATCTCAGAGAGATGGAGAGATTTGGGGATTCTGGTGGGATTTGGAGTGGGGGTGTCTGACTGTTTTGACCATTGTGGATAACACTGCTTTTGACTGATAACAAGAAAATCATTCCCCTAAATGCCTGCTTTCCTTATATTTCCTAAAATGTATTCAGATATGTAAGGAATCTCCTCTAAATTGTTTTGATAGACCCAAAACGGAATACTATAAAAGAATTAGCATTCACTTTACATGCCCAATATGAGAATAAACTAATGTAGACATACTGTCAACTAAACCTTCCACCTGGGAAGAAATGCTCTCTTCTGTTCTTACCATATCAGACTGGTGTTTTCTGAGCTCCAGAGAAGTTTTATAGACTTTTGTTATAGGCCTGGTAAGAAATAACTGACAAAGGTTAGAGAATCACCAAGTGATCAAAACCAAGTTGCTTTGCCTTTCTAAATATGTTTGCTTAATTACAGAGAAAATTTTTTTGCAATGAATTGTCTTAGTTTTCCTTCATCTGATTTTTGTTTTTTGTCTTTCATTCCTGAAGGATGCTTTCACTGATATAAAATTCTGAGTTGACAGTACTTATCTTTCATCACTTTAAAAAGGTTTTAAACTTCTTTCTGGCTTCCATTGTTTTTGAAAATAAATCTGCAGTCATTCAAATCATTGTTTTCCTATAAATGACACATTGTTTTTCAAGATTTTTTTCTTTGTCTTTAGTTTTCAGTCACTTAATTATGATATTTCTGGGCATGGATTTCTACCCTATTTGGGATTCACTGACCATTTTGAACCGTAGATTTAAGTCTTTCATCAAACTTGGGAAATTTTGAGATATTATTTTTTCAAATTATCTTAGTACTGTACCCTTTCTCCTCAGAGAGACAAACGTAAAAATTAACTTATTTTGACACAGATTCTGTGGGTTTTTCCAAACTTGTTTTAGCTCTTTGTTTTTCAGTGTGGATACTTCCTATTTTTTTATCTTCAGATTCACTTACTATTTCCTTGGTCATCTCCATTCTGCATTTAGCTCATCTTGTGAGATTTTACTTCCATTTGTTATATTTTTCAGTTGATTATTCCAATTAATTTTTCTTTTTATCATCTTTTTCTTTAAGGAGACTTTCTGTCTTCTCAGTTGTTTCCTGTGTGTTTGCACTTGCTTTTTAAAATATATTTATGCTTTAAATTCTTTATCAAATAATTCCAACATTTTTGTCATCTGGTCATTGCTATCTGATAACTATCTTTTCCCATGTAAGTTAAAATTTTTCTGGCTCTTTGTATATCAGGTAATTTTGGATTAAGTTATGGACATTTGAATATTAGGTATGAAGACTCTGAGCCTTGTTAAATATTACAGGGAATATTTATATTTTTGTTTAAGTGCATTAGGTTCAAGCTGCAAGTTACAATGTGGCTTCTGTGGGCTATGGCACCAATGCCACTTCAGGGTTCAAACCCTTTGCAGTGCTATTCTGATCTGCTCCACCTATTTGCCACGTAATGGCCATCCTAGGGTCCGAACAGCGGTCTATCCGTTAGTTAAGCTATCAAATTATTGAATGCACTTACTAGAATCAGTTCCATGGATGCACAGCTATGAGGCGAGTCCAGCAGTTCATAAAGATATTTATGAGATTACTTTCTCAAACTTCTTCTCCACAATCTCCCCCAATACTTTCTAATTCCCTGAAGTGCCCCTTTTTAGTTCCCCATCCAGATTCTGGGGCTTTGATAATCTCACTGTTGTGTACTTCTATAATTTTGTCTGTATCCAGGACTAAGTGGTGTGAGGACAGAAAGAGAGGAAAAAAACATGACAAAATGATGTTCAACCCAACCTCTTGAAACCATAGGTCCACAAAAGGAAGAGGAAAATATTTCCACCCAGGTTTTTGGCTCCTATGCGCTCCCCTTTCCACCACCTGTATTACTACTACAGGATTGCTTGGGAGGTGGCGTGTGAGAAATGAAGAAAATAATGAAGGAAGAAAAAGGGGGAAGTATATTCTCTCTCTGAGTGTTGGGAGTTCCCTTTCCCCCTCTTCCAGCTTTAAAGAGACAGTGCTTTTTTCATCTGTACTTCAATGCCCCTTTTGGGAATCAGATTACATTAGAACAGGTTGAGAGGAACCAGAAGAAAAAACCAGCACAATCACTGCTAGTTCAGTACTACTATGAATTCTTGTCTTTTCCCCCAATCTTCTATTTATTTTTCAGAGTCTTCAAATAGTTCCTGCAATAATTCTTTCCAGGTTTGATAGCTGTATTCAGTAGAGAGAGAGGATAGAATATGCTTACTTCACCTTATGTGGCACTGGAATCAGCTTACTAAACTTTAAAGTATTAGTAATAATAAGACAAGCCTCACATAAAGCTTTTAAAATACTTAATACAATTCTTGAAATTACAGTGTTAGTGCCATTAATTCAGCTTTACTATTACTACGAGAAAAAGAGAGGTTGCAACTATGCATTAGTGAATTGTAGAAATAGATACTTTGAGTGTTGTCCATGGAGTGAGTACTTGCATCAAGTTCACAGCAGCTTGTCTGTTCTTTAAGTTCACAAACTGACTTAAGGGAAACTTCATAGCTGCTGCTGTAAGTACTTTTAGCAGAGAACTCTACTAGATGATTATGGTTCATCATTTTTTTGTGTAATGAACTGACAAATGTTACTTTTAACAAATCTTTAATACACTATTTACTCTGTGTTTTAAAGGAAGGAAAAAAAGAATATCCAGTTCATTAAGAGAGAGGCTCAGAATATCAATCTATTTCTATTGTTTTATCTTCAGACTCACTTACTATGTCCTTGGTCATCTCCACTCTGCTATTTAGGTTAACCTTGTGAGATTTTACTTCCATTTGCTATATTTTTTCAGTTTATTATTCCAATTAATTCTTCTTTATATCATCTTTTTCTTTGAAAGATGAAGTATGAAAGAAATCACTCTGCAAAACTTTCACATTATTTACGTTCTACAAACATGCATATCTAATAAAATTTTAAGTTGTATCCCAGGGAAAGCAGGCTGCTGTGGGCCTCTAAGGACCATGGTCCACTTTAAGTAAGATTTAAGAAGAAGCTAAAGCAAAGGATTTGGGGTATCCAAAATATGAGATATTACTGGTAGCCTTCTAATTTTTTTCCTAAATGGGAAGGTGGGTCCAATTGGAAATATGTTCCCTGGTTCTATTGTTTGCCTTTTCTGGTACTTCTCTGCTATACTTCCTAGTTTATTAAAGATTATGTTGTCTGTTTTCTCACCTAACAACATGATAAATGATTTCTTACTGAAGTTTTGTCTGAAAACTATATTACCTGTCTTGTGGACAGGGAACTGTTAAAGAATAGGAAAGCTGAAAGGATGGTAGAATTTCAGGCATGGTGGGTGGCAAGAGAGAAAATTTCTTAGTCAAGGGCCATTCCGTCTTCTAAAATTAAGCCACATGTGTAAATCCTCCTTTATAATCATAAATGTCCTTCTTATGCCTTGATATTATCCTGGAAACACATTGATGTTAGCACTATCATTCAGAGAGCATGAAAAGGTCAATATTATGTAGCATCTGTATATGAAAGAGGAACTCAATTAACCATTTATTAATGTATTAGTGAATGAGGACAGCAATTCTTTAACAAACTGTAAATGGTAACTGTGGGTGTTCTTTATTTCCCAATGACTCTGTACTTTTTGTTCTGTGATGATAATATTCTGTTTCCAAAAGGGATGACTCAGTCTGAAACAATGTCTTCTTCCTTGCAGAATCAGATTGTTAATACTGAAAGAATGGGTTTCTTCACTTAGAAGTTTGCTATAACTCAGGTTTCCAAATGACAAAAGTGTTTAATGTTACCTATAAAATAATAATACTAATAGCTAAAATTCATCAAGTCCTTATACGTGCAAGCATTATGTTAGGTCCTCTATATACATTCACACACCTACTACACAGTGATCAGTTACTGTCTGTATTCATATTTTACAGATATGTAAACTGACACTTGGGGAGGTAAAGCACATTTCTCAGGACAATTCGGGTGGTAAGTGGCAGAGCTAGGATTTAAACCTAGGTTTATTTACTATTTAGGTTTATTTACTATTAAGGTCAGAGTTTTTACCATGTAGATGTAATTAAATAGGAAACAGCTGTTGCTCATAGTCTTTTAGGGTTTTAGATATTCCTGGGCATGTCTTCTAGGGCTCCTGAAATAGTCTTTGTGGCAATAACAGGGCATCCAGGGTTATCCTCTTTTCTGGTTCCCATGGAGCTCCAGGAGGGTCTCTGCCGCCTACCCTGCAGTAGCACCACTTCCCACCTTCATTGGAGCTACCACTGGCTCCCAGAAGTTCCATTACCCTACTGCCTCACTAACTTAAAGTTGTATCCTTACAGAAACTGGTATTGGCTCTTTTTCTTTCCCACTATGATGCAGCCATATTTGCAGTTGTTGGAGTCCTGTTCTTCCAACTCTTCACAATGCCATCGCCCTCTTACCTTTTATATTTTATTTTATTTTATTTTATTTTAGAGACAGGGTCTCACTTGGTTGCCTAGGCTAGAGCACAGTGGTGACATCATAGCTCACTGCAACCTCAAACTTCTGGGCTCAAATGATCATCCTGCCTCAGCCTCCCAAGTAGCTGGGACTACAGGTACATGTCATCACACTTGGCAAATTTTTATTTTTATCTTGTAGAGACAGAGTCTCGCTATGTTGCCCAGGCTGATCTTGAACTCTTGGTCTCAAGTAATCTTTTTGCCTCAGCCTCCCAAAGTGCTGAGATTGCAGGCATAATCCCACTGCACTTGGCTGCCATTTTCCTCTTACCTTTTATGTCTCCTTAAAGAAGGCTTCCATCACCATACAAGTATATTATTATTATTATTTTTAATTTTTTTATTATCATTACACTTTAAGTTTTAGGGTACATGTGCACAATGTGCAGGTTTGTTACATATGTATACATGTGCCATGTTGGTGTGCCGCACCCATTAACTTGTCATTTAACATTAGGTATATCTCCTAATGCTATCCCTCCCCCCTCCCCCCACCCCACAACAGGCCTCGGAGTGTGATGTTCCCCTTCCTGTGTCCATGTGTTCTCATTGTTCAATTCCCACCTATGAGTGAGAACATGCGGCGTTTGGTTTTTTGTCCTTGCAATAGTTTGCTGAGAATGATGGTTTCCAGTTTCATCCGTGTCCCTACAAAGGACATGAACTCATCATTTTTTATGGCTGCATAGTATTCTATGGTGTATATGTGCCACATTTTCTTAATCCAGTCTATCGTTGTTGGACATTTGGGTTCCTTCCAAGTCTTTGCTATTGTGAATACTGCTGCAATAAACATGCGTGTGCATGTGTCTTTATAGCAGCATGATTTATAATCCTTTGAGTACATACCCAGTAATGGGATGGCTGGGTCAAATGGTATTTCTAGTTCTAGATCCCTGAGGAATCACCACACTGACTTCCACAATGGTTGAACTAGTTTACAGTCCCACCAACAGTGTAAAAGTGTTCCTAGTTCTCCACATCCTCTCCAGGACCTGTCGTTTCCATTGTTTCCTGACTTTTTAATGATCGCCATTCTAACTGGTGTGAGATGGTATCTCATTGTGGTTTTGATTTGCATTTCTCTGATGGCCAGTGATGATGAGCATTTTTTCATGTGTCTGTTGGCTGCATAAATGTCTTCTTTTGAGAAGTGTCTGTTCATATCTTTTGCCCACTTTTTGATGGGGTTGTTTTTTTCTTGTAAATTTGTTTGAGTTCATTGTAGATTCTAGATATTAGCCCTTTGTCAGATAAGTAGGTTGCGAAAATTTTCTCCCATTTTGTAGGTTGCCTGTTCACCCTGATGGTAGTTTCTTTTGCTGTGCAGAAGCTCTTTAGTTTAATTAGATCCCATTTGTCAATTTTGGCTTTTGTTGCCATTGCTTTTGGTGTTTTAGACATGAAGTCCTTGCCCATGCCTATGTCCTGAATGGTATTGCCTAGGTTTTCTTCTAGGGTTTTTATGGTTTTAGGTCTAACATGTAAGTCTTTAATCCATCTTGAATTAATTTAATTAATTTTTGTATAAGGTGTAAGGAAGGGATCCAGTTTCAGCTTTCTAAATATGGCTAGCCAGTTTTCCCAGCACCGTTTATTAAATAGGGAATCCTTTCCCCATTGCTTGTTTTTGTCAGGTTTGTCAAAGATCAGATGGTTGTAGATATGTGGCATTATTTCTGAGGGCTCTGTTCTGTTCCATTGATCTATATCTCTGTTTTGGTACCAGTACCATGCTGTTTTGGTTACTGTACACACAAGTATATTATATCTGTACTCCCACTTCTGTTTATTTCCAACTGTGTTTGTCCATTGCATGCTACTATAACAAAATATCACAGACTGGGTAATTCATAAAGAACAAAAATTTATGTCTCACAGTTCTTGAGGCTGGGAAATCCAAGATCATCTGGTGAGTGCTACTGTCAGCTTCCATGATGGCGCCTTGAATGTTGCATTCTTTGGAGAGGAGGAACATTGTATCATCACATGGCAGAAACTGGAAGGGCTAAAAGGAATGTACTCCCTCTGTCAAGCCCTTTTATAAAGCCCTTGCTGTCATTCACAAGGAAGAAGCCCTCCTTATCTAATTGCCACTTAAAGGCCCTTCCTGTAGGCCAGGCGCAGTGGCTCACACCTGTAATCCCAGCATTTTGGGAGGCCAAGGCAGGCAGATGACCTGAGGTCAGGAGTTCAAGATCAGCATGGCCAACATGGCCAAAACCCGTCTCTACTAAAAATACAAAAAACTAGCAGGGCGTGGTGGTGCATGCCTGTAATCCCAGCTACTTGGAAGGCTGAGGCAGGAGAATAGCTTGAACTCAGAAGGCTGAGGCAGGAGAATAGCTTGAACCCAGGAGGCAGAGGTTGCAGTGAGCCGAGATCGCACTAATGCACTCCAGCCTGGGTGATAACGCAAAACTCCATCTCAAAAAAGCAAAACAAAACAAAACAAAAAAACAAAACAAAACACCCTACCTGTTAAGTCTATCATATTGGCCATTAAGTTTTAAGACATGAATTTTGGAAGTGACACATTCAAACTATAGCAGGTACTAATTACAGTTTGTAAATATATGTGTATTTGGTACTTAACTTACCTGCATTTTCACCCATTAGATGGTAAATTCCACAAAAATGGGATCCATATCTGCTTTACTCTTCAGAATCTTCTGGATGATTAACATTGTGACCAGCATTTGCTGAACATGAAACAAACACTTGTTGAATGTGTGAATCACCTTCAACCTTGGTTTGAGCCCCTTAAACTACAGATGGGATTTAATATAATCAACATATAAAGGTGACTGCATGTAGAACAAGGTATAGGAAGAAAATACTGTCAGTTACATTTATATTTACTATTTATGTAAATAAAAAGTATGGAATTAGGTTTAATAACATTTTACCTACAAATTCTTCTGAGCTATCCTTGGGGAAGAATACGAATCCCATATGAGGCTGTGTTGGCAGAAGTCCCCTCATGCTATTGTTTGTGATACGTACATTGAGATATATTGGAATTTATACATCTTTATTAAATGGATCTGCAGAGTATCTTACCAAGTTCCAACCGAACTAACATGGGCAAATATCATATACAGATTCTTGCAAATATGCTGTAGATTGGAGATGATAATATACTAATAACTGAAGCACAAATGAATAATTGAAAATAAAGAAACCGAAACTTCTAGTGCTAGAATGAAATCCTTTAAAGCCACAAAACCATGTAAAAAACAAGCAAACAATGATTATCTAATCAGATTTGACGCACTGAAAAGTTGGTGCCCACAAAGCTAATTTATCAAGAAGAACATCTAATTTAAAGATTTATATTTACTGTTGTTAACGATCAACTTTGCACTGTGTGTTGTGCCTTGAGATAGATATTAGCTAATGTTAGTAGAATGAAGCCATCACAATTAGCGAGACATTTAAAAACTAACCATCTGGAACTTGAAGGCAAACCCTAGAGTTGTTTCAGGGATATTAAGAAGCATACAGTGCTCATTCCAGTACCTTACTAAATTTTGTTACACTTAATGATTAAAGTGTAGAAGACTATTTTGAGGTTTCTTAAGAGCAAGAAATAAAGAGCCACATATTTGTTCTTCTTACTGCGGTAAAGATAGTTGAAGTAAGATACAAAAAATAATGTACAGCACAAGCTAAAATAGTTACATTTGTCGATAAATACTGCAAAATATTGCAAAAAATTATGTAAAAATAATGCATGAAGCTATTAATAAAATGTGAAGAAACAACCATCATTTTGAATTATAAAATATGAAACATATCTGTATAGTTTAATAAAGGTACAGGAATTATAATTTGTCTCAATTTATGGTATTTGCTAAATTTTGATTCAATAACATAAACTTTTTATTTTGAACAACTGTAGAAAAGGTGTTCCCAAGAAGTTATATTTTCACTATCCTACAGTTTCTTTAATACAAACTGTGTTTTATGGAAATATGTGGGGTTCTACCAGTGAGTGAAATTATCGATGACGTAGCTATGTTGATAGAAGAAAAATGATTTGGAATTAGGGTTACAACAAAGGCACCAGATGTGAAGTTCATTCGACACCTCATCCAGTTGCAAACTAGTAATGCACACGTTAATATTTGTTATCAACAATCTAGCTAATTTTATAAAAGGATGACTATTAAAATATAGAAGAGCCTTTATACTCTGTACGGATGCTTCTCAACTTATAATGGAGCATATATTACCATCATGATTTGAGGAGCATACTGAGTGCCTATCACCTTCACACTATTATAAAGTAGAAACACTATAAGTCAACCATTGTAAGTTGAACCAGCTGTATAATGAAATGGGGATTAGTTACAAAGACTTTTTGTTCCTCATAGAGATTCTCAGATTTTCTCTTGGGAAATTCTTTAAAGAGTTATTGTATTAAAAGATAAGTTATATCTTTTAATACGATAGTGTGCTACCTAGTTAGTGTGCTACCTAGAAGATATATAATTTTAAAAACGCATACTTAGCCTTTTTGACATAAAGGTGGTATTTCTTACATTGGAAGTGAAAGAAATACATAATTTTAAAAACCTCTTACTTTGGGAATGCATTTTGAAATATTTGGAAAAATTTACATGGATAGACAGTTTTGTTGCTGAAAATGTGTCACATTTAAAAAGAAAACAAAACACATGTTTAAGCACTTAAAATTTTTTATTATTATTATTATTCATAATAGAGCCAGAGTCTCACTGTGTTGCCCAGGGTGGTTTCAAACTCCTGAGCTCAAGTGATCCTCCTCCCTTGGCCTCCCAAAGTGCTGGGATTACCAGCGTGAGCCACCACACCCAGCCTAAATTTTTTTTTAATGGTATTTCCAAATTCCTTTTAAAATCTTCCAAATAATATTTTAAAGTAAGGTTTTGAACTAATCTTTTACAAATACAAAAATATAACAGTTTATGAATAGTTTATAAGAATAGCTGAATGACATTAAAGAAGTTGACATTTATGAGCCACATTTAAGAAAAAAATTACATAATTAATGGATGAGATTGAAAAATAAATATGGCTTAATAAGTTCTATTATTTTTATCAATGACAATGATTAAGAATACCTGTTTGAACATAAAAATCAAACAGAACTTGGACCCAGACCTGTGAATCATTGTAACAAAAAGTGAATATTCAATTAGTTTGCCTTTACTAAAGTTGTATCAATGATGATGATGATGATGATGATGATGATATTCTTCTACTTCTAGACTCTAAAATACAAGAAGAAACAACAGACTATCTATTGGACGAGTAAGTCCACAATAAAAGCCTTATGTTTTTCTTGCATCCAAATATACCATTTTCCCATTCTTAAACTTCTAATCAAACAAAAAAGCAATAAAATGCTTATTTGCCAAATGATACTATCTGCAAAATAAATAATGATAATAACTGTTATTAATATATTTTAGAAACAGGTGATGTAGAACCACTAATGTCTTAAATAAAAGAACATGACATTTTGTGTTTATCTTTTTTTTTTTTTTGAGATGGAGTCTCACTCTGTCACCCAGGAAGGAGTGCAGTGGCGTGATCTCAGGCCATTGCAACCTCTGCCTCCTTGGTTCAAGCGATTCTTCTGCCTCAGCCTCCCGAGTAGCTCTGACTCCAGGTGCACGCCACCACGCCTAACTTTTTTTTTTTTTTTTTTTTTTTTAATAGAGGCAGGGTTTTGCCATGTTGGCCAGGCTGGTCTCGAATTCCTGACCTCAAGTGAACCTCCTACCTCACCCTTCCAAAGTGCTGGGATTACAGATGTGAGCCACCACACTATCCTTTCAAATTTCCATTTTCATGTGTTTCAAAAATTCATTCAAATAAATTAATTAGTATATGTTATATGTTTATAAAATGCATTTAAATAGAATTTACTGGGCTCATGCTCAAAACATTTCTCTTTGGAAGGGTGCTCAAATTAAAAAGATGGGAGGCCAATGGAGTGAGTTTTCTGTCCTAGTGGTTTGTATCACTGGGGTCAGACAGCTCTGTATTTGAAGATCAAGCCTGCTCTATGCTTACTGGTTAGCATTCTCTGAACCCCAGTTTCCATTTCCGTACAATGGAGATAAAATTATGTAATTCACACATAATAAGAAGTATATTATATAAAACATAAATCACAGGGGTAATGCCTAATAAAAGTGTGATATATTTTAATTTTTTAAAAAATCAATAACCTCATAGGTTGTCATAGAGTATGTGGAAAGGTGACAACATATATGGAGGACAGATTTGTCTCAAGCAGATGAGGGTTCATCTAGATACGTGAACAGGAATGATAACCAGCATTGCTTATAATTGTACTGAAAATGGAAACTTAGACTTAGTTGAAAAGAGTTTTTATGAATAAATTGTGTAATATTTCTTTAAGTAGACAGTTTATGAGTAAAAATAAATGTACTAACATGGACTGATAATGTACTAATAATGTACTAACCTCTCAAAAACTCAATTTTGATGCCAGGTACAATGTCTCAGTGCCTGTAATCCCAGCAGTTTGGGAGGCCAAGGTAGGAGGATCACTTGAAGCTAGGAATTTGAGACCAGCCTGGACAACATAATGAGAGCCTATCTTTATAAAAAATAAAATAAAAATTAGCAGGGCATGGTGGCACGTGCCTGTAGTCCCAGCTACATAGGAGGCTAAGGCAGGAAGATCACTTGAGGTCATGTGTTCCAGGCTGCAGTGAGCTATGATGGAGCTGCTGCACTCCAGTCTACGTGGCAAAGCGAAGCACTGTCTCAAAAACAAAGTAAAACAAAACAGTTAACATAATTTTCAGTTTAAAAAGATCAAATTATTTTTAAACAGGAAGTTGTACAATATAACAACCCTTGTAAAATGTTTGGAAACATGAAAAGCAATATAGTATATTGTTCACAGATAAATGCATCTAGAATGAACGTATTAAGAAAAGTTTGGGAATGATATACATAAATTTCAGGATAATGGTTACCTCTAAGTGTATGGAAAAGGAAGGTAGTTAGGAGATAAAAACATGCACTTCAATAGGAGTTGTAAAGTTTCATCTTTGTAAATTGAGTGATAAAAACATAAAAGTTTATTATATTCTTTTATATGCTTTGTTATTGCCATATATTTTACTATTTTAAAGAAATCAAAGAATGGAAAAGATTTGTCTTTACATGAAGTAGTGCATGGCTGCCCATTTGAGAATGCTGTCTTAGAAGAAAAGCAGGAAGGAAGGAAGAAAGGAAGGGAGGGAGGAATTGAGGGAGAGAGGAAGGGAGGGGAGGAAGAAGAAATATTTTCCATAAAAGTAATTTTCTTGGCATTTTTCTTCAGAAGCCATCTTGGACAAGCAAGCCAAAGAACTAAAAAGGCATTAGGGGTGGGGAGAGCCCATCTGGTTAATGGGCTGATACTGAATATTTAATTATTTCACTTTTGACACAAGGCCATGTTTTAACATCTTGAACATCCAGGTAACTTTCCCTGTGTGAAGTCTGAGTGAAAAAAGGAAATGCATTGTTAGTCTCCACACTTTCCTCTTTTTATTTTAATAAGAAATTGTATCATCGTAGGCAGACAATATGATGTCATATTTTTTCTATGATATTTTCACAGTGTACACCAGGGTGCCTGTACTTTGCAGCTATATGACACGCAGGATTATTATTTTTTTTCTTTTCTTATCATCAGAGCCTCAAAAACAAGCTCCATGGCACCAGGCACAAAGACTATCAATAAACATTCCATCTTTTCATTTTTCTCCTGTGTTATTTAATAAGGGAAAGACAGAGCCACGATTTTTAACTATCAGACAGCAAACATTTTGGAAATAATTTCTCTCTTCAAGGGTCTTTGATGATGACCAAGAGTTCTCCCTACCTTCATCCTGTGTTATTGCCCCAGGGGATGGGCTAACGGCCTCACTGGGGGGTTGCAATTGAGAAAACTGCTGAACACAGTTACTGGCCTTCCCATGGGTGGGACTGAAGGGGCTGGGTGAGAATCTGTGGCTCTTGCAGTCACCTGTCTGTGTCCCCTCCATGGCTGTATCCGACCAGTTCCCTCCATGTCTTGTCTTTGCTATCGGTGGGAGTGGCTTGCCGACATTCCTGGCAGAATGCAGGCCACTCAAGTTAGCATACCAGCAATGCAGCCTGGTTGCTAGGGAGCTGCCCTCTGAGCATCCCTTGATCTATTTTTAAATTTCCATGCTTGTTTCCTCTCTGAAAGGAAGCAAAGAATAATACAGCTTGCTTTTCTGCTCTTTTAAGAAACAAAGTAACCAACAAGGCTAAGACCTGTTGTGAAGTTAAAAAGCATTTGCTAATTAAGCTTCAGAATGTTGTGGTATTTGTGCCCATCTAGTTTCTGCTTAATTAATTTGCAGATAAGGCAGCATCTCAGAAGAGGTAGAAGCGAAGGTCTATAAGGAGTATAGGTGAAATTTGCTGGTACTTTTTTCCTTTTTACTCCATTAATGATGCTCTTGAACCACTACCCTTCCTAGAGTTTAACAATAACGCATTGTGAGCCCCCCCAGGACTCCCCCCCACCAGGAATAAATGAGAAATTTGGAGGGCTATTGAACAGTGAGTTTTCACAGCTGATACACAGAAAACTATTTAGCACAGGTGTTTTGGTAACTGTGAAATACTGAGGAAATTCAGTCTTCTGTGACACTTAGATTCACTGTCTTGTGTGGGATGGAGTCTTATGGAACTTGTAAAATATCTGTAATATAAATAAAAGAAGAAGAAGAACAAAATTAGCTTTGCACAGAACTCCAGAAATTGTTCCTTGTATGGAAGAGTCTTCCTTTTTGGCCACTGGTAACTAGCAGTTTTCTTGGTATTTTTTTCCAAGTTAAAATGAATCCAATTTCAAATGTTGTTAGCGAATTTTTAAAATGATGTGTTATATGCATGCAGGTGTGAAGAAATCTGGTGGAATAACAAGTGTGCTAGTCTCCATGTGTTAACGATATTTTTTGAGCCTTTAAGAAAAGCTATTTCTCCTCTTCTCCATGGTCACTTTCAGCCCTCAACAGCAGTTGATCAACAAGGTTAGCAGCTGTTCACTCTCCAAATTACAATCCTAGAAGTAAGTTACAATTTCTAGAACTGATAGTATAATAATATTCCACTGCCACCACTGGGAAGTCATGAGTTTGGATGTTGCAGTTTCTCTGTACCTCAATATGGGGTTCAGAAAAATAGATGGATTTAAAAGGAACATCTATTTTTATGGACTAAATTTATATAGACTAAATAGATGCATTTAGTCTATATAAATTTTCATAAAGCCCTTGGCTTCTCTTTTATAACCTTCAGCCTAGCATATTTTACCAGATGAGATATTGCTAAATTACATACTCTCATAGCAGAATTTACCTAGAAACTACTAGAATTACAATGCAACTTTTTTATTTAAAACCCACACTTTAATTTCTTGCATCTGTTGATGACATTCAAGGACCAATCACTTTTCTAAGTTCTTCATTACCTGTAATATTCCTAAGAACCCTATAAGTGAGATACTATTATTCCCATTTTACCAGCCACAATAACCCCAGTTTCCTGAGATGAATTATTTGGACAAGGTCATTCTACCCCACCGCTGTCACAGAGCGGTGTCACAGTTAAGAGCAGTTTCTTAACTGCTATCTTGTGTGATTTCCCTTCTGTGGGTAAATAGCACAAGTTAAGTTACTAATGTGTCCAGAATTGGTGGGTTCTTGGTCTCACTGTCTTCAAGAATGAAGCCACGGACCCTCGCGGTGAGTGTTACAGTTCTTAAAAGCAGCGTGTCCGGAGTTTGTTCCTTCTGATGTTGGGATGTGTTCAGAGTTTCTTCCTTCTGGTGGGTGCGTGGTCTCCCTGGCTCAGGAGTGAAGCTGCAGACCTTCGCGGTGAGTGGTACAGCTCTTAAGGCAGCGCGTCTGGAGTTGTTCTTTCTTCATGGTGGGTTCGTGGTCTCGCTGGCTCAGGAGTGAAGCTGCAGACCTTCGCGGTGAGTGGTACAGCTCTTAAGGTGGCGCGTCTGGAGTTGTTCGTTCTTCCTGGTGGGTTCGTGGTCTCCCTGGCTTCAGGAGTGAAGCTGCAGACTTTCGTGGTGAGTGTTACAGCTCATAAAGGCAGTGTGGACCCAAAGAGTGAGCAGCAGCAAGATTTATTGCAAAGAGCGAAAAAACAAACCTTCCACGTTGGGGAAGGGGACCCAAGCGGGTTCCCACTGCTGGCTCGGGCAGCCTGCTTTTATTCTCTTATCTGGCCCCACCCACATCCTGCTGATTGGTCCATTTTACAGAGAGCCAATTGGTCTGTTTTACAGAGAGCTGATTGGTCCGTTTTGACAGGGTGCTGATTGGTGTGTTTACAATCCCTGAGCTAGACACAAAAGTTCTCCAGGTCCCCACTAGATTAGCTAGATACAGAGTGTGGACACAAAAGTTCTCCACGTCCCCACTAGATTAGCTCTATACAGGGTGTCGATTGGTGCATTCACAAACGCTGAGCTAGACACAGGGTGCTGATTGGTGTGTTTATAAACCTTGAGCTAGATACATAGTGCCGATTGGTGTATTTACAATCCCTTAGCTAGACGTAAAGATTCTCCAAGTCCCCACCAGACTCAGGAGCCCAGCTGGCTTCACCCAGTGGATCCGGGACCAGGCTGCAGGTGGAGCTGCCTGCCAGTCCCGTGTGGTGGGTCAGCACTCCTCAGCTCTTGGGTGGTCCATGGGACTGGGCGCCGTGGGGCAGGAGGCGGCACTCGTCGGGGAGGCTCGGGCTGCACAGGAGCCCACAGCGGGCGTGGGAGGCTCAGGCATGGCGGGCTGCAGGTCCCAAGCCCTGCCCCGAGGGGAGGAAGCTAAGGCCTGGCGAGAAGTCGAGCACAGCAGCTGCTGGCCCAGGTGCTAAGCCCCTCACTGCCCTGGGCTTGCGGGCCTGCCAGCCGCTCCGAGTGCCGGGCCTGCTGAGCCCACGCCCGCCCGAACTCATGCTGGCCCACAAGTGCCGCGCACAGAGCCGGCTCTGGCCTTGGCCAGCCCAGAAAGGGGCTCCTACAGCGCAGCAGCAGGCTGAAGGGCTCCTCAGGCACGGCCGGAGTGGGTGCCAAGGCCGAGGAGGCACCAAGAGCGAGCAAGGGCTGCGAGGGCTGTCAGCACGCTGTCACCTCTCACTAATGATAACTTGAATCCTTGAAAGACCTCTGAACTCACCAATGAGAAATCCTGAAATCTACCAGTTTGAAGTCCTGAAGAGTTACACGTGGGGTAGCTCACTCTTAAATCCCGAGCCAGGGGGTAGCAGGGTGGCACACAGGCTTAGGGGACGGCAAAATACAAATTTTAATTCTAGCCTCTGTACTAACTTAACCTGGATAAGTTACCAAAACGAAGTTTCCTCAACTGTAAAATGGTGATGTCCCTTTCTCACAGGGTGGTTATGAAGATTATATGAGATGGTATTCATACAATTCCTGGCATGTAGCAACATTCAATAAGTAGCAGCCAAAAATCAAAGTATCCACTGTGAAAGTGTCATTTGGGAACCATAATCACAGAGTTTCCTAGGACTTAAGGGCTCAATCTTACTCTTTCAGGCTCAGGGACAAATGCTTAGCATTAAGTTCAGGGCACCAGAGCCCACTTCCCTATTTTCAGTAACTTGTACAAGGGTGTAGCACCAGCATTAGAAGGAAGAAACCAGAAGAGCAGAATATGGAGTCAACATAAAACATTAGGAGCATCTTGAGATATGCCCTCCTTTGTTTGTCTCTTACATGTTTTGGTGAGTGGTGATGTTCTTATAGAATTAAGAATTGTTTCCTTTTTGCCATCTGGTTTTCTAAGACTAGGAAATATTTTGATACATAAAATGAAACACCACTGGTGAAAAGTTTGTTTTCCTCTCTTAGTATATTCTGGAATGGCTTGAAAGCCAATGACTGTTTGACATTCTGAAATTTTAAACTGATGACTTGCCGTTTGTAGAAGAGGACCACGGAAAAACCTTGAGTCTCCCCAGTGAGATGTGATATTCTTGCTGTTTTCGATGCAGAGCTACCGAGTATTATACCTTATAAGGGGATAAGTGCTGTAATGTTACTGCTGAAATGACAAACTGAGAAGGCACTAGGAGAATCTCCATGAATTACCCAACTTCTTTCATTTAATGAGTACCTACCACATGCTCAGTACACAATGCTGAATACACAGTTCTGTGTATTGTGTACCAAATGCCGCTAGACACCAAGGATACAGGTACCAATGAACTCCACCCTGGCTCGGTCCCATGAGAAAACTGCCAGGTACATGGGAAAATGAGTGGCCTAGTAGTTCTCTAAGAGTACTGCTGAGGAGGAGGCAAGGAAGGCTGGCATGAATTTTTCAGAACAAGTGGTTATTCACTCTCTTCTCAGCTTTAGCTTCCAAACCAATTGAGAAATAAATATAAGAGTGAGAGTGATGGAATGAGCAGCTTCATTACAGTAAAGCTGAATGAGAGAATGTGGCTGGGACTAAAGGCCACGTGTTTTTTCCTGTTCCCACATATGCAGCCACCTGCTCAAATATACTGATTCCTCCCCCAATCTCCAGCAGAGGAGCTGGGCCACTGCCACCTCCCCTGGCTAGGGCAGAGCTGGCCTCAGTGGCTCACCATGCAGGGGAGACACAGGTGTCGGGCTGCAGGTGGCTCATTTCTGAAAAGTCCCCAAGGAGGATAATGAATACACAATAGCACTTTCCCTCTTTACTACAAAAGTTCCATTACCTCCCGCGAACGTAAATAAGAAATGGGGTTAGAAGACCAGGCGCGGTGGCTCACGCCCGCAATCCCAGCACTTTGGGAGGCCGAGGCTGGCGGATCACCTGAGGTCAGGAGTTTGAGAGCAGCCTGGCCAACATGGCGAAACCCTGTCTCTACTAAGAATACGAAAAAATTAGCTGGGCGTGGTGGCACGTGCCTGTAGTCCCAGCTACTCAGGAGGCTGAGGCAGGAGAATCGCTTGAACCTGAGAGGCGGAGGTTGCAGAGAGCTGAGGTCACGCCACTGCACTCCAGGATGGGTGATAGAGTGAGACTGTCTCACAATAAAAAAAGCGGGGCGGCGGGGGGGTGGTTAGAAACAATGGTGAACACTTTCCCCCACCTAAGAAGCCAACAGAAACTATATTTTAGCTCAAGAAGGAAGCATGTTTAGAGAGGAAAATCTGTGCCCTTTACAGTGCTTTTTTTGAGCTGAGTCATGAAGGAAGAAGAGGAATCTGCAGAAAAAGAAAGGGGGAAGCATTTCAGACAAACAGCACAGTGAGTGTGAAAGCAGAGGTGCATTACAGGGCTCCGCATGTGATCCAGGCGAATAAAGAGAACAAAAGAGATTTGCTTTCGGATTTATGTTTACAGCTCCCAATATGTTTTACTATCAGTGACGTTATTTTGATCTTTACGGTAATGCTGAGAGGTAAAATTGTGATAACAATTGATATTCCTATTTTACATGGCAACTGAGATTGAATGAGCTAAGTTATACACTTCACACAGTATTCGGAATACAATTAGCAAGTATGATCCCATTATTATTGCAACCACTAGAATTATGTTTATTACTAGGACAGTTATTATTTATTTCTATTATTACTGCCAAGTTCTCATGGCTAGTAAGTGGCATAACTAGTAAGCCCCACTGCTGGTAAGTGCTATGGCTAGTGATTCCTGTATTAAGTGGCAGAGCTGAGGTTCAATGACATGGCATCTGGTAGATTTCAAGGACTTAATAAGCACCTTCAAGAACTGTAAAGACTATCCTATTATATGAGCAACATACCCTGTCACTGTTTGGTGGGCACTGGCACAAGAGACCCATGACTAAGAAAAAAACGTTATTGCTCATGGCACAGCAGGAGGTATGGGCTTCGTGTTCTCATTGGTTCTCCACGTTTCGCAAGTTCCCCAAGGGTGATGTGGAGTGGCCCAGGTGGATGTTGCACACACCCTGCGTTTGCATCACAGTTGAAGAATCTGAAGCTTAGAAAACCTCTGATTTTGGCCAGATATGGTGGCTCACACCTGTAATCCCAGCACTTTGGGAGGCCGAGGCAGGCGGATCACGAGGTCAGGAGATCTAGACCATCCTAGCCAACATGGTGAAACCCCATCTCTACTAAAATACAAAAATTAGCTGGGTCTGGTGGCACATGCCTATAGTCCCAGCTACTTGGAAGACTGAGGTAGGAGAATTGCTTGAACCCAGGAGGTGGAGGTTGCAGTGAGCTGAGATCACGCTGCTGCACTCCAGCCTGGCAACAGAGCAAGACTCTGTCAAAAAAAAAAAAAAAAACTCTGATTTTATACAGGGTTGACCCTTCCCAGCTTTTGCCTGGAGGGAGATATTATCTTTATTATCCTGGTGAGAAAACAGATCTGCTCCTTGCCCTAGAGGAAGACAGGATCTCTATCTTCTAAGGCTGCTGGCTATGCAGACATCCTTGAAAAAGAGAGTGGAATAAAAACTAATATAAACATGCAGAAACAAAGAATTGTCTCTCAACAAGCACATTGAGGGAAGGTTACTCTCACATTTTTGTTTTCAGGCCACTTGGCTAATCTAACAGCACTCAGAGAAAGTTAAATTGATGCAAATAGCAGAGAGATCAAAGATAAGCTTGGTAAACAGATTCTATTCCCCTGAAACTTCCTTACAACTCTTCCTTTAAGGTACTGGAAGAAGAGACGGGAACTTTCCCTGGAAGAGAAATCCTCATCTGAGGGCACTGTGACTTTGCTGGATTCCTTTCCTGGGGAAACCTGAGTTTTTTCACTGCTGAGAAAGAAGCATCAGCATCTTGAGCATGGTGTGCTCAAAAAATTGAGGAAGCGTATGGCATAAGACGGAAATGTGGCTTAGGAAAAAAACAATCACTGGCTTTAGAGGAGGCAGAAATGTGATGCTGTGTTTTTCTAAATAGAAGCATAGATTTTGAATCTATGCACCAAATTCTCTCTTTCTTCTCCCAAGATGTGCAGGAATGTATTTTAACGCAATATTGAACTTTTAAAAATACATATTTCTGGCTCCATACCCCAGAGTTTCTCATACAATATGGTCAGAACAATTCCTATTTTGAAAAATTTTCCCAGGTGATTAAGTGCATCAGAGACTGGGAATTGCTGTTTTAGGACACGTTTTAATATTTGGTTTTATATGTAAGATAAGTGATTTGTGAATAACTATTAGAATAGCTTGCAGTTTAAGAATTGTCTTTAAAAAGCCCCATCCCAAACAAAGTAAGGAAAATTAAATAGTAATCTAAATTGTTTCTCTTTCTTTCTTTCTTTCTTTCTTTTTTTTTTTTTTTTTTTGAGACGGAGTCTCCTTCTGCCACTAGGTTGGAGTGCAGTGGCGCAATCTTGGCTCACTGCAACCTCCAACTCCCTGGTTCAGGTGTTTCTCCTGCCTCAGCCTCCCGAGTAGCTGGGATTAGAGGCACGCGCCACCTCGTCCAGCTAATTTTTGTATTTTTAGTAGAGATGGAGTTTCACCATGTTGGCCAGGATGGTCTCGATCTCGTGACCTCGTGATCTGACCGCCTTGGCCTCCCAAAGTGCTGGGATTACTGGTGTGAGCCACTTTTCGGCCTGTTTTCTTTCTTTCTTTCCTTTTTTTCCTGAGATGAAGTCTTGCTCTGTCACCCAGGCCGGAGTATAGTGGCGCGATCTCGGCTCACTGCAACCACCGCCTCCCCAGGTCAAGCGATTCTCCTGTCTCAGCCTCCTGAGTAGCTGGGACTACAGGCCCACGCCACCACGCCCGGCTAATATTTTGTATTAGTAGAGACGGGGTTTCACTATCTTAGGATGGTCTCAATCTGACCTCATGAACTGCCTGTCTCCTTGGCCTCCCCAGATGCTGGGATTACAGGCGTGAGCCACCGCGCCTGGCCTAAATCCTGTTTTATATTTGGCATTAAAATGTGTTGTTTCATTAAGTATCTACTCTTGAAAATGCTAACATTTCCTTTTATAAGAAAAAAAGTTATGGTAATAAAGAAGCTTTGCTAGATAGTCTCATTTGTGTTTATTTTTCAGCTTTAGAAATAGTAAGCTTCCCTAATATACTCCAAAAGGGAAAATTCATGTTAGCTTTGCTCATATGTGGTACTGCTGTAATCCACAACTTCATAATTCATCTTGAGTCTACCAATTTCACTGTTTAATCTCTCATCAAAAGTGTGCACTAGGTTACTCTGGTTGATGGTCAGCATAATCACATGCTAATTTGGCTTCTGTTTTTCTTGACACCAGCCTACAATGTCAAGACTCCTCATAACTCTCTTCTGCCATGCAGTTTCCCAAAGAACAGGCCTGTCTGCCAGAGGCCATAACATTGTCTTAATGTTTTCCATACTTACAGATCAAATGTACCCATGGTGGCTTCGAGACAATCACCTTTGCAGAGGCATCTCCAATTCCACATAGAGGAAATTTTCACTCTTTCTCAAATGTGAATACTGAAATGGAGAAGCAGAACAATGTATGATCCCAGGAAGAAGTGTTCAGAGGCACACTTGAGGACTTTATGAAAGAAAACTGGATATTTCCCTTTCTTTGGTGACTAAATTGGCATTGACCATTTAATTTCTTTTTTTAATTCCTTTTAAAAAAAGGAAATTTCACCACGTTCTCAAGTTGTTCTGATATGTTAAGGTTGGGTGTTCTACCTAGGATTTCTATCTAAAGCAAAAATTTTAGTGAAAACAGTTATACTCTATTTGCAGGTGAGGGTGAAACTAGAAATTCTGGAGGAGGAAATCATCGGCTATGTTTTAGCTTAGAATGTTTTTTTTACTCAACAAATAATAATGCAGTGCCTCTAAGGGCAACACAAAAAATGGCACTAAGGGCCAGGTGTGGTGGCTCACACCTGTAATCTCAGCATTTTGAGAGGCCAACGCAGGTGGATCCCGAGGTCAGGAGTTCAAGACCAGCCTGGCCAACATGGTGAAACTCCATCTCTACTAAAAATACAAAAATTAGCTGGGCGTGGTGGCACCTGTAATCCTAGCTCAGGAGGCTGAGGCAGGAGAACTGCTTGAACCCAGGAGATGGAGGTTGCACTGACCCAAGATCACACCACTGCACTCCAGCCTGGGCGACAGAGCGAGACTACATCTCAAAGAAAAAAAAAAGAAAGAAATTAGCACTAAGAAATATACAAAATAATAATCCCATTATTTTGGATAGCATTTGCATTTCAAACGTCTCTTGATGCTGTTTGTTTGTTTGTGACAGAGTCTTGCTCTGTCACCCAGGCTGGAGTGCAGTAGGGCAATCTTGGCTCACTGCGACCTCCACTTCCTGGGTTCAAGCAGTTCTCATGCCTCAGCCTCCCGAATTGCTGAGATTACAGGCTTGCACCACCACACCCAGCTAATTTTTGAATTTTTAGTAGGGACGGTGTTTCATCATGTTGGTCAGGCCAATCTCAAACTCTTGACTTCATTTGATCCACCACCTTGGCCTCCCAAAGTGCTGGGATTACAGGTATGTGCCATCACGCCTGGCTCTTGATGCTTATTGTCTTATTTTGTGATTGAGAAAATATTGCATTTTTCTTCAAGGAGACTATACCATTTGAGGTTGAAGGAATGGAGTACAATAATAATTTATTAGGCTACAAATTAGCACATATTCTTTTAACAATCAGATGATTTTTATACAAAATAAAGGATAGCTTTTGAGGTTGAAGGAATGGAGTAAAATAATAAATTATTAGGCTACAAATTAGCACATACTCTTTTAACAATCAGATGATTTTTATACAAAATAAAGGATAGCTTTGGAATTTATTTATGGACTGATACCTCACAATGACCCAAATTAGTCACCCAAATTAGTCATGGCAAGTAGACCCAAATTATGAGTTTAAGCTACACAAGTAGGCAGGTAACAATGGCTTCTTTTTTTTTTTTTTTTTAAGACAGAGTCTTGCTCTGTCATCAGGCTGGAGTGCAGTGGCGCGATCTCGGCTCACTGCAACCTCTGCCTCCTGGGTTCAAGCGATTCCCCTGCCTCAGCCTCCCGAGTAGCTGGGACTACAGGCGCACGCCACCACATCCGGCTAATTTTTTGTATTTTAGTAAAGATGGAGTTTCACTGTGTTGGCCAGGATGGTCTCGATCTCCAGACTTCGTGATCTGCCCACCTCGGCCTCCCAAAGTGCTGGGATTACAGGTGTGAGCCACCACGCCTGGCCTAAAATTGGCCCCTCTTTAAGATAATGTTGACATGGTAAAGTATTTCCTAAACAGTTTTACTTTAACTCTTAAAGGGTCTTTGAGCTTATGTTTTTATTAATAGAAAGAAAATAATGGATTCCTGTTAAAAGATAAATCCAACTGTCCATCAGCAATTGCAACAATGAAATCTCTAATATGAACTGTCAGTGTTTTCTCTAACAGATACTGTAAAGATTAGAAGAATGACTGGGGAATGCCTATAATTTCTGGGTCAGGCTAAGTATCTACTGTCCATTCTAACATCTAAAGAGGATGGGAAATGAAACCAGGAAAACTGGGTTTTGCAAAAGGTGATTAACGTTCAAAATCAGTATAAATTTTTCCTTAAACTATCAAGCTTTACTCTGAGTTTATAAATGAATGCTCATTGAACACCTATTAAAGGAAATGAATTGTAGAAGCAGGCCGGGCACAGTGGCTCACACCTGTAATCCCAGCAGTTTTCGAGGCCGAGGCTGGAGGATGGCTTGAGGATGGGGACTGAGATAAGCCCAAGCAATATAGCAAGACCCTGTTTCTACCAAAAAATAAAAAATAAAGATAAAAAAAACTAGGCAGCCTGGGTGGTGTGCACCTGTGGTTCCAGCTGCTTTGGAGTCTGAGGCAGGAGGATGGTTTGAGCCCAGGAGATCAAGGCTGCAGTGAGCTATGATTGTACCACTGCTCTCCAGCCTGGGCAACAAAATAAAACTCCATCCTTTGGGGAAAACAACAACAACAACAACAACAACAACAACAACAACTATCTTAGAAGTAGAAGGAATCATTATCTGTTTTGTGTAGTTATCTGTGATATGTATCAAATTATCCCAAATCTTTATGACAAAAAATAATAAGCATTTAATACTGGGTGTTTCTGTGGGCCAAGAGTCCAGAAGCTCTGACCAGGGTCCTCTGGTTTCCCGTCCTAGAAGAGCTGCAATCAAATAGTTGACTGAGTCTTCAGTCATCTAAAGACGGCTGGGGGACCATCCACTTCCAAGCTCACTCACATTGCCATTGGCAAGACTTACGTTCTTGCGGCTGTTAGCTAGAGAAATCAGTTTCTTGCCATGTGGAGCTCTAAATAGGGCTATTCACAACTTGGAAGATTCCGTGCCAGAGAGAGAAAGAGAGAGAGATCACGGTCTTTGTGCCATAATCTCAGAAATACCATGAGATCACTTTTGTTTTATTCTGTTTGTTAGAAGTTGGTTACTACATCCAGCTGACTCTCGAAGAGGAATACACACAGGGCATAAATACCAAGAAGTGTGATTGGGGGCCATTTCAGAAGATGCTTGCTTTCTGTAGAGATAATCTAATCCAATCTTTAATTTTATAGCCAAGGAAAGTGAGTTGCAAAGTGTTTAATTACCTTGTTCAATGTAGCAAAGCCCCTTGCTATCATTACAAGATCTAGATATCTCCACCTAGTCCAAAACTCTCTGCAGGAGAAAGGCAAGAGTGGACGGGTTGGAAATGTAAAAGCTATCTTCTACCACAGTGTTTTTCAAACTACAGTAGTCTTCTCTTATCTTCAGGGCATACATTCCAAGAGCCCAGTGGATGCCTGAAACTGTGAATAGTACTGAATCCTATACATTCTATATGTTTTCCATCTGATAACTGAGAAGGCTTCTTAGTGGATAGCACAGACAGCATAGATAAGCGGATAAAGGTATGGGTCATGACTGGGGCAGGATGGAGAAGAATGGTGCAGGATTTCATCACACTGCTTCTGGAATTTTCCACATAATATTTTATTTTATTTATTTATTTATTTGTTTTGAGACAGGGTGTTGCTCTGTCACTCATGCTGGAGTACAATTGTGCGATCTCAGCTCACTGCAAGTTCTGCCTCCTGGGTTCCAGCTATTCTCCTGCCTCAGCTTCCTGAGTAGCTGCAACTACAGGCACACGCTGCCACACCCAGCTAATTTTTGTATTTTTAGTAGAGATGGAGTTTCACCACGATGGCCAGGTTAGTCTCAAACTCCTGGCCTCAAGTGATCCACCTGCCTTTGTCTCCCAAAGTATTGGGATTACAGGTGTGAGCCACCGCGCCTGGCTCCATACAATATTTTAAATCACAATTGACCACAGATAACTGAAACCATGAGAAGCTAAATGCTAGATAAGGGGAAACTACTGTACTCTGAACACATTTATGCATTTTTTTCCTGACCCTTACTTCATTTTATCTAGAAATTTTTTTTAAAAATTTTTGTTATGTTTACATTTTATCTAGAAATTATTAGTTTTCTGTAAGGCTTGGTATGTTTGAAAATGCCTGTTTTTAATGATTTTGTCAATAATTTTACTGAGCCAATTCAAAGAACACCTTCTCTAATTATTCCCTCACATCATATTACAGTGAACAGAATGGAGAAACTTCATGGGCTAGTAATATATCTTTGAGTAAACTTTTGTTGTCTAGTAAAGAAGATAGATGCACACATAGTTTGAGGACCTATTACATGAAACTGAGTCTTTCATATCTTCCTGTCAAAGTCATTTTATGTCCTATCACATACACATAGTAAAACAGTAGGAGATCTCAGGAAGACACCCACAAAGAAGAGAAAACACTTCCTGGAATGTCTGTTTATTCTTTTGCTAAATTTCTGAAACTTGCTTGGAAACTTCAAATTGTTTATAAATCTATCATTTTAACAGTCTGTTTTTAAGCTGCTTTTATTCACTTGAAGTTTTATAAACCCTGTTTAATTTCCATAAAAACACATTTAGATCGCTTTAATCTCTCATTGCCATTTAAAGTGTTTGCAGCTTTAAAAATGTATTATAAACATCACTGTGAAGACTGTCCATACATATTTACCTATGTATGCCTCTCTGAGCATCTCCGTCAGTAATTCCCTAGATACCCTAGATGCAGAATCTCTTTCAAATGTGGGCACATTTCAAAGACTTTTGGTTTAAAAATTACCAAATTACTCTTGAGAAATTTTAATCTCAGGAGCAGATTAGGAGACTAGAGGAATCTAATTATAGGTTTCTAAAATGATATTTCTTTCTTTGTGACAACATTTTTTTTGTTGTTTTTTTGTTTTTTTTTTATGTTTTTTTTTTTTGTTTGTTTTTTGAGACAGAGTGTCACTCTGTCATCCAGGTGGGAGGACAGTGGTGCCATCTCCCAGCTCACTGCAAGCTCCGCCTCCCAGGTTCAAGCGATTCTCCTGCCTCAGCCTCCCGAGTAGCTGGGACTAGAGGCGCGCAACACCACACTCGGCTAATTTTTCGTATTTTTAGTAGAGACAGGGTTTCACTACCTGTGAGAAGCCAGGCTGGTCTCGATCTCCTGATCTCATGATCCCCCGCCTTGGCCTCCCAAAGTGGTGGGATTACAGGTGTGAGCCACTGCGCCCGGCCGGACAACCCTTTTTGTTTAACTTTTCTATATTTCTTTTCCTGGAAAGGAAGAAGCTACCATTTTCTAAGAGAAAAGTAACATGTAGAATAAGAAAACTTGGAGTTAGGTTTGTGACTCAATGCCTAAGAAATCCAGGTGGGTTCAGCCCGTGTCCAAATGGACTCTCCCATTCCCAATCACCACTGAGTTTTACCAGGAAAAGGTAGTACTCTATTTTGTTCAGTCTCTCCCATCCGTTCCTCCACCACATCACTTTAGGAAGTATTAAAAAATATTCACAAACATTTACAGGGGAGCAGGGGAGCTCATTGATTTTCTGAAAGCAATTTGTTAATTAACATCAAAGGAATGAAATCTGACTTGCATAGTCTAGTGAGTGGCATTTTTCCATAGTCCTGGTTGCTATGGTGATGAAGGAAACTCGTTTGTTCTGGGTCACTCCGAAATTTGTGCATGAAAGCATGAGAGATTATTCCTGTCTAATCAAGTTATATGGAAAAGTCGAAGGGGAGGTGCTATGTTTTACAGCCATCAACCCTCAACAGAATAAAACACAATAGCTGAGAAAAGGGGATTATATCTTCCTTTAAAAAAACAGAGCAGAGAATTTCTAACTGACCCCAAAGCCTCTTCCAGCAGAATCTCTTTTTTTTTTTTTTTTCTCCACTAATATGAGGAATGTGAAATCACGTTTCTTAAAGGGAATTAGAGTACATATTGAAAAACTCTACAACCCGACTTTGCATAATGAATAAGGAGTAGGGTGTGCATTCATTAAACAATTTTACTTTTGAACTTAAATTCTACAGTGTGTCAAATGCCTCACTAGCTCTGCATTGCCAGCAAGCCAAATTCTGTTACAATTAACATAATTGGAAAAGCTGGAATAGAAAGGGAATAGCTCACCTCTTCTTTACCAGACCTCCTGGCCTCTGTAGTATATAGACTTAAGCGTCTCTTGAACATTCCCCTGCCCGTCCAACACCTCAGTTACTCCTAAAGCAGATGGTAGTTTTGTATGTCGTTATTGGACTCTCTGTGTCAGCCCAAAGATTTTTTTTTAACAGTTTGTGGCTTCATTATATTTTGATTTTTATTTATATAAAGCACCTGTTTTCCCCCTAAGACACATAGATGTGAATTCAAATCTTTTTCCTGCCATTTATTAGCTATTTGGTTTGGAAAAATCCCTTAATACATATTTTTTTTTACACCTCAGCCTTCTTATCTACAGAATGAGGATAATAAGTTTACCTCTCCAGGATTTTTTAATGGTTTTCCCCTATAATTATCATCTATTGTAGCATAACAAATAATGCCCAATATTTAGCAGCTTAAAACACCAAATATTTGTTATTTCATATAATTCCAGAGGGTCAGCAATCTAGAGCCGTATGGCTGAGTGATTCTAGCTTAGGGTACTTTCACGAGCTTCCAATCAGACATCAGTCACAGCTCTAATTATCTAGAGACTTGACTGAGTCTGGTAGACCTGCTTCCAAGCTCACTTATGCGGCTGTTGGAAGGTTTCAATCCCATACTGTTGTTGGTCTGAGGTTGCTTTCTCTCATCATTTGATTGTCTCCATAGCAGCTGGCTTCCCCTAGAATGAGTGCCTTGAGGAGAAAAGAATGACAGATGAGTACAAGAACAAGAAACAGTACCTAACACAGAAGCCACACTCTTTTATAACCTAATGTTAGAAGTGACAACTCATAGCTTTCCCTATATTTCATTTATGAGGACAATCTACTGACACTCAAGAAGCCTAATAAGACCACACCCAAAGAGAAGAGAATTAAGCTCCGCCTCTTAAAAAAATGAAGATCAAACGATACATGGACATATTTGTAAAATCGCCAAATCTTCCTTAGATCCTCAATTTACATTCATCTCACAGACAATATACACATCCTTCTCAAGGCCACCAAAGTCTCATCCCATTGGAGCCTCAGCTCAAAGTCCAGAATCTTGGCATGTAAATTGAGTCCAGGCATACACAAGACTCTTTGGATTTAGTCCCTTAAGTAGAATCCCTTAAGTACAGTTTCCTTCTTTCTCCCTATGATTCTAAAGATGTACATTTTCTGCCCCCTGCATAAACATTACTCACATTACATATATATATATATATGCATATAATGGTGGAACATGTTTAAGATAACTGCTATAGGTACTCTTGACCTGAAAATGAGAAGATAAGAGGCACAAACATGTCACTGGTCCACAGTTGCTGTGAAATCCAGTTAAGCAAATGTTGGATGTTCACTGATTAGGACTTACGGCCTGAGAATAATTCTCCATAGCCCTCAGCTTCACCATCTGGGCTCTGGGTTTGTTGTTCTTTTTCCTTTTTGATGACAAGGAGAACATGTTTGTAGCTGAGTCATTCTCTCAGCCCACTTTCTGCCCGTAGAATTTGAAACGCCATGGCCTCTTTGTTTTGCATTGTCTCTGTCCTTTTGAATTCAAGTTGACAATGTCACTGAATAAAAACTATATTGGTCTTCTGTGAAAATTATTGTAGAACACTCTATTAGACAAAAGCCGCCACCCCCCAATTTCTTAAAAGATACATGCTTCTCTACTTTTCAAAAATTAATTAATTTATTTATTTTTTAAATTTTTGTGAGTACATAGCAGTTGTATATACTTATGGGCTACATGAGATGTTTTGATATGGGCATGTAATGTGAAATAAGCACATCATAGATAATGGGGTATCCATCCCCTCAAGCATTTATTCTTTGCGTTGCAAACAACCCAGTTACACTCTTTATTTTAAAATGTACAATTAAGTTATTATTGACTAAAGTCACCCTATTGTGCTATCAATAGTAGATCTTATTCACTCTTTCTATACCTTTTTGTACCCATTAATCATCCCCACTTCTCCACCAGCCCCTCACTACACTTGCCAGCCTCTGGTAACCATTTTTCTACTCTCTAAGTCCATGAATTCAGTTGTTTAGATTTCTAGATCCCACAAATAAGTGAGAACATGTTACGTTTGTCTTTCTGTGCTCGGCTTTTTTCACTTAACGTAATGATCTTTGTTCCATCCATGCTGTTGCAAATGGCTGGATCTCATTCTTTTTTTATGGCTGAATAGTGCTCCATTGTGTCTATGTACCACATTTTCTTTATCCATTCATTTGTTGATGGACACTTAGGCTGCTTCCAAATCTTAGCTATTGTGAACAGTGCTGCAGCAAGCATAGGAGTGCAGGTACCTAACATACTGATTTCCTTTCTTTTGGGTATATACCTGGCAGTGGGATTGCAGGATCATATCGTAGCTCAATTTTTAGTTTTTTGAGGATGATCTTCTCTACTTTAGGATTCTGCTGAGACTACTAAGGGACAATACCCTTGAGATTCCTAGCACCCCTATTGTTTGATTGAGAGAATCTATAGGACACACAATGGATATCTTAGTGGATCTCTAGTCTGACTGAAAGGAATGCTGAGGTGCCACCATAGATCCTTCTGAGGTGTTATGAAATAGTTTTAGTCGCATTCTTGCCATCATCTTTAGACTAGTTTTCCTGGCACCATCCTGCATATGCTCTTTGCTGAGGACCCATTTCTTAATTTTAGAATTGTTTGCTGTTTGGAATGTCTGAGAATTTTCAAAACCATCAAGTCCTGGTTTCTTCAAGTTGCATAGTCTCTCTAGCTGATTTTTCTTCTCCCACATTTTACTATAAGCGACCATAAGAAATTAGGTAGCACTGGCCGGGTATGGTGGCTCACGCCTATAATCCCAGCACTTTGAGAGGCTGAGGCGGGTGGATCACCTGAGGTCAGGAGTTCGAAACCATCCTGACCAACATGGTGAAACCCTGTCTCTACTATAAAAACAAAACAAAACAGAAAAACAGCCAAGCATGGTGGCACATGCCTGTAATCCCAGATACTCGGGAGGCTGAGGCAGGAGAATCGCTCGAATCCGGGAGGTGTAGGTTGCAGTGAGCCGAGATCACACCACTATAGCCTGGGCAACAAGAGTGAAACCCATATCAGGGAGAAAAAAAAACCAAAAAAAAAAGAATCGGGTACCACTTAAAACAAGTTTCTTCTTGTTAGCAGATGTCAATTCCTCACTGGCTGTTGGTTGGAGGCCTCTGTTCCTCATCATGTGTGCCTCTTCATGGCAGTAAGCTTCCCCTGGAGCAAATGGTTCAAGAAATTGTGAAGTAGAGTAAGAGAGCAAAACAGAGCACACAAGTTGAAGCTGAAGGCTTTTTATAACCTAATCTTGATGTGAAATTTGCCATAGTGTACTTATGAGAAGTAAGTCATTGAGTCCAACCTACACTCAAGAGGGCAAGAATTAAGATTCCTCCTCTTGAAGGGAGGATTATCAAAGAATTTTTGAACATATTTGGAAAACCACCCTACTCCATTCTTATGGAATGAATTCTATCCTCTTAAAATTCATCTGTTGAGGTGCCGAAACCCCTGTCATTGTATTTGGAGATAGGACCTCTAAAAATATAACTAGGCTTAAGTAAAGTCATGAAGGTAAAATCCTAATCTGTGAAGGCTGGTGTCCTTATTTAAAAAACAGAAGAGGCACTAGAGCTACCTCTGTCTCTCTTCCCACAAGCACCAGTGAAAGTCCATGTGTGGACACAGACAATGTGCTATCTGTAAGCTGAAGAGAGGCCTTGCCAGAAACCAACTTGGCTGACACTTGGATCTTACAATTCCAGCCCACAGAACTGTGAGAAAATAAATTTCTCTTGTTTAAGCCACCAATCTGTGGTATTTTGTCATAGCAGCCCAAGCAAACTCATACACCCAGAAAGCACTACTAATGAAAGAAAAGGGGCATAAAATCTAGCCCCAGATCCAGCCGCATGTGCAAAATTTATTTGCAGGATTTTTTACTTGTAAAGTTTATGGAAATATTATGTATTATATAATATCGGGTCTCATTAATGTTCTGTAACAATGTGCTGTGCTTATACTGTGCTGGTTTTAGTAAAAGACCTATTACACATAGTAAGTCCTTAATAAATAGTAATTTTTATTAACGATAGGCATTTACCTATATCAATAATTCTAATCTGCATGAAAATTCCATTAAAATGGTCCTGTTATCTCTATTTTACGTAGGTGAACTTGGGCTCAGAGAAGTCAATGTTCTGTGTTGACATTCCTAATACATAACAAAACTGGGCTTACAGCACCAAAGATGAGTTCTTTTCACTGTAAGAATCTGCCTTTCTAAAGAGATCATGCTAGTATTTTGAAACAGTTCACTTCTTGGAAAACTGACATTTTAAACAGGAACATGTTAGGATTCTCCAGAGACAAATACCATGAGTGGAGAACACAGTGTAAGTTATTTTATCTTACCGAATCTTTGATTACGTGAGATTCATGTATTTTTATTACAAAAGCACCAAGACTTACATATCAGCAGACTTTGGGAATTAAAAGATACACATTTATTCATTCATCCTTGTTTGAACACTCACAACCTGCAAAACATTGTATTGCTTATTGAAGTTTAAAGAAAGAGTTGTAACAACTCTGGAATACATAATCTAGTAAAGGAAATTAGGTGTGAACACAAAGAGTTATGATACCTGTATCAGTTAGCTATTGTGACTATAGTTCTGCATAACAAACCACTCCAAAACTCAGTGGCCCACAACAAAAATAATTTATTCTTGCTTACTTGTCTTTGGGCTGCTCAGCCAGGTGTCTGACCTAGCCTGCTGTCTGCTGGGCTCACTTCAAAGCAATAGGTTAGGTCAAGATCTGCTCCAGGTGTCTCTCATTCTCCCTGATTCAGTGTGATAGCCAGAGCATGCTATTCTCATGGTGATGGCAGAAAAAAGAAGAGAGGCAAGTAAAAACCTTTTGCCTTTTAAGACTCAGCTCTGGACACACTAGCAACACATTCCATTGGGAAACGGAGTCACATGTCCAACTCAACATCAATGGGGTGAGAAAATAAACTCTGTCTTTAATGGAGGAACTACAAAGTCACATAACAAAAGACATGGATACAGAGCAGTGTAATGAATTGAGAACAATAATAAAATTTATCACGTAAGTAACAGGCGGTACATAAATTCCTTAAAATGCGTCAAAAAGGAGAGTAAGCACTCAGTCAGAGTCATTAGATCTTATTTTAAGCTCGTCTTCTCTGCCTAAATGTGAATTAATTGCTTAACTGCCCAGGACCTCAGTTTCCTCATCTTGAAAATGATTTTTGTAAAGATTAAATATCACATACACATACATGAATATCAATGTCTGGCATATAGCAAGAACTCAATACAAAACAGAGAAATGCAAGACAAGAGCTACAAGGGTTCACATTCTACTAAAGGAAGCAAGACATTCATTTGTGAAACAACTAGAAAATGATAACAGGCAACCTCTAAGCAAGAATGAACAGCATATAAAATGTGATCCATGTGGAGAGGGCTTAGTCAGGAAAGTCGTCTTTATCCGTATAGAATGGAGTTCACTAAATGAATAACTTCAGTTCTCTTTTATTTCTTAACAGTTAATTTCAGGAGAGCATGCATATATTTCCATTCATCTTAACTGTTTATAAGATATTCTGGCAGTGAAATGACATGGTTGTCATGGAAGCAATCAAGAATCAGAAATCAGAACTCAGGAAAGTGTATGCAGCTGACCATGCTCATTTTTACAATACAAAAGGTTTTGTTTTTTTCTTTATAATAAGTCACTTGTGAAGGTACATGTCCATCAAAATTTTCATTTTGTGATACCAAATCAAATTCATTAAGCAAGTATAGTCCCACAACTGTCTAAATACAGACTAATGCATGTGTATGTATTTGATATCCATGTGCATCTTACACATATTTAAGCATTTTAGGTATGGTTCATTCTCATTCCCTTTCTGCTTTGGCTAAGTTTAGAGTTTCCCTACTATCCTGGTTACTGAGACTAAAACCCAACTCAAGATCATTTATATTCAACTTTACTTCCTCAATAGGTAAAATCTATACTCTCAAGAAGTTTCCATTTTATTTCAGAAGAAAATTATTCAAAAACAAATGTTTGAAGAAACAGGTTAGGATAGATAGAGGGACTAATTAGGCTCCCTGAGGTCCTGTACCAGCTTTCCTATGCATTTTGTCTAAACTCTTTAATGTTTTTAATTTTAAATATTTGAATATTTTCAAAGGTGTCATCTTCATTTTTTCTACCCCTTATTTCAGTTCAATTAATAGTGATCAATAATATCCTATTTGTAGGAGGACTGAGCTAGGTGTTTTGGAAGTGCAAATGACTGACATCATCATTGTCATAGAGGTCCCAGCACATGGGATGCTAAAATTAAAAACTATATTTGTTGTTTTGTACATTACAATGAAGAATGAAATTTGATATGTTTCTTGGTCTAAGAGAAGAATTCACAAAATGAGTGATATTTGAATTGCTCTTAAAAGATGGGTAGGATTTAATTAAAGAAACATAAAGTGAGAGCAAAGTACTCTAGAAATAAAAGTATGGAAATATCTTGCAGGCCTTTGAAACTCTTGATCTTGGACTTAGGCAAAACACCAAGGCTGGAAATGTAGCAATGAAAGTTATAAGAATAGTGGTGTTATATAAAGCCATATAGAGAGACCCATAGAGAGAGACTACAAAGAGAGGAAAGGAAACATAAAAAATCATCAGGAATGGGCAGAAGAAGAAAAATACGAAAGGAGACTAAGAAATTATCACAATGGATAATTTTTTAAAAAGTGCAGTGTCATGGAAAATGAGTATCAAATTCAAAAGAAAAAATCAATTGGCAGATTAATAACAACCAAAGGAAGAAGTTGGTGAAAATTATTTATTCTACTGGACAGTTTTCTTTTTTTCTTTTTTCTCTCATTTTTTAAATTTTTATTTATTTGTTTATTAATTTATTTATTTTGAGATGGAGTCTCACCCTGTAACCCAGGCTGGAGTGCAGCGGTGCAATCTCAGCTCACTGCAACCTCTGCCTCCTGGGTTCAAGCGATTCTCCTTTCTCAGCCTCCCAAGTAGCTGGGATGACAGGCACACGCTTGCAAGCCTAGCTATTTTATTTTATTTTATTTTATTTTTTTAATTTTTCTTTTTTTGAGGTGGAGTCTCACTCTGTCACCAGGCTGGAGTGCAGTGGCGCGATCACAGCTCACTGCAGCCTCTACCTCCTGGGTTCAAGGGATTCTTGTGCCTCAGCCTCCTGAGTAGCTGGGATTACAGGCACGTGCCACGACACCCGGCTAATTTTTGTATTTTTAGTAGAGACAGGGTTTCACCATGTTGGCCAAGATGGTCTCAATCTCCTGACCTCGTGATCCACCCTCCTTGGCCTCCCAAAGTGCAGGGATTACAGGCGTAAGCCAACGCACCCAGCCAATGAGTTTCTTTTAAGTCAAGAAACATAAGGAAAGAAGAAATGAACAAATGTAAACCTTTAAGAATAAGACAGAAGTTGAAAAGGTCTACATAAAAGGGTCTTGATGTTACTATTTTATCGAGCGACCTGATTTGCAAGGGTTAAGTCAGGTGGTAACACTATCTTTTCTCTTATTGTCCTTTAAACTGGATCCCTCGACCCATTCTTTCATAATCTAGATGAAATCTCAGCCAGGCACCACAGCTTTTCTGGTCCCTTTAATTTCCAAGATCAGCCTTCTTTTACTTATTTATTTATTTATTTATTTTCGAGACGTAGTCTCACTCTGTTGCCCCTGCTGGAGTGCAGTGGCATGATCTCGGCTCACTGCAATCTCCGCCTCCCAGGTTCAAGTGACTCTCCTGCCTCAGCTTCCCGAGTAGCTGGGACTATAGGCGTGTGCCACCACACCTGGCTATTTTTTTTTTTTTTTTTGTATTTTTAGTAGCGATGAGGTTTCACAATGTTGGCCAGGTTGGTCATGAACTCCTGACCTCTAGTGATCTGCCCTCCTCGGCCTCCCAAAGTGTTAGGATTACAGGCATGAGCCACTGCAGCCAGCTTTATTTTACCAATTGAGTAGTCCCTACAAATGTAATATTTAATCTCAAAGGCATGCAATTTAAAATAGTGTCTACTCTCCCAGTTCAGGCTTACCTTAGGTATACATGCATGGATTGATTTTTCTGTCTCCTTTGTTCACCTCTTTCTCTACTCCTTTTTTATTTTTTACTCCTCCAGGATCTAGGTAGGTAGAAAGTAGAATAAGGGGGAAATTGCCCAGCCTATGTAGCTGGCATAATCTCATCTGTTGTTCTTGAGATAGAGGTACAATTTGAGGCTCTGTGTCTCTTGACAATCTTTTTTTGAGTTTCTCAAAGTTACTCCCACAGGGAAACACAAACTTCAACTTCTGTAATATAGCCTGGCTGGCTGCTCTGAATTTTTTTTTTTTTTTTGGAACAGAGTCTTGCTCTGTCGCCAGGCTGGAGTGCAGTGGCACAATCTCAGCTCACTGCAACCTCCGCCTCCTGGGTTCAAGCGATTCCCCTGCCTCAGCCTCCCAAGTAGCTGGGATTACAGGCACATGCCTCCACGCCCGGCTAATTTTTTGTATTTTAGAAGAGACGGGGTTTCATCATGTTGGCCAAGATGGTCTCGATCTCCAGACATCGTGATCTGCCTGCCTTGGCCTCCCAAAGTGCTGAGATTACAGGCGTGAGCCATTGTGCCCAGCCTTGGCTGCTCTCAATTTTATCCTCATCTCTTGTCTTCTGGTTGTGCGGGTCACTTCACGCTTCTGTGCAGTTCTTAAGATGATCCTGGGATAACACTCTACCTTGAGGTCCATGTTATTTCCCAGAAAACCTGCCACCTTTTCCAGCTATTGATGGAAGATCAGTTTCCTCCTGATGCAGCCTTTTCTCTCCTCTCTGCTGCAAAGCAGCTCACTCTAGGCTTTTGTCTTCAGACTTTTGTCTTCACCAACTTTTGTCTTCAGACTCCTTTCAGCAAGAAGAATCATATAACAAACCTTACGTTCTCTAACGCAAGGAACACAATCAATAGCCATACCACTCTGAACATGCCTGAACTCATCTGATCTTGGAAACTCACTCAAGGGTTATATTTTAAGGTCTACTTGGGGTCCCTTTGAATCATTTTTCGCTTGTTGTCAGGCGAAGAGCAAGGACAAGATGTCACAATATTTCAGCTACTCTCCCCAGTGAAATTCTCTCATGGCCTCTCAAGCTTCAATCTCTTATACATTCAAAAGGTAGTGATGGGCTTATGTAGCAAAATTGGTTCTGAGCCATATTCTTTACAAGTCCTGTGTGGCTGGTTTAGCATTGCTCTTTAGAATGGGGGAGGATTTGGCAACTATTGTGTTATTCTCAGCCAAGGACCTATGCAGAAAATTCAAGACAACAGGAAGAGTCGAATTTAACATCCTGATACATTAGTAAAATGGGAGATTAGATCATTTATTGAACTTGAACGAGGGCATTTAGGGATTTTTGTGGTTAATATAAAAGAAAAAGAGACTCCAATAAATGGGGTGGACAGTCAATTAGCAGTGAGGAAAAGATTTGGTAAATAACAATTGTGAGGTTTGATAACATCAATCTGAACTACAAGTCATCAATACAGTTATGGGAATTTTGCTGTCAAATTCAGTAATTTGGAAACTAGAGAGAAAAATGAATAGAGATATTCTTTTCCAGTGATGATGATTCACAAAATGTTTTGCAGCATAAGATTGTAATAACCAATGGTCAAGTCCCGGGAGAAAAAACAGACTAGGTAGAAAGGGAATAACAGTAACAACCTTAACCATTCATTAAGCACTTCCTGTATGCCAAAGTCTTTGTACATATTCCTTATGTAATATTATCTGTGTTTTACAGAAATAAAGAAAAAGAGAGTCTTAGACTAAGTAACTTTTCCCTAATGTTTCAGAGCTGTTAGTGGTAATGGGATTTGAACTCAGATCTGTCGCACACAGAGTCAGCACTCAGAGGTAAATGAGAAAGATACAAGTAGACTTAAAGATGAATAATTATACAGCCACATGCAAAGAAGAATGGAGGCACATGCAAAGTAGAGTGATAGGAGCTTGTAAATCAAGAGTCCAAATTCAAAGTTACTGTCATTGAGTATTAATGAAGAACAAGTGTGGCTGTGCAAATGGGTTGTCAAAGTAGCATAGAGCTGCAGGTCACTGGAGTAGAAATAAATCAAAGGATTGATAACAAGGAAGTTGTTTCCTTGATCTTTTTGAATGTTGCATCCACCCATGGAAAAGTTGAAAGATTGGATGCCAAGTGGGAAATATGTGATTGAGAGAATAAAGATGTCAAAGAATTTAGGGAAATGCCATGGAAGTGCATAAAGTTTAGTGGCGAAAATGAAAAAAAAGTTAAATGATATGGGCTTCACAGAGATCTAGAATTGTTAGAAGAACGGAATGGCAAAATAATTGAGAAGTGAAAATGGGAAGGAAACAAAATTTCAACATGGAATTTCTGAAGCTCCAAGTTACGAGAAAATGTGTCACCTCTTCAGGGAACTGAGCAGGATATGGGATTTGCAAGAAAAGAAAGTAGAAGATCATACTCTCCATTTTCTACCTCCCTGGAGAGGCCTTTCCTAGTCACTTGCTCTAAAGTAGTTCCTTCCTCCGGTCATTCTTCATCACCTTAGCATCTTTTATTTTCTTCACCATACTCATTATTAAATAAAACTGCTTATTTGTTTTTTAATACTTTACCCACCACTAACATATGAGCTCCCAAGAGTAGCGACTTTGATTTGTTGACCACTCCAGCCTCATCATGGGGAGCAGAGCCTGGCCCCATAGCAAGTGCTCAGTAAATATGTGTTAAGTGAAAGCTTGAGTTGGACTTGATGTTTGAGGAAAGTCTTGAGAATATGCTCAAGTGTGTGGTTTTTTTGTTTGTTTGTTTTTGAGATGCAGTCTTGCTCTGTCACCAAGTCTGGAATGCAGTAGCGTGCTCAGCTCACTGCAACTTCCGCCTCCCAGGTTCAAGCAATTCTCCTATCTCAGCCTCCTGAGTAGCTGAGACCACAGGCACACGCCACCATGCCAGGCTAATTTTTGTATTTTTAGTAGAGATGAGGTTTTACCATACTGGTTGGTCTCGAAATCCTGACCTCAGGTGATCCACCCTCCTCAGCCTCCCAAAGTACTGGGATTACAGGTGTGAGCAATCACCCATGGTCAAGTTTGTCTGTTTGTTTGTTTTTTTAACAGAATAAAGATGTATCAAAGAACAGAAACAGGAAAAGTGGTTAATGTGATCAAGAAGAATCGACCTGAACTAGATGGAAGAAGTGTTTAGCAAAACATAAAATATACCTAACCAGAGAATTTTAATTTTCATTTGTAAATGAAATCAATGTAAATGAAATGTAAATGTAATTCAGGAGATGCCTTGAGTGATGGAGCTGCAGAGGTGTGAAGCAACAGACATATGGATCAAGTTCAATATGGGAAGACAAACAGACTACGGGACCCTGTGCTTCTACCTGGAATGACTACTTGGTATTTGGCACCTAAATGGGAGTGGGATGAACTGTGATTTGGTCACTACCTGTGATTCTACCTGACTTCATTTGTATGTGACTGCTGAGGAATGTTAATAAGGACACATATTTTAGAAGTCTGAGGCCGGTGGATCACGAGGTCAAAAGATGGAGACCATCCTGGCCAACATGGTGAAACCCCGTCTCTACTAAAAATACAAAAATTGGCTGGGTGTGGTGGTGCACCCCTGTAGTACCAGCTACTCGGGAAGTTGAGGCAGGAGAATCCTTGAACCTGGGAGGCAGAGGTTGCGGTGAGCCAAGATCACGCCACTGCACTCTAGCCTGGCGACAGAGCAAGACTCTGTCTCTAAATAAATAAATAAATAAATAAATACATAAATAAATAAAATAAGGACACATATGATCTCTTCTTTTCCCATTCTTCTTATATTTATCTTGAAGTCATAAATGACTCTCTGTTTAGCATTAAACAGCAGACCATGGTTTTTTGGGGGTAAAATGGAGTATTAACGTAATTCCTTAAATAATTTTGTTTCTTAAGGTAAGAAAGCTGCTACTGGAGAGGACTATAGTGGAGAGTTCAACCACACAATTTCATTTGCTTACAGGGTTTCAAATGATAGAAGAGAGAGAAAATGGGCAACTGAGGTTATGATTATCTCATAATGTTAAAGTCTAAAATAGGTAGGGAAGTCAGTGTGGAGGCAAGCAGTAGGCTGAGAAAGCTGGAATTTTTTGGCAAACAAAGCAGAATTTGGATCAAATGAACAGTATGACTGTCAGACTACACTAAATTTGCTTAAGGTTCGACACTGGCATTAATCAGAAACAAAACGCCTGCCCATAATAACTACTTGAACTTTTGTTCCAAGGAAGTGAGGTGGTCTGATGAAGCCTCATGAACTCCCTGGCAACAGAGCTTTCCAAAAATAGTCTGCTCTAGTGATAGTTTAAAAAGAAAAAGGGACAAGGTCCTTGAGTTTGTGTTTGCAGCTTATTTAGACTTGAATTGACTGAAGAAAGGAAAATCATCCAAATGCTTAAAGAAATTGATTCTCTAAATTCCAACCAAATAGTTTGGAAGGGTTGTTTATCCTAATACATTAGGGCTCATTAGATAAAACACAGGAATTGCCAGAGAGGATTAGTGGGGGTTCTTGTTTGTTTGTTTGTAGTTCCTTACCGGGATTTATAAAGTCAGCCTTAGAAGGAGGGATACAGCAGTGACTGATCTAAAAATAAATTAATTAAAATATAGGAAAACGAGGGATTTGGTACATGATCTAGATTAAAACTTTGAACAAACATGGTGCGTCCGGAATTGGTGGGTTCTTGGTCTCACTGACTTTAAGAATGAAGCCGCGGACCATCGCAGTGAGTGTTACAGTTCTTAAAGGCCGCGTGTGCGGAGTTTGCTCCTTCTGATGTTCGGATGTGTTCGTTGTTTCTTCCTTCTGGTGGGTTCGTGGTCTTGCTGGCTCAGGAGTGAAGCTGCAGACCTTCGCGGTGAGTGTTACAGCTCTTAAGGTGGCGCGTCTGGAGTTATTCGTTCCTCCCAGTGGGTTCGCAGTCTCGCAGGCTTCAGGAGTGAAGCTGCAGACCTTCGCGGTGAATGTTAACAGCTCATAAAGGCAGTGTGGACCCAAAGAGTGAGCAGCAGCAAGATTTATTGCAAAGAGCAACAGAACGAAGCTTCCACACTGTAGAAGGCGACCTAACGGGTTGCCACTGCTAGTTCGGGCCGTCTGCTTTTATTCTCTTATCTGGCCCCACCCACATCCTGCTGATTGGTCCATTTTACAGAGAGCCGAGTGGTCTGTTTTGACAGGGTGCTGATTGGTGCGTTTACAATCCCTGAGCTAGACACAAAGGTTCTCCAAGTCCCCACCAGATTAGCTAGATAGAGTGTGGACACAAAGGTTCTCCACGTCCCCACCAGAGTAGCTAGATACAGAGTGTCGATTGGTGCATTCACAAATCCTGAGGTAGACACAGGGTGCTGATTGGTGTGTTTACAAACCTTGAGCTAGAGACAGAGTGCTGATTGGTGAATTTACAATCCCTTAGCTAGACATAAAGGTTCTCCAAGTTCCCACTAGACTCAGGAGCTCAGCTGGCTTCACCCAGTGGATCTCGCACAGGGGCTGCAGGTGGAGCTGCCTGCCAGTCCCCTGCCGTGCGCCCACACTCCTCAGCCCTTGGGTGGTTGATGGGACTGGGTGCCGTGGAGCAGGGGGCGGCGCTCATAGGGAAGGCTCGGGCTGCACAGGACCCCACGGAGGATGGGGGAGGCTCAGGCATGGCGGGCTGCAGGTCCCGAGCCCTGCCCCGTGGGGAGGCAGCTAAGGCCCGGCGAGAAATCGAGTGCAGCGCCGGTGGGCCGGCACTCCTGGGAAACCCAGCACACCCTCCGCAGCCACTGGCCCAGGTGCTAAGCTCTTCATTGCCCGGGGCCAGAAGGGCCGGCCGGCCACTCCGAATGTGGGGCCTACCAAGCCCACACCCACCCAGAACTCCAGCTGGCCTGCAAGCACTGCGGGCGGCCCCCGTTGCCGCTGGTGCCTCTCCCTCCACACCTCCCTGCAAGCTGAGGGAGCCGGCTCCAGCCTTGGCCAGCCCAGAAAGGGGCTCCTGCAGTGCAGCAGCGGGCTGAAGGGCTCCTCAAGCGCGGCCAGAGTGGGCGCCAAGGCCAAGGAGGCGCCGAGAGCGAGCAAGGGCTGTGAGGGCTGCCAGCACGCTGTCATCTCTCAATGGGAGAGATGCAGAGAACAAACAAAATTTAAAAACGTGGAGAGGCAGGAGGTCTCCTTACAGTTGTAGTCTCTGATAGGAAGCTGTGAAGGAGCTGTTACAAAGCCCAGAACCAAGGTGCACCAGCCCTGTGTTGTTTGTGATATCAGAGGCTGTGTTACATAATGGCTAAGGCTGTGCCACTCTGTAGGTAGACTGCTGGTTTCATAACCCAGCGAGATCACTTCTTTGCAGATTTTGGGCAAATTACTTTGCCTCTCTGAATGCCTGTGTTCTCATCTGTGAGGATAATAATGGAATCTACCACATAGGTTTGGGATGAGGATTAAATGAGAGAATTCATGAAATAATATCTAGCCTTTCATAAATATTATTTTTACCATCACCATTACTATCATCATCATCATCATCATTTCTGGTGCTTATTACAGTGCCTGACACATGGCAGATACTTAGAAATATGTGATGACGGCCGGGCATGGTGGCTCACGCCTGTAATCCTAACACTTCGGGAGGCCGAGGCGGGTGGATCATGAGGTCAGGAAATCAAGACCATCCTGGCTAACACGGTGAAACCCTGTCTCTACTTAAAAATATGTATATATAAAAATTAGCCGGGCATGGTGGCGGGCACCTGTAGTCCCAGCTACTTGGGAGGCTAAGGCAGGAGAATGGCGTGAACGAGGGAGGCAGAGCTTGCAGTGAGCCGAGATAGCGCCACTGCACTCCAGCCTGGGTGACAGAGAAAGACCCTGTCTCAAAAAAAAAAGAAAAGAAAAAAAAAAGAAAATATGTGATGATGCGGACTGGCTGACTGAATGAATGACAGTCAGAATGAATGTTTCTGCTGCCTGTTATTACACTTAAAATCCATCACAAGAGGTTAAATCTGGGCCACAAACTTGGTGTCTACATGGTCCAATTGAGGCATATAAATGAGTAAATCACACTGGGTGTGAGAAAAATAAATAAGTCAGCGGGGCACAGTGGCTCACGTCTGTAATCCCAGCAGTTTGGGAGGCCGAGGAGGGTAGATCACCTGAGGTCAGGAGTTCAAGACCAGCCTGCCCAACATGGCAAAACCCCATCTCTACTAAAAATACAAAAATTGGCTGGGCATGATGGTAGGTGCCTGTAATCCCAGCTACTCGGGAGACTGAAGCAGGAGAATTGCTTGAACCTGGGAGGCGGAGGTAGCAGTGAGCCGAGATCGTGCCACTGCACTCCAGCCTGGGTGACAGAGTGAGACTCCATCTCAAAAAAATAAATAAAGAAATAAATAAATAAGCCTTCTCGGCCTACCTTTTATTTTCTGACTTTGGATAGACGTATAGGTACGGAGAAATATTTCTATGCTCTGAGTAAAACAAAAGCCCCAACACTGATGAATGACAACTGACTATTCCTCCCTGTCAGGGATGCAACAGGGAGTGGTGGTGAGTGTGGCAACCTGATGACCCCATCACCTTCTAGAGTTGACAGACTTCGCACAGTTCCTGCTGATTATTGCGTTTGAGAATGCAAGCCGTGTGTGGCCAACACTTTGATATTTCAGAAGAGCCTGGAAACTTTTAAAAAATGTATTTTTATTTTTACATGTTGCCTCAATGTTTTTGTAGTTATTGCTTGTCTTTTAAACACTGGGCAGGCTAAATATTATCTGACTGCTCACTGGTGATCCAGTGCAGGGGCCCGAGGTAAATTATTAAAATGCAAATCCCCCTGGAATGCGCAGCCCCTAACAAAACTGTTATCAGCAAGTGTCACCAGAGAGAGGACTGGAGGGTGTTATATGTGAACATCTGGGGGAGGAAAGATAAAAGGAGAAGTGGGAGGGAGCCAGAGGCAAAACCTGCCTATTCCATCATTTCAGCTAAAACTGGTCAGAATACTGAGAAAGAGAGGATGAAGAGAGGCCATTATGAGCACTCATGAAAGAAGAGTTAAGGAGGGTATTTCAAAGCAATAGGTCTTGGGAAAAATGGATAAATTAATAATTAAAAATACTCTTTTCCAGTCAACACAAGTACAGTCAGGAAGTTTTAAAACTGCACACATAGAAATACAGGATTATTTTCCATTTACCTCCATCAATCTCATGTTTGTTTCTTAGAGACACAAATACCTTTGCACTTTTAAATCTGTGAAATGTTTGGGGAAATTGAGAATTCTCTGTTTGTACCACTGCAGAGCCCATTTTTGTTCTGCCTAAGCTTGCTGCTCTTGTCATTGAGAATGGCCTTGTCACATATTTGCAGAATGTCTGCCTTTGATTTTGGTCATGAACTATACTTTTGAAATGCATCCAGAAGCTCCCATCACCGCAGATGCTGGCCCTGCCCCTGTCTTCAGGTGCTGATTTCCTATTATTGTCTACATCATTGATTTAGGACCCACTGCATTTAATTCTCTATTCAAGGAAGGCCAGACAATAAAACAGAAATAGAAGATATAATCTTAGCCCTTTGGGAGCTTAAATTCTAGCAGAGATGACAAAAAAAATTATATAATAACAATGGAAGATGTTCCTATAGTATTATAGTGTATATAATATACATATATACACTATATATATAGTACTAGTATACCACAGTATATAGGACATTTAGTATAGTATACTATAGTATCATATTGCTGAAAAGTACTGCCTTGCAAATAGAAAAACCAGGGCTGGAATTGTGTGTCTCTATTGACCAAGTGGTTGACTTTAGGCTTATCTGTAAAAATAAAATAATGATATGTACTTCCTGGGTGGTTGAGGATGAAAGGAAATAACATTTGTTCAGCAATCAGCATACAGTGCCTAGCTTATAGTAAGTGCCCCAAAAGGCAGATTTATAAAATGTTGCTTGCCTTTACACAGTTTATAACTAGTTACAGAAAAAAATATATATTGGGGAAAAATACAAATAGCAAATCTGTCGCTACCTAACTCTGGAATATAGTAATAAGATGTTTTAGGCCGGGCGCAGTGGCTCATGCCTGTAATCCCAGCACTTTGGGAGACCGAGGTGGGTGGATCACAAGGTCAGGAGATTGAGACCATCGTGTCCAACATGGTAAAACCCCATCTCTACTAAAAATACAAAAATTAGCTGGGTGTGGTGGCATGCGCCTGTAATCTCAGCTACTCGGGAGGCTGAGGCAGGAGAATCCCTTGAACCTGGAAGGTGGAGATCGCAGTTAGCTGAGATCATGCTACTGTACTCCAGCCTGGCAACAGAGCGAGACTCTGTTGCAAAAAAAAAAAAAAAGTCTCAAGTTAATAACTGATGACTTATAAATAATGACAAAAGAGATTGTTATATGCAGTGTTAAGGTCTGCCAAATTTTATAGATACATAAGTATTGCCGATTGTGGTACAGTATACGTAGAGAAAAGAGCATCAGCGTTAGATGATTGTGGTACAGTATACATAGAGAAAAGAGCATCAACCTGAGATGCACAGCTCAATGGTTTTTTTTTTTTTTTTTTTTTTTTTTGAGACTGAGTTTCGCTCCTGTTGCCCAGGCTGCAGTGCAGTGGTGCAATCTCGGCTCACTGCAACCTCCACCTCCTGGGTTCAAGCGATTTTTCTGCCTCAGCCTCCTGGGTAGCTGGGATTACAGGCGTGTGCCACCACGCCTGGCTAATTTTTGTATTTTTAGTAGAGACGGGGTTTCAACATGTTGGTCAGGCTGGTCTTGAACTTCTGACCTCGTGATCCACCTGCCTCAGCCTCCCAAAGTGCTGGGATTACAGGCGTGAGCCACCACACCCGGCCTTCAATGGGATTTTATATGCATACACCCATGTGACCACCACCAGTCAAGATATAGAATATTTCCATCACACTAGAAATTTCTTATTTCCCCCTTCTATCTACAATTGTTGCCTTCCACTTCCAATTAACTATTATACTGACTTCAATCACCATAAATTAATTTTGTGTAGTGTTACCTTTATATAAATGTATTGTTCTCTATGGACTGTTTTGTATCTGGCTTTTTGCAGTAAATATTTTTTTCTGTGACAGAAAAGCTAGGTAAAGCAAAGTCTGAGAGTTCCAGTGGCTTCACATCCTGATCAACACTTGATAATGCCAGTTTTTACATTTAGACACACTGGGGAAGGGAGGGTGTATTGGTATCTTGTGATTTTTGATTTGCTTTTTTCCTGTGTCTAATGATGATTAACACTTTTTTATATTCTTTTTTTTTTTTTTTTTTTGAGATGGAGTCTCACTCTGTCACCCAGGCTGGAGTGCAGTAGCACAATCTCAGCTTACTACAAGCTCCACCTCCCGGGTTCGAGCCATTCTCCTGCCTCAGCATCCCAAGTAGCTGGGACTACAGGCACCCACCACCACGCCCGGCTAATTGTTTGTATTTTTAGTAGAGACGGGGTTTCACTGTGTTAGCCAGGATGCTCTCGATCTCCTGACCTTGTGACCCGCCTGCCTCAGCCTCCCAAAGTGCTGGGATTACAGGTGTGAGCCACCATGCCCAGCCCACTTTTTTATATTCTTACTGGCCATTGAGATATTTTCTTTTTACTCTCTCTCTTTCTCTTTGTAAAATAACTGTTCATGTCCCTTGCCCATTTTTCAAACTCGTTATTTAAATTTTTAAAAGAATTTACCTCCTTATATTCCAGATAAAGTTGAGAATATCTTCTGTCTACAACTTGCCATTTCACTCTCTTAATCTCTTTTCTTGATGAAAAGAAATTCTTAATTTTATTGAATTCCAATAATTTTTCAAGAGACAGGGTCTCACTCTGTCAGCCAGACTGGAGTGCAATGGCACAATCATACTTCAGTGCAGCCTCAAACTCCTGGGCTCAAGTAATTCTCCCACCTGGGCCTCCCAAAATGTTAGGATTACAGGTGTGACCTGCGCATGTGGCCAAAATGTTCTTTTATAAATAGTGTTTGAGGGGCAGGCACAGTGGCTCACACATGCAATTTCTGTACTCTGGGTGGCCAAGGCAGGTGGATCACTTGAGGCCAGGAGTTCGAGATCAGCCTGGCCAACATGGCAAAACCTTGTCTCTACTAAAAATACAAAAAATTAGCCAGGCGTGGTACATGCACCTGTAGTCCCAGCTGTTCAGGAGGCTGAGGCACAAGAACTGCTTGAACTGGCCAGGCGCAGTGGCTCACACCTGTAATCCCAGCACTTTGGGAGGCCAAGGTGGGTGGATCACGAGGTCAGGAGTTCAAGACCAGCCTGGCCAACATAGTGAAACCCCATCTCAACTAAAAAATACCAAAATTAGCCGGGCATGGTGATATGTGCCTATAGTCCCAGCTACTTGGGGGGCTGAGGCAGGAGAATCGCTTGAACCTGGGAGTTGGAGGTTGCAGCGAGCTGAGATTGCACCAGTGCACTCCAGCTTGGGCAACAGAGTGACACTTTGTCTCAAAAAAAAAAAAAAAAGAATCACTTGAACCCGAGACGGGGAGGTTGCAGTGAGCCATGATGGTGCCAGTGCACTCCAGGGTGAGGTTCTGTCTCAAACGAATAAATAAATAAAATAATTAGTGTTTGTATGAACTTAAGAAATCTTTGCTTATCAAAGTAGTCTGGATGCTATTTCAATTCTTTTAAGGTGTCTGTTTTGGAATACCAACAATCAGAGACCTGTCAAAAGTCTTCAAATACTTGTGATTCCCAGTTAAAGGATTTGCCTAAGGTATGTCAGATCTTATCACTACTATTTTCAACCTTTTAATCCAAATGTGAGAGTTTTTAAACCCCGAGCTCTAAAACTCGGTGACTCTGGGCAAGTTTCAGAACCTTGTCTACAGCCCACCACCCATGGCTGGGACACTGTCTGGAGCTGCTGGAAACAATTCCAGCTATGGGATGAGGATAAGGGCTTTTGCTTCCTTCCTTCATTTTTGTTGAATAAATGCATTTATTCCCAGAATAAATTTGGCCCCAGATGACTATTATACAATTGTGAGTCTGTTCTTTTGTTCTGTCTTCCAAACATTTTCTAAATGTTTGGTGAAGAATATCTGTGACTAAGGCGGGGGCTGGGGTCGGGGGCGGGGTTCTGTCTTGTAATTATCTTCACCAGGACAGAAATAATTGGTCTATTACGAATCCAATTTCCACTTCTTTTTAACTTATATGAAACATCAGAAAGCAAATTTCTCCCTAATCTATAAAGAATCAAAATAGACTTCTTAATAATGAAGTTTGAGGCTATTTATTTGAAAATATTACTTATTCCCCTTTATAGCTCAATGTTCAGTGTTAATGGAGGAATGGAATTGAAATAAAACTGTATTAGTTTGCTAGGGCTGCCATAACAAAATACTACAGACTAGGTAGTTTAAATAGCAGAAATTGATTTTCTCACAGTTCTGTATACTGAAAGTCCAAGATCAAGGTGTTGGCTGATTTGATTCCCTCTGAGGCCTCTCACTGTATTGCAGATGGCCACCCTCTCACTGAGTCTTCTCTTGGTGTTTCCTCTGTGCTCATGTAACCATGATATCACTTTTTGTGTCCAAGTTTCCTGTCTTATAAGGACACCATTCATGTTGGATTACAGCCCACCCTAATACCCTCATTTTAAATTAATCACCTCTTTAAGGGCCCTATATCCACATGCAGTCATATTCTGAGGTACTAGTGTTTAGGACTTCAACTTGTGATTTTGGAAGGTTGAGGGAGGCACACAACTGGGCCCATAACAATCACTAATGGGTATTTTAGAAGAATGTGTTGGGGGAAAGTGCCAGATTAAAAAGCAGGCCGGGTGCTGTGGCTCATACCTGTAATCCCAGCACTTCGGGAGGCCGAGGCGGGTGGATCACGAGGTCAAGAGATTGAGACCATCCTGGCCAACATGGTGAAACCCCATCTCTACTAAAAATACAAAAAATTAGCTGGGCCTGGTGGCATGTGCCTGTAGTCCCAGCTACTCAGGAGGCTGAGGCAGGAGAATCGCTTGAACCTGGGAGGCGGAGATTGCAGTGAACTGAGATCGCACCACTGCACTGTAGCCTGGGCGAGAGAGTGAGACTCTGTCTCAAATTAAAAAAAAATCAATAACAAAATAAAAAACTAAAAACAGAATACATTTGACAATCTACAATATGTAACTGTCAAAGAAGCCAAGCGTTCAAGTAACGAATTAAACATGGAAACCCCACAAAACAACATTAACTGAATGTGCAAATGAGTCGGTAGGAGACTGAATAGATGGGGTGCTGAGGAGATCAGGTTTAGTGGCACAGCACACATTAAGCCAAGAGGGATCACGAAGAGAAATTTTCTGATTGAGAAAATTTGAGAGCCGGCTTCAAAGGAGATGAAGATGATGCATTTTCTGGAAAATGGAGGATATCATCTCAGAGAAGAAAATTAAGTACACATACCAAGGCTGTCAGTTGAAATGATAAGATAGTAAGTTATCTTTCCTTGGTTCTTTTCAAGTCTGCCTTCATGGAACTTAGTTTGATGTATACAAACGCCCAGGCTGGAGTGTAGTGGCGCGATCTCCGCTCACTATAAGCCCCGCCTCCCGGGTTCACGCCATTCTCCTGCCTCAGCCTCCTGAGTAGCTGGGACTACAGGCGCCCACCACCACGCCCAGCTAATTTTTTTTGTGTTTTTTAGTAGAGACGGGGTTTCACCATGTTATCCAGGATGGTCTCGATCTCCTGACCCTGTGATCCGCCTGCCTCGGCCTCCCAAAGTGCTGGGATTACAGGCGTGAGCCACCGCGCCCGGCCAAGAAAATAAAAATATTACTAAAGCACCTCTGCAACCAAATTCTCATGAGATTTAAGCTCTTGTTTCTTGAAGGAGAAAAAATATCCCCTCACTCTACTCTTTAACACTAATCAAAATTTACAACTGTGCTCTTAGGAATGTCTCCAAATCCTAGGACCCAGATACCTTGTGGAAGACTTTAATTTCCTGTGGGCATGTAAGAACAACCATCTAATACAGCAGTTCATGCCTGCGATCCGTGAAAGAGAGAAACGTGGGACTATAGCCAGCTCCTCCTGTCATGGCTCAGGACCCACAGCCTTTCTCATGTCTACCAGGGCTCAAGCAAGGCAGCTGTTGGGTATATCCGAGGAGTAAAACACTTGAGAACTGCTTGCCTAATGAGCTACACGTCAAAAACGTAGCAGACTACTCTGTCCATTAAAAATGGAATTGTTATGAAATAAAATTGGACTATACATATTGTTCATTTTTCTCCTTATAAAACTATGCCCATTATTTAAAATAAGTCAAACAATACAGCAGAGGATAAAGAAGAAAAAAAAAAGTTGGCTGAAAATCCCCCACCCTGAATTAACCATTGTTATCTTTTTGGTGACTATTATTTTCAACATCTGTCTATGACTAGGTATTTATAATATTTTACATAATAGAGATCATACCATACTGGCTTATTGGCAAGCTGCTTTTATCATTTAACAAAAAGTCATGGACACCTTTTTATGTCAACATAGTTAGAGCTACATCGTTATTTTTAATGGCTGCATGGTACTCCTTTGTGTGGATAAACCCTCATTTTTAACACTGATTCTCCTTTGAAGAACCTTGAAATTGTTTCCAACTTTTTGCTATTATAAGCAGGCTTTAATGAACATCCTTGTGCACCATTGTGCACTGGTCCTGCTATTTTCTTTGGATAAATTACTAGAATCTCGAGACATTCTTAAAATGGCTGTTTGTGGATAAGATGTAAAATTGTCCCAAAATATATCCAAATATGTCAGCCTTCTCTTCTATTTTTAATCATTTTGTGTAGAATATCTGTGGCTCTTTTTGGATGCCTTTCTCTTTCTTTTTCAAAGGTTCCGCAATGCAGCCCTTTCCCTCAGTCCTTCTGGGTTGGCTGGGATGAGAGAGTATGCATTGTTCTTTATATTTCTAGTTGTCAGTGATTGCTAGTAATGGGTGGGGATGATAGAAACTCTTATGGTAGTTTAGTGGAATGCAAGATCACTGTGAGGTTGGTGATTTTTGCCTAAGTCTTAAAAAAAAAGATAGAATTCAGGTAAAGCATTTTAGGGAGAGAAAACTGGAAAATGGGCAAAGTAATTTTAATGTGCTTGGCATTTGGGGAGAAAAGGAGGGAAGTAGTGATTAAAATACTTTTATATTTTGGCCCAAGATCTGTTCCTCTTTACCTCTCCGGACACATCTCTTTTCATTTATCTTCTTGATGTGAACACCATCTATGGAATGTCTTTCAATTCTTCAAACAGGGCAAGGGTACCTCTGTTTCTGTTATTTTATCTGCCCTATGCCTGGAACACCCCTTCCCTATCATTCTTCTCTCTCTAGAATACACATCCTTCACTTGACTAAAAAATATCACCTACTCAGGTGTTCATCTTATGTTCAATTTTGGAAGACAGTATTACTAGGAAGCCTTCCCTGAATCACTCAGACTGAGCTAGCTGTCCTTTCTGTTTGCATCCATGCTACCACTAACATTGTATCACTTTCATTGGATTTAAATGGCTTATTTTAATTGTCTGCTTCCTTCCATTCAAAGATGACACTCTTGAGTGTAAGCGACTGTGTCTGTCATATTCATCCTCATATCGTTAGAGTCTAATCCGGTGCTTGGAAAATTGTGGACATGGATGAATGTTTTCAATGAATGAATGAATAAATGAACAAAATGCAGTGACAAAATAGTCTTGTTGGAACGGTCACTTATGCAAGCAGATAGTCGGAACTGAGCCTGTAGAATCAGATAGAGCCTCTGTTTTGGAAAGTCTTGGAGGCTGACAATGGAATGTTAAAAACCATATAGCATTAAAATCTTAATCTAGAGGTACCTACAGAACTCTAGAGTATAAAACAAGAAATACCAAGGCTTTCAAAGCCTGGATAAATATTGTAATTAATTGTCTTTTCTTGCAAGATCAATGAAGGCCAATGATAGGCTTCAGACTAGCTGCTGGGGGATGGGGTTATTGCAAGCAACTCTAATTTGTTGGGGGAAACACCTGCTTCTCCAGAAAGCTGTCAGAAGTGTAAAGAAAAAGAAAACTGTAGATAAGATAGGATTCTGTCCAAGTCATGATTAACCTAAAAGAAACTTTTACAAAATGGCGTTTTGTGGAAAACAATTTCAGAATATAATAATAGATGTGTCCAAAGACATTTAAGTTTGGGAAAGTGTCTATAAAAATTTACTTCTTGGAGATTTATCACATGCATTAACCCATTAGACCCTTTGAGGACTTCTATGAGAAAGCAAGTTGTGTGGCTTCTTTTACCATCATATTTCCCAAACTTTATATGACAGCATACTTTTTCTGAAGCATACCTATTTATTTGTTGCAGAAAAACAGTGTGAGAAATACTGTTCTAAGAAGTCAGAGCTTTCTGAGATTATTCAGGACTAAAATATTGATAATACTTGTGCTTCATAGGGTTTATATAGTCTTATGTGCTTTGATTATAATTAAGTTGCTTATTTTAGATTATTTTAAATGCATCTCAGACTCACCAGTTTAAGACAAATCTATAGAGATAAATAGTCGAAGCTAAAGTATACTAATCATAAAATATGTTTGTCATTCTTTTTTTTTTTTTTTTTGAGGGGGGTACTGAGTTTCAGTCTTGTTGCCCAGGCTGGAGTGCAATGGCATGATCTCGGCTCACCGCAACCTCTGCCTCCAGGGTTCAAGCGACTTTCCTGCCTCAGCCTCCTGAGTAGCTGGGATTACAGGCATGTGCCACCACGCCCGGCTAATTTTGTATTTTTAGTAGACACTGGGTTTCTCCATGTTGTTCGAGCTGGTCTCAAACTCCCGACCTCAGGTGATCCGCCCACCTTGGCCTCCCAAAGTTCTGGGATTACAGGCGTGAGCCACTGCGCTCAGCCTGTTTGTTATTCTTGGGTACACATGAGACCCAAATATATTGACAAGGAAGAGGTACTACTAGACTACTTTTAATAGTGATGTAAAAATCATTTGAGATTGGCATACTGTTTGTAAACAGCTACAAGATTTCTATTTTTTTAAGTGCCCCAAATGTGTTTTCCTAAGGAGGATAAATATTCCCACTGAACTTCTACTTATCCTTCTAATTTGCTCATTTCTAAAATTCTATAAGTCAATGAATTTCAAATTGGCAGAGTCTGAATTAATGTGATTTAGATCATAGATCAAAGACTTAGCATTTTAAATGAAAATATATTCTTTATTATGCTTCTATGCCAGAGTTTTGTGAAGTGTATAAAGCACCCTTCATATGAGTAAGCAACTCTTAAGAATTACATATTCCATTCAATTTCAGACTTCTTTGAGAAAATATATCTACTGCTAGAAAGTTATTCATGTGTAAAGAAACACAGTATATAAGAACAACAACAAAAAAAGTAGAGCATTGTGTTTGAAGTCAGGATCATCATCATTACACAATGACCCAAAGCTAGGTTCCAGAAAAGTTGTTAAATTTATTATAAATGTATCTAAGGGCAAAAGCTACTGTATATATAAAGAGTACAAAAGATAATACATTGCAATGGTAGCAAATGTGTGAGTGGGTTCCAATCACAGCTCTACTGCTTAGTAATTCGTGACCTTGGGGAAGTTTCCATTCATAAAATTGGGACAATACCATTATCTCCTCCTATTTATTGAGAGCTAAATGAGAAAATAAATAGAAAGCTCTTAACGTAAGTCAGGTACATAGAAAGTACTAAAAATATTATTTATCATTATTCAAAGGTTATTATAAGCTAGAAAACAACTTAGTCCTGATTCTTTAATTTTCTTACCATTTTCTACTGTTTCAGAAGGCAATTACCTTGTTTACACCTTTCAATACTCAGTGATACACTTTGATACACTGAGGTATTCAATATTTCCTATTTATGTATTAGTATTTATTAATTAGTTGCTTTATTAGTATTTACTGATTTGATAGTATTTAGTTGCTTACGTCTCTAAAATCTATTTTCTTTTTAAATCAAGTCTCTATTTTCCAGGCAATACTCTATTTGATAGCATTTAGTTGCTTATGTACCTACAATCTATTTTCCTGTTTTTTGTTGTTGTTTGTTTTTACCTAGTCTTTATTTTTCAAGTAACAGGGAGAAGTCCATCTCTTCTTTCATTCCTTCATCTCCTCATATCATCATTAATTTATTTTTCCTATCCCAAGATGTTGTCTTTTTCCTTTAGAGATTACTGTTTTTATTTTTATTATTTTATTTTATTTTTATTTTTTTTGAGACAGGGTCTTTCACAGTTGCCCAGGCTGGAGTGCGATGGTGCAAACTTGGCTCACTACAACCTCTGCCTCCCGAGTTCAAGAGATTCTCTTGCCTCAGCCTACCAGGTAGCTGGGATTACAGGCACTTGCCACCACACCCAGCTAATTTTTGTATTTTCTTTTTCTTTTTTCTTTCTTTCTTTTTTTTTTTTTTTTTTTTTTTTTAAGTAGAGACAGGGTTTCACCATGTTGGCTAGGCTGGTCTCGAACTCCTGACCTCAAATGATCCACCCACCTTGGCCTCCCAAAGTGCTGGGATTATAGGCATGAGCCACTGTGCCTGGCCTGTTTTTACTAATAACAATATTATATATGGACAATGTCCTTTCTACTCATTTTGGCCTATTCTCTAGTTAGATTCTTTCATTAGAATTGATTCATCATTCTTACTGCTTCCTGTTTTAGTTTTGTTTTGCTTTCCTTAGAAGAAATGAAAAATGAAGAAAATATTTTTGCCTTGTCCACCAGAATGCACTCTCTGATGAAAGATACTGATAAAATAATGGACTTTGGACACATGCTGACCTGGGCTTGTATTACCTGCTCTTTCCCTTCCCAGCTCTCTCAGCTTGGACAGGTTACTTCACCACTGGCAACTTCAGCTTCCTCGTTGTATAATGAGCATGCTACTAATAACTTTGTAGAATGGTGAGGATGAGAAAACATTTGTCTAGAATAGAGGGAATCTGTAAATGTTAACTCAAATCATTGTCATTTCTCTGTTTTATTATAACAACTCATCATGCAGTTGGCAAATCAACTGCCACAATTTATTTCAATATTTAATTTCAGCAAAATGGGAATATGCTTAATCATCATGTATAATTTAAACCTGGCAGTCTAACTTCAGAATCTTCTTCTATTTTACCTGATGCACTATTGTTTCACTTCTTTTCTTCATATCAAACAAATAGAATTAATTTTAAATTATAAGATCTCATTTTAAAGATTCTAACCAGTGTATGCCTCTTTGTTTGGTGGTTTGTCAACATCTTAAGTAGATATTTTGAAGAGTATGAAGAGCGCAAGGGTTCCTCTAGAAACATAATCTAATTTTAACCTCCAATTTGAATTATATTTCAAATGTGATGCAGTGTAAATGAGCAAACACAAATTTGATGTGTGTATATGTGTGTCTATGTATGATGTAATCTCCTCCTTCCCTAGAGACAGGTAAAAATCTAACAAAGAGCTGAAGAAACCAGACTTTGGGAAGTCAAGTGATTTGTGTGATAAAAGCCAGAGTTACTCAGCAGTAGACCCATGCAGAAATGCATTTGGTAGAGCAGACACCCACAGCGCTGAAGTGGAAGACCTTGGTTTTGGAAGGTACCATTCTGGGTCCACACCATCTTGGCCACACACTGGCTTTGTGACCATGGGCAAACATGTTAGCCTCTTTGATCATCACTTTTTTCTTGGGAATACTAGTAGCCTTCTGTACAACGTAGTTGTAAAGAATAAGTGAGATAACATTCTTGCCATATGGTGACATCTCTCTAATTGCTAGTTTTTCATTTCCTACAGCCCCTCACTACGTGCCAGGAGTGGGTTTTAAAAAAGGATGACTGGCCAGGCTCAGTGGCTCACCCCTGTAATCCCAGCACTTTGGGAAGCTGAGGCAGGTGGAACATGAGGTCAGGAGTTCAAGACCAGCCTGGCTAAGATGGTGAAACCCCATCTCTACTAAAAATACAAAAATTAGCTGGGTGTGGTGGTGGGTGCCTGTAGTCCCAGCTACTCAGGAGGCTGAAGCAGAGAATTGCTTGAATCCGGGAGGCAGAGGTTGCAGTTAGCCGAGATTGTGCCACTGCATGCCAGCCTGGGTGACAGAGCAAGACTCTGTCTCAGAAAAAAAAAAAAAAAAAAAAAAAAAAGATAACTAAAAAACAGTCCCTGCCCTCACACCTCACAGATGCTCCAGTCTAACTACTGTTGGGAGGGAAGAACAGGATAGAGGAAATGAGAGCAACAGTTAAAGATGTTCCATCTGAGGCTTACCCTGTAGGCTAATTCCACACATTGGCAGAGTTTGGACTTGAACATTGATTTGCTTAGGTAATTCCTAGCCCTTCCACCTGTAACTGTGAGTTTACACATGCTACTTAACTCCTTTGAACTTTAATGTTTTTCACCTATATAATAAAATAATAGGAGTCATACATTGTACATTTATATGAAAAGTTTAAGGGCAAAGTGAACTTTTATATTATCACTATTTAAAAATGACTCTGCAGCAAAACAGAAGATATACTTGAGTCATTATTTTAAGAAGAATTTCTTCCAGTTATCCCTAATTCTAGGGGAGCTCACAAGGAAGTTAAACAAGCATGGACAGGAATGATCATTATTATATTCCATCTTTTTCAGACACTCAGACAATGGGTTCTCACTGAGCACCACACTGGGGGCACTGAAGTTAATATTAATAAGAAGGATGATGACCCCTTTATAGCCTCAGAGAAAAGAAAAAGTCATCAGTGTTTTAATGTTCTTCTCAAGAAGCCTACCATTGCCTCCTCTAAGTGCTCAGAACATTATCTTGCTATAGATATCTCCACCCTTGTGGCAGAGTCTACATTATTGTGGTATCTCTAATCATAACACAGTGAGATTCAGATATTTTACTCTAATTAATGTCATTCTAGAGGGTGTGCTGTGATGAATATATGTAAATATCTTATGAATTTGACCATGCTTTCAGCTCTGAACTCTGGCTTCCAGGAGTCAGTGTGAACTAATTGAATAACAGAAAACTCATAATTTAGCAACTGTAAAGAACCTGAAAGTATCCTGTAAACGATGCAACTGGGTCAGGATACATGATTATCTTTAGAATAAAATTTGAAATAATTTTCCAGTTTCCCTGTGCCTTCTGAATATTAGCTGTAGATATTAAATTGAAAGAAAGGACAAGATAAAACTTGGAAAACTGAATTACATTTTAAATGTAATTCCTATGGTACCCAATGCGAAACATACTACTTAGGACCTCAGTGGGGGCGCTCCATAAATGCTTGTTATCCGCAAATAAAAACCACTGGAAAGCCACGAAGGAAACCAGTAAGATTTCTCAGTGTTCTTTTTTCTGGTTTGTATTGCTGTGCATCCTCAGGCGATTTCCTGGCTTTCTCTCTCTTAGCTTAGAGGGATAACAGCCATGTCTCCTCTGTCCCCTAAGGACAGACCTTCATCGAGTCCCACTTAGAATGCTAAAACTGCGCTCTGGTTTGTCTCTCTGAGTATGGCCTCTCCCAGCCTGCCCATATCCGTCAGACTAATCACACTACCACAAGGCATACAGCACATGCCCCTCTTAAAAGGATTTTAAAATGCTCTGAAATACTCTTATCTAGTTAAATAATATGTAGATGAATAATATGTAGAATCAGATCATAACCAGAGATTACAGGCATGAAGCGTGGTAGTAATACTTGTTGCAAGTAGGTAGAACCATGTTTCAGCTGATGTAAACAAAAGACAAACAGGCCTGGCATGGTGGCTCACACCTGCAATCCCAGCACTTTGGGAGGCCGAGGCGGGTAGATCACCTGAAGTCAGGAGTTCGAGACCAGGCTGACCAACATGGTGAAGCCCCCATCTCTACTAAAAATACAAAATTAGCTGGGCATGGTGGCACATGCCTGTAATCCCAGCTACTCAGGAGGCTGAGGCAGGAGAATCGCTTGATCCCAGGAGGCGGAGGCTGCAGTGAGCTGAGATTCCACTACTGCACTCTAGCCTGGGTGACAGAGCAAGACTTATCATTTTAATGATAAAAATACACATTTCACGAAGTAGCGTGAGGATTAAATGAGCTAACATAGTAGGCATTTGTTGAAATGAATTATCCATTATGATTAAAAATCATTATCTAGCCATGTGTGGTGGCTCACGCCTGTAATCCCAGCATTTTGGGAGGCTGAGCTGGGCGGATCATGAAGTCAAGAGATCGAGACCATCCTGGCCAACACCGTGAAACCCCGTCTCTACTAAAAATACAAAAGTTAGCTGAGTGTGGTGGTGCATGCCTGTAGTCCCAGCTACTTGGGAGGCTGAGGCAGGAGAATCAATTGATCCCAGGAGGCGGAGGCTGCAGTGAGCCAAGATCGTGCCACTGCACTCCAGCCTGGGTGACAGAGTGAGACTCTGGCTCAAACAACAACAACAATAACAACAACAAACAAAAAACAGAATTTACTGGCTAAATCAAATGAAATATTCAGCAGGTCATTTGGCTTCAAGCGCACCAGGCAATCATGTTAAGAAGGTCTAGTTTCTTTTGATCTCTTGGTCTCACCCTCCTCCATGGTTTGACGTCATTTTTAGAGGCAATTTTCCTTCACGGTGATACGGATGATTACTAGCAGATTTTGTGAATATTATTGTCCAGGAGAAACAGGTCAGTCTCTTTCCTGATGATATGCACAGATGTCTTCAGATTCTCTCTCATTGGAAAGCTTTGGTCACATGCCTATCCCTGAACCAATGACCGTGACTAGAGGAATGGAATTCACTAATAGGTTTAGGCCCAAATCACATACACCATTTCCAAAGTCCCCCAGAAGTGGTAGACACTGAAAGTACTGGATGGGCAGATTTCTTAATGATGATCAAAAATTATTGTCTAAAGTAGGGTGCATAGATGCTAGGTAGCCCAGACAACATATGTGTATCATGCATGTCTTCTGTCAACTTAACGCTTTGTGTATAGCGTTAGAACAGCTTTTAAACCACTGAACTTTTGGGGATGCAAAGATTTAGATGGATACATAAACATCAAATGCAAAACATACCATTTGCTATAAACTCTTTCTAAAAGAGGTTAAAAAAATACTCTCACTACTTAGAAAATATGCAAAAATAGTTTGTGAACAAATTAGCAAAAACCATAGAGTATCTCCCATATCCACCACCCACTACCCTGAAAAAAAAGAAAGAGAAGGAAAAAAAAGACTAGCTTTGGTGTGATATTTTAAGATAAACCGATTATTCAACAAGTAGAAATGGGATAAGAGGAATAATGCAGGAAAATAAGACAACTTGTTTACCAGTTACTATGTAAGTCAAGAAAATATTTTAATAAAAGATTGAATATTTAACATAGCAATCTTTTTATTTCAAAAAGATAAAGCATATATAGCTTTTAATAATTTAGCTAATTCTTGCCATTTCTGCTAAGTAAGGCAGATGCTTCCAATGCCACACAGGAGTTGTAAGTGAGGGAAAAAGGAAAAGAAAAAGCAACTTTTATTCTGTTTCTGATGAGAGCTATTTCCTTCATACAAACAGAATGCCTGTGGATTCCCCTCTGTAGATTGGTGTGTTGAGCTGCATCTATTTCCCGGATGGTAACTAGCCTCTGAATACGACACTCCCCACATCCTTTTTCCCTTCTATGTTGTTGTACGTGGAATTAATCACATCCTAATGGAAACGCTGGCAATTTCAGAGCAGATTATGATTTTTTAAAATCCCCTCCAGGTAAAAGTTGCCGTCCTTTATAATTTTCAGAGTCAGCTTTCCTATCTTCTCCCACGTAGGAGGCTATCTTGCTGGTATAACCTGCATGAAGTGGACTGTGCAGGGTTAGATATGAAAGCGTCCAGGATCCAGCTGACTCTGTTTGAAGTATTGCCACTCTACTGTGGCAGGAGATGTTTTAAATCAAAGGAACAGAAAGCACCATAGAGAGAACACTCTTTTTTTTCCTGGAGATTTGTATTCCTGGAGATACTGCTTGGAAGCCAGGCTTCTCCCTCCAAAATTGTGATTTCCTGACAGTGAATGAATAGCCTTTACACCGTTTGTAGAGTCAGGGAAAGAAAAATACAATGGAACAACAGAATATGGTGTAGGTTACTCTTGCCACAGTATCCAACAGAAGGGGAAGGGTGAGAAGAAAGTGTTTATTATCTTCAGGATTACAATGGAGATTGGCAACAGCAGTCATCTAAAATAAAAGCAATCACATTGGCCGCGTGCGGTGGCTCATGCCTGTAATCCCAGCACTTTGGGAGACCGAGGCGGGTGGATCACCTGAGGTCAGGAGTTCGAGACCAGCCTGGCCAACATGGTGAAACCCCATCTCTACTAAAAGTACAAAAATTAGCCGGTCATGGTGGTGGGTGCCTGTAATCCCAGCTACTCGGGAGGCTGAGGCAGGAGAATCACTTGAACCCAGGAGGAGGGAGTTGCAGTGAGCCAAGATGGCACCACTGCACTCCAGCCTGAGTGACAGAGCAGGACTCCATCTCAGAAAAAAAAAAAAAAAAAGCATCACACTGTAGGACACATAGAATGTGTGGTCTGGAGCAGAGGTTGAAAAATTAAATCACACCAACCAAATTTGGACCATCACCTATATTTTGTACTACGTGTAAACGAGGAATAACGTTTACATTTTTTAATGTTTCGAAAAAACTACAAAACATTCCATGGACAAATGAAAATTACATGAAACTCAGATTTCTACACACGTAAACAAAGTTTTATTGGCACATAGATACACATTCATATTTTATTGTGTGTGGCTGCTTTCATGCTATAGTTGCAAAGTTCAGTAATTGTGACCTACAAACTACAAAGCCTACCATATTCACTAGCTGATCTTTGACAGAAAAAGTTTCTCAACCCCTAGACTAGAGGAAAGAGGAAATTTATGAGAGGACAACAGATAAAGCTAAAGATCTGGGTGTACTTTGTATGACTTTTTTATAGTTTTAAATTACTTGGTAAAGATGATTTTGCTCACGGACGACTCCTCATTGTTTAAATACCGCTTTAAAAATTCAGTCATTTATTTTATTGTTGTTGCAGGATGAGAATTTGTGGAGATAGAATTTAGGTTCTAATGGGCAACGTCTAATTTAATCTGGCTGAAACTTTTATCCTTCTGGTGGAGAGGATCAGGTGGACTCCTCAAAAATGGATATATATTTTTTACATTGTTATCATCTTCTGACCAGAAAGTAGAACAGCGATGCTCTTCCTCTGCTTCTAAATAAAATAAGTCTAAGTCTCTTAGCTTTGTACACCATTGATCCTTTGTGTCACGGGCACCACTTGACATAGAAAGTACTTCTGTAGGAAATACATGAACATATGAAGTATGTGTGAGCTAATAAAGTATAGATTTTGAACAATTTCACAGCTATCAGGCTTTAAGTGAGTGAATTTTAGCTTTTAATACAGATACTTTTTTTTTCTTTTTCCTTTTCTTCTTTCATAATTTTTTTTCTTTTTCTTTTTTCTTTCTTTCTTTCTTTTTTTTTCTTTTTTTTTTTTTAGAAACAGAGTCCCACTGTTGCCCAGACTGCAGTGCACGATCATAGTTCACCGCAGCCTCAAACTCCTGGGCTCAAATCACCCTTCCGCCTCAATCTCCTTAGTAATTACCACTACAGGCATGCACCACTATATCTGCTTAATTTTTAAATTTTCTGTAGGGACAGGGTCTCACGATGTTGTCCAGGCTGGTCTCAAAATTCTGGCCTCTAGCGATCCTCCTACGTCAGCCTACCAAGCCTACAGGCATGAGCCACTGTGCTCAGCCTCAGAGACGTTATTTAAGTTTGAAGGGAGGAGGCCCAGGTATCATGTTCATTAGTACCTTTATTGTTTGACTAACACAAGAGCTCACATTCATTAGAGTGAGGAAATTAGCCTACTTTTTTTTTTTTAATGATGTGGGAAAATTTTAAAAACTAATCCTATTTGAAGTGAAGATAAATGTAAGCAGATAGACATTGTATGTGCTGTTCTTCTTTAGCATATACGTTTTGACTAATGATTGTGTATAAAAGCAATTTTAGGCTGGGCGCTGTGGCTCATGCCTTTAATCCCAACACTTGGGGAGCCCGAGGAGGGTGGATCACGAGGTCAGGAGATTGAAACCATCCTGGCTAACACGGTGAAACCCCGTCTCTACTAAAAATACAAAAATGAGCCAGGTGTGGTGGCGGGCGCCTGTAGTACCAGCTACTCGGGAGGCTGAGGCAGGAGAATGGCGTGAACCCGGGAGGCGGAGCTTGCAGTGAGCGGAGATCAGGCCACTGCACTCCAGCCTGCGTGACAGAACCAGACTCCGTCTCAAAACAAAAACCAACCAAACAAACAAAAAAGCAATTTTACCCAGTTGGACATTCTCAGAGTTGATAGATATCTATATATTTCTTCTTAATTTATTTTTACAGAACCATTTGATTTCAGTACACGAAGACACATGAAAAGTGCTTGTTTTAAGCAATCATTTCTAATTTTTAAGGAAGACTTCCTAATTGCTTGTCAATTAAAGCTCTTAGCTTCAAGGTTTTACACTTTAATAGGAGGGACATGAACAAGTGACTTAAAACAAGGAATCTAAAGGGAAATGTGGATGGATTTCTTTCTTTTATTCAAATATTTGATAATGGTTCATAATGCCTTATAATTTACAATTGAAAGAGTAATGGAGATATCCAATAATTTAGAATTAGAAATAATTGTTAATAATCTTAGTTTCATACATTATTCACCAATAAATGTAAAGTTGTATGTAAAGATATCTATTAGCAGTCTAGATTTAAATTTTTAATAAACTTGGGAGCCCTTAAATGCAGAGAATCTTAGTCTCAGGAATACTAAGCAAATACCATGTGATTCTTGAAATAATTCAATAATCATAAGTAATTATAGAAAAAATAAAGCTATAATACACATCAAGTCATTGTGTCATGGAAAGTGAGAACTTTAACTCTGTAGTCAATAGTCATGTCCTCTAAAACGTGTGAATATTGTGTATTGATGAAATATAACAATTTTTGACTTTGGGGGAAAACTACAAAAAAAAAAAAGAAATAAAATGGAACATTAAGTTGTAATTATAACAATGTGACCACATAGGCACTACCAGACAAAAGGAAAGGGATATATGTCTGGATGAGTCCATTATGTTACCAGATAACATGCATGTGGACTAAGCGCTGACAATGCACTTACGATTATATAAATCAAGATATTCTACACGACTCTAAAAGAAAAGTAGAATATAGAATTGGACCACACAGGTATATAACTCACGTTAAACAAAACAAAGCAAAGCAAAAACTTATTCTGTCAAAATCAGGTGTTGTAAAGCTATAGTCCATGGGCCAAATCTGGTGTACTTACTGTTTTCATAACTAAAGTTTAATTAATTAATTAATTTTTGGAGACAGGTTCTCGCTTTATCCCCCAAGCTGGAGTATAGTGGCACAATCTTGGCGCACTGCAACCTCTGCCTCCCAGGTTCAAGTGATTCTTCTGCCTCAGCCTCCCCGTAGCTGGGGTTACAGGCATGCACCACCATGCCCGGCTAATTTTTGTATTTTTAGTAGAGATGGGGTTTCACCATATTGACCAGGCTGGTCTCAAACTCCTGACCTCAAGTGATCTACCTGGGTCGGCCTCCCAAAACGCTGAGATTACAGGCATGAGCCACTGAGCCCAGCCCAATAAAGTTTAATTTACATAGCAAATAAAAGACATAAAGAGGCAATTAACAAATGGGGAGATAATAATTATTATCAAATTTGTGGAGAAATTCTCAACATCATTACTAATCAGAAGATGCAAACTAAAGCAAGAATAAAATACCAATTTACATTCATCCGATCAGCAAAAATTAAGAATCTGGACTTTATCAAGTATTGCAGAGGGTATTGCCAAACAGGAAACTTCACCTCCTGTCTCATATGCATTTGAGCAAATTCTTGATGGCGAAGCTGGCAGCAACTCATGAATTTAAGTCTGTTTATTTTTATTTATTTATTTATTTAGACAAGGTCTTGCTCTATTACCCAGTCTGGAGTGCAGTGGCACTATCACGGCTTACTGCAGCTTCAACCTCCTAGACTCAAGCAAGTCTCCCACTTTAGCCGCTGCCTCCAGAGTAGCTAGGACTTCAAGTGTGTGCCACCATGCCTGGCTAATTTTTTATTTAAATTTTTTGTAGAGATAAGATCTCACTATGTCGCCTAGGCAGGTCTTAAACTTCTGGGCTCAAGCAATCCTCCCCGCTCGGCCTCCCAAAGTGCTAGGGTTATATGTGTGAGCCACTGCACCTAGCCAAGTGTCTTAATATTTTGTCACTCGGAGATGTATTTCTGAGTGCTTATCTCAGAGAAATAAAGAATCTCTCACAAGTCCATGTTAACAGCTGTGAAGTGAGATACTTAAGATCCCAAACCAAAATAAACAAAAAACCCCACAAATACCAATAAAAAAATTTAATCATAAAGCACCCTAAAATAAATGTTATTGTGAAGAACTCACTTGGGGTCTCTAGTATAATAGCAGCAAGGAAATTATATAATTTTTACTTTCTTAGTATCAATAGTCTATTAGTAGCATTTGGCTTCTGCAAAATTCTTAGTAACTTGAATTTTAAAAATCCTAAATTGTATATGTAGATGCATTAATGACCAGAATACATCATCTCTTGTGGCACAATTTTTCTCTATTCACAGAAGAAAGAATCTTTTTTTTTTTTTTTTTTTTTTTTTGAGACGGAATCTTGCTCTGTTGCCCAGACTGGAGTGCATTGGTGCAATCTCAGCTCACTGCAAGCTCCACCTCCTGGGTTCACGCCATTCTCCTGCCTCAGCCTCCTGAGTAGCTGGGACTACAGGCACCCACCACCACGCCCGGCTAATTTTTTGTATTTTTAGTAGAGATGGGGTTTGTGTTATCCAGGATGGTCTCGATCTCCTGACCTCGTGATCCACCCGTCTCGGCCTCCCAAAGTGCTGGGATTACAGGTGTGAGCCACCGCGCCCGGCCAGAAAAAGAGAATCTTTACATTTAATCCCCCCTACCTACCCCTCTCCACAAAATGTGAGTTACATGTTTAATAAAAGTTCTTCTAATACAGAGAAAATCTGGATACATTGTTTATTCCTTTTTCCATTGTCCATTTGAACATGTTTAATCACTACAGCAATGATTCTGTAATTCTTACAAATTATCTTGCAAAAAAAAATTGTTGGTAGGAAGAGGCTATCATAGCACAGAAAAAAAGATCATGTTCCTCCCTCATATTTATTTTCAAATAAACTTCATAGGCACTTCTCAAAGTGAGTTAATCATGAATGATCCACTCTATTTTTTTCATTTGATTCACAGAATACCCCCATGTGTACATGCACACACACACACAAATTTGAATATACTCAATTTTGCATAGACAGAGGATTGCTCTAGTCTAAGGCAGGATTCATTGGCCCAGATTCCCTAGTTTCAAGGGAAATCTGCCTCCCGTAACTTTTTCACTTCCTAATGATTACTTTGTGTGTTGGTATTCTTTTGGAGTGATCTTCCTGCCAGTTATGCTTGGTGAACTCTGCCTTTTCACAGTTTGTACAGTAAAGCCCTCTCTAGTCATAACAGTTGGCCTTCTTGCATACTTTTCTAGTAACAAGTACTGCTGCTCTGACAGTATTGAAAGCAAGAACTAAGGTCTGTCTGTGATGAATTGTGGTAGGAGAAAGAACTAGGATTAGTCAAAGATTCTTACGTAACAAAATCCAAAGTAGCATTCCACAGTTTTCAGGAATTATATTTGTGTTAATAGGACTGGCTTTGGAGAATCAAGAATATTAGTGGCTTTTTGTTTTTGGTATCTTAAAAAGAATAAAGAAACATGATCCACAACTTCTATTTGTACCACCTTTAAGATTGTGACCCTTTTACAGTAATGAATTATATAAAGCAGGAACAATTAAATCATTACAGCAGGAACAAAGTGATTGTCATGCATAGCTAACAATTTGAGAAACTATTGCCACTTTGTATTTAATTTCATTTCCTTGATATATTTTAAGCCTGTTTCATGAGAAGTTATATCCATGCAATTGCAAATATGACTTGCCTGCATTTTCAAGTGGTTCCAGGGGGCATTTTCTACTTTCTATGTCTCTCACACTTAAACATAGTCAACAAAGTTAATCATTTCATAGCTGTTGAAACGGTGCCATTCATCTCCTGTGATGTAATTTTACATAGTTGGTCCAAACCGTAGCTGTGCATAACAATTCCATTGATATTCTGTCAAATGTCACAAGCTTTCAAGTTCAGCACCTACACATTTATTGCATTGAAGCTGGAGATTACCTGAAAATCGTTTTGTCAGTGCTTCTTCCTATTAGATATAAAGAAGATATAGAGGGTGAGGGAGGAGGGCCTTGCTGCCTTCATATGCATGGTAAAAAAAAGTTTTCTAAACACTAGCAGTGCTCCAAAATAATGATGGCAACTTATTTATTTTGGTAGCTCAAAACCTAGCAGAATTTCTGGCTGTATTCTTGCATTTGCAAAGAAATGAATAAATGAATAAAATGACGGAAAATGTCTATTGTGAGTCAGCCAAACATTACTTTGCCATCACTGACCTCTGAGTCCTCTACCAAACACTATGTGGATGAATACAAAAGGAAGTAGAAGGAAGAGGAGTAGGAGAAGAAGAGAAAGAAGGAAGAGGAGGAGAAAGGGGTAAAACCGTGTTGTTTTTAACAATATATCATAGTACTTAGGATCAGAAGCTTTGGAGACGAATAGATCAGAGTTCTGAATTTTGACTACGCTGTGTCCTTGTTATGTGACCTGATAGAACAAAAACAACTCTTACTGAATTCTTATTTTGTGCCAGGAGCTGTTTAAGAGATTTACCCATGTAAATTTATTTAACCTTCACAGCTCTATGAAATACACATTATTCTATCATAATTACTAGTAGTAGTATTGCTATTATTATAATCGCTATTTTGCAAATGAGGCAACAAGGCGCGGAGAGTATAAATGACATATTCAGCTAATAAGCGGCAAGCTTGAACTTAATCCAGTCCTCATTCCTTTTTTTTTTTTTTTTGAGACAGAGTCTCACTCTGTCGCCCAGGCTGGAGTGCAGTGGTGCGATCTCAGCTCACTGCAAGCTCCGCCTCCCGGGTTCATGCAATTCTCCTGCCTCAGCCTCCTGAGTAGCTGGGATTACAGGCACCTGCCACCACACCTGGCTAATTTTTTGTATTTTTAGTAGAGACGGGGTTTCACTGTGTTAGCCAGGATGGTCTTGATCTCCTGACCTCGTGATCCACCCACCTTGGCCTCCCAAAGTGCTGGGATTACAGGCGTGAGGCACCGCGCCCGGTCCCAGTCCTCATTCTTAACCGCAATGTATAACCACTAACTCTCTGTTACAATGCTACCTCTCAAGTAATTAAACTTTTCTGAGCTCCACTTTGCAAGCACAGAAAATGGAATCATTATATCTACCCTGTAAGCTTGTTGTGAGAATTATATCAGGAAAATCACAAAGAAAAAAGTGTCTCCAGGACTCCACAGACTGCAGATAGTCATATTAACAACATACATTTTCTGTGTTCTTCCTTTCATTGGGTAACTCAAGGCCTCCAGACCTTCTGTGAAGTCACACCTCCCCAGCTGGCCTTGATGAGAGTCCTCAGTTATGCCTCATATGAGCTCATGAGCCTGCCATCAGATAGAGCTAAATCCTCTTTCTTCCTCTTTTGCTCAACTATTTCCTTATTAGTGACCTATATCCATAGACATCTTTGAAGATGCATTTCTTCCAAGGATATTATCTCTAGACATTCTCCTTCAGCCACCAGTCTTGTAGAAATTGCACGTTCCATGCAAAAACAGTGAGCATCTCTCTACTATAATTTGACCTTCATCATGATGCTTCAGGTCCTAAGCATTTATAAGCAGAGAGTCTTATGAAAATTAACCCTGAGGTTTTCTCTCCAGCCCATATTCTTGATGGGGATTGAAACCAATTCAAAAACTCTAGGCAAGGTAAAGATGTTCTTTCTTTCTTTTTAGTGGTCTCTTGGAATCCCCAGAGCATGCACACATATGCACAAACTTCCTGATTTAGCTTTCAGACAAAAACCAAGAAACTTCAGGCAAGTCTACTTATGCAAATAGATACTACAGATCCTTGTGGTACTGACTAGTCACCAGCAGATGCATTGACATAAACCTAAATTCTTTTAAACTCAGATAGACCAGCTATACACTAAGTACTTATAGTAAACATAGTAAACATTCATTTTTCTCTATTATCATTAGCCCTGGAAACAGACCAGCTCCCCAACCATAAGTCAAGTCATTCATTCAGCAGCTTTCTTTTTTAAAGTACAATCTACAAAGTGTAAAAATAGAGAAAAAGAAGCCACAGTGTCTGCAATCCAGACATTGATAATCTCCTTGAATAAAGGAGACACACATGCTAGAAGCAGTGATGTAATTAAGTAAATAAGTGTGTGAATGTTAACATCCATTCATAGATTCAGCCACCAACTATGCATTGTTTACCATGTAGCAGCACTGTATTAAGAATCAGTAATACCATGATGGATAAATAGATGTGCTCTCAGCCCTCAGGGAGCTTATATCATAGTGGGGGAGATGACAAAAAAAAAGTAATAAGAAAGATTGTGAAAATCTTTATGCGAACAAATAGAGTACAGACTAGAAGAGCAGGATTTTAGAGGAGGAGGCTGCATTAGTTTGCTAGGGCTGCCATAACAAAATACTACGGAGTAGGTGGCTTAAACAATAGAAATTTATTTTCTCCGAGGTCTAAATTGAAGTGTTGGAATGATGGCTTCTTCTAAGGTCCGTCTCCTTGGCTTGCAGTTCCCAAATTTCTTGGTCTTAAGACTCTTTCAACTTGGTGAGGAACTTTTGTACATCTAAGTTGTATCTATCAATGTTACTACTCTAGAAAGTAAAACTGAGATTTTTAGAAAATATTTATTAGTATAGTAAAATAATAATCCAGTATGTGTTGACATAAAAGGTATGTTTTTTATCACTAAGTGTATATATCTTCTAAAACAAAGAAATAAGTTAAAAGAGTGCCATTGTCTTACATTTTTGCAGCTCTCTTTAATAGCCGACTCAATATAAGACATATATCTGGGTCTGAATTCAGTCTGCTGTGATATCACTTATCATGCAGCCTCTAGAAAACTCCACCGTACACTTGTAAATGAATGAAAGTGAAAAGGGCTAATAATGTCTTAATAACATTACTAAAATGGCTTTGATCTCACAGACCCCTCAAAGGGTTTCAGGGATTCCCAGGGGTCCCTAGATCTTGAGCACAATTTGTGAATCACTGCTGTGAATTAGAAGGGACATTTTGTTTTGTTTTGTTTTGATTTTGCTCTTGTTGAGCAAGCTGTGTGAGAAAACATTTCCTAACAGGAATGGCTATGACCTGTTTAAGGATCATATGGTTATCTTGGCTAGAATATAGTGAAGGCTTATTTTCCTTGCCCCAGCTTGTTGTTCTTAGACATTATTCTCCATTCATAAATGGAACTGTCCTTTGTTTGGAGAGATATGCATTTGTACTATTTGTATAGCTGATGTTTTTCATCCCAATTGTTTTATCATTATTGTATTGTAACCCTTGGGAGACAATATAGCCTAATGGTTAAAATCAGGGGACTGCAAACTCTTTCTGTAAAGGGCCAGTTGGTAAATATGTAATAGTTGTCCCTCCATATCCACAGTTTCACTTTCTGGAGTTTCACTTATCAGCAGTAAACTGAGGTCTGATCTTATTACACAGAAAGTTCTAGAAATAATTCATACGTTTTAAACTGTGTGTTGTTCTGAGTATTGTGATGAAATCTCATGCTGTCCTGCTTCATCCACCTGGGATGTGAATCATCCCTTTGTCCAGCATCTGCACCCTGTAGATGCCGCCCACCTGTTAGTCACTTAGTAGGTACCTTGGTGATCAGATGGACTGTTGCCGTATTGCAGTGCTCGTGTTCAAGTCCCTCTTATTTTACTTAATAATGGCCCCAAAGCTTAAGAATGGTGATGCTGGCATATTGTTATAATCGTTCTATTTTATTAACAGTTATTGTTGTTAACCTCTTACTGTGCCTCATTTATACATTAAACTTTATTATAGGTGTGTATGTACAGAAAAAAGCAGTATATGTAGGGTTTGCTACTATTCATGGTTGCAGGCATCCACTTTGGGGTCTTGGACCATATCCCCCTGCCGATAAGAAACTACAGTATTTTAGACTTTGCAGTCTAAGTGGTCTCTGTTGCAACTACTCAGCACTGCTATGGAAGTGTGAAAGCAACCACAGACAATATGTATATACATGAGTGTGGCTGTGTTTCAATAAAACTTTATTTACAGAGGCAGAAATTTAAATTTTATATAATTTTCATATGTCATGAAATGTTTTTCTTGTTTCTTTTTTGAACCACTTAAAATGTAAAAACTATTCTTAACTCTATCTAGAACATACAGAAACAGATGATGAGCCAGAATTGGCTGCTGGGGCAATAGTTTGCCTCATGGTTAAAAGTATGAGATTTGTTTGCAGTCAGATTGGGAGTTAAACAAACACCTATTCAAGAATATTTAGCTGAGCGATTCCAGGCAAGGCAACCCCTCTAAGCCTCTCTTTCCCTATCTGAAAATGGTAATAATGATAACAACTCCATCAGAGCGCCCTGAGTTTAATATACATGAAGTATTAATGGTAGTGCTTGGACCAAATAAATGCCCAATTACTGGCCATTACAACCATTGCTGGTTATTGTTTTGACCAACTGATGTAACGTTCTAGGTTAATGACTTTGAGCTGAACCCTAACATAAGCTTACTTTTTGATCTTATAGTGAGAAAAGCACAATTTTATTACAGGAAAAAGACCTAAACTAATGGTGCATAAATTTGAGCAAGGCGTTTTTCTCTCTGGGTCTCATCTTCTTCACCTTTGAAATAAAGTTGGTGGGAGGCCAGGTCCACTCTAAAATTCCAATGACTCTGAATCCAGAAATGCTAATTGGCTTGCTTGTGTCCTTATTTCCCTATCAAAAAATGAGAGTGAAACAATATGGCTATTCCTCTGGGAAATATAGGAATTTTTAGAATATCCTCTAGAGAAAGAAAGTTCAACATTTCAGGTCATTTTAATTAACCAACAAATATAAGGTCCCATGAGACCATGGAAAAGTATTGACTCCTCTTCCATTTTCAGTTGATTATCCATGCTGGTTGCAAATTTCCAATTTTCTAAATTAACTTTCATGTTTGAGTGAATAGAACATAGCATGCATTTCATTTCATTTCATTTTATTTTATCTCAGCGTACAATAATTTAGTCTGAGTTGAAATAGAGTTCTGGAACAAAGAACTTACAGTTGTGTTATTTAAGCATATTTGATAGGAATAAAGACCCAATCAGGCCAAATTAATTAAACGAGGATTTATTGTATGGTACACATGGAAGTCTCCTGTGACTTGAAAGCTTAGGCTTCCTGAAATCCAGTTTGCCACATCTTGACTTTGTGTTAGTGTCCACTGAGATTTCCTTTCACTCATCCAGTATGCCCAGTACATATGCAGTATTTACAGTAAGTCTTAGAAAGAGCCATTTCTACTGATTTTGACATTATTAGGCAGAGTCCTTTAAACCAACCATACCGTGGAGCACCAGCTCAATATTTATTGAGTATATACTATAGGCAAGGTCATCCATTATGCCCTGGGGATGTAACATTAAGCAAAGCAGAAGACCCTACTCTATGAAGAAAGTAGAAGGAAAAAATGAAAATAAATAAGATATTTTGGAGAGGATAAGTGATAGGAAGAAAATGGCTGGAGAACTGCTTTAGATAGATTGGCCAGTGCAGGACTCTCTGAGGAGGGAATATTCAAACCCAGACCTGCAAGATGTGAAGGGGCTAAACATGTGAAGATGGTGGTGATGGTGGTGGTGTTGATGATCATGATGATAGAAATGGACACATATAGTGCAGATAATGCTCTAAATGCATTACATACACCAACTAATTTAATCCTCAGAATCTTTCTTGGAGGTAGATAGTATTATTAACAAGCTTTGCGGACAAAAGTCAGAAATACATAGAGATTAAATCATTTGCTCAAGATCAGAGCTTATAAATGTTAGGCCCAGAATTGCAACCTAAATCTTAGCTTTTATTTAAAACATTACAGTGAGACAAAAGAACATTCCAAGCAGAAAAAAACAAGTGCAAAATCGGTTTTTTGAGTCAGTCTTGCCCTGACACGGGCAGTGGCTTCCTTGAGCTGGATATTGTTGGTGAAATGGTTTTAGTGAGAGGGGGATGTTGGTTGGGCTGTCATCATGACCAACATGTTGGGTGTAATTCAGCCTGTGTAAACCCCCTCACTACAGTATATTTAAAAAAAAAAAAAGATAATGAGGCTAATTTACAACCACATTGAAAAATGATATACTGGTGCAAATTACTCTTTGAAGTTATTTTCAGGAAAACTGGTTTGACCATTTTTGCTTAAACGAATTGGACCATTTGGATTCAAACTTTGATATTGATGATGTAAAGTAAATTATGCTTTCTATTAGCTTATTTATTTGTTTTGCTAGCTTCTAAAACAAATTTGTTCTTTTATCATACATAATGTGTCACTGTTTTTCTGGCTTTAATTTATATCCTAAGTAACTAAACCATAGAGATTCTCTCAGCCAAATCAACATAAAAACCAAAGAGGTCCTAGAACTTCCATTTGTGTTGAAGATGTGTGCATCACTGCACTGTCAGAACAATTACATGGCATCCTTTTGAAATGTCTTAAGTGTTGTTGGAAGGTATATTAGAAATTGCATCATTCTGTGGCCATGAATGCATAGTGATTTAATAAGAATACCAAACATAGTAGTATATTACAAAGGAGAGGGAAATGAATTCATTCAAGTAACTATTTTGAAAACAGCAGTTAGTGATGAAATTAATATATTTTAATTTCCTAGATATTTTCCAAAGTGCTTATAACCCATCTATTTTACTGTGGGAATTCTTCCTCTGAAAAATCTGTTGCGGTTTTTAGACACAGCCAAAGCCTGAGTTTTCATTTATTTGTAGAAAAATTTTACCTCTTCAACTGAGATTGGGTCATTACATGACATGACAATGGAGAATGATTTAAATAATTGTTCCTTATACTGTATCTCATCCCTCTAATATATACATCATACATTCGACCCTGTATTAATTGAGTACAACAATGTACAAGACAGTCTATCAAAAATATCTGAGTCGGCCAGCGCGGTGGCTCACACCTGTAATCCCAGCACTTTGGGAGGCCGAGGCGGGTGGATCCTGAGGTCAGGAGATCGAGGCCATCCTGGCTAACAAAGTGAAACCCCCTCTCTACTAAAAACACAAAAAATTACCCAGGCCTGGTGGCCGGCGCCTGTAGTCCCAGCTACTCCGAAGGCTGAGGCAGGAGAATGGCGTGAACCCGGGAGGCGGAGCTTGCAGTGAGCCGAGATCGCCCCACTGCACTCCCGCCTGGGCGACAGAGCAAGACTCCGTCTCAAAAAAAAAAAGAAGAAAAAAAATATATATATATATCTGAGTCACAGAGACTACAAAAATCCTGTAATGTAACCTATGTAAGAGACTTGCATAATTTTCATACAATAATAATGACATTGTTGATACCAACATTTATGATGCACTTTCTGTGTGATAGATACCGTGTGATGTATTTTATTTACTTTATTCTCTTTAATCCTTAGGAGATGGCTTCAAAGTAGTTGTTACTATTTCTGAAGAAGCAGAAGATCAGAGAGGCTAAGTAGTTTGCCCACAGAGCTAATAAGTAGCAAATTCAGGATCTAAACAGGTTTATCAGACTCTGAAGAAAATGTCTCTGTATGTTGTGATGACATTTTCCTGTCCGTTCAACAGGATGTTGTGAGGTCAAATCAGTTCAGAAACATTGGGTTGAACAGTTAAACATATTTGTTAACTGAAAGGCTTTTTCAGAGCCTTTAATATGCAAAGTAAAGCTCCAAGGAAATAATATAGTATAAATATTGACCAGGCATATTTAATTGATGAACCCCACATCTACCACCATCCCGCACCCCACCCTCCACATAGTATATGGTATAAGTGTATTGATCCTTGAATACACATTGACAAGCCTACTCCACTTAATATTTTAATGTAGTAAGTTGAAAGAAGGGGTGGCCAGGTGCGATGGCTCACGCCTGTAATCCCAGCACTTTGGGTGGCCAAGGCGGGTAGATCACAAGGTCAGGAGTTCGAAAACATCCTGGCCAACATGGTGAAACACAGCCTCTACTAAAGATACAAAAAATTAGCCGGGTCTGGTGGCACATGTCTGTAATCCCAGCTACTCAGGAGGCTGAGGCAGGAGAATCACTTGAACTCAGGAGGCGGAGGTTGCAGCAAGCAGAGATCACGCCATTGCACTCCAGCCTGGGTGACAGGATGAGACTCCGTCTCAAAAATGAAAGAAGGAAAGAAAGCAAGAAAGGAAGGGAGGAAGGAAGGAAGAAAGGAGGGAGGGAGGGAAGGAAGGAAGGAAGGAGAGAGAGAGAAAGAAAGAAAAGGAAAGAAAAGAAAGAAAGAAAGAAAAGAAAGAAAGAAAAAGAAAGAAAGAAAGGATAAAATGAAAAGGATCTGAAGGACAGAATAGAAAAAAGTTAAAATGTAAAATTTTAACCATGCATTGGGAAAATACAAAAATTGAAAAGGATAAAGGAAAGAGTATGGAACTAAGAGGAAATGCTAGTTTTCTGAATAAACATAGGAATAATCAGAAAGCAATAAAGTTAAAGAAATAGAAATTTCTCAGAGAAAGCACTATAATGACAGAAGATCAAACTTGTAGAGACCATCTCAGTTGGGATTAGAAGAAGCCAAAAAGTAGAGAAACAAAAGAGAAAATTGATAGCATTGAGGAATGGATGCACAGTGAAAATTGTTGTGAACGTGGCAAGGGTTGGGATGACACTGAGGGGGGAAAAATGCACCAAATCTGTCAATTAAAGAATCTTCAGTGAATCTTGAGCCATGAGAGCTGAAACTACATTACGTGGGGTTAAGAAAAGTAAAGGTAGAGAATGTAGAATATCCTTTCTGTTTTTTTTCTTAAGTTGGCTGATAGCTCAGGAAGCAGTTGCAGTGTCAAGGGCAGCTTCAGTTAAGAAAGAAAAATCTGAATGGATGCAAAGGCAAAACACAGGGCATGGTCAAGTGGTGAGAGTGAAGATGATGGATAATTAAGGAACAACATTTCAGATGTGAGTTTAGGGCTTGAGTATAAAAATGTGGTGGGTCTTAGTAGATGTGAAGCTGGCGGGATTTCTGAAATCAGTGAAAAAGTAGATATCAGGAAAAAAATAGACAAGTTCTAAAGAATAAAAATAGAGGGAGTTTCTTTCTTGTGAGCACCTAAATTATCCAGTGAAATAGAAATAAAATAATTTATTCAAAGAGGGGTTGGTAATTCGAGAGTGTTGAAAAGATTTTCAAAACTCTACTGAAAATATTATTTGGAATAAAAAATTAGTTGGGTAAAATCTTATAAAATTGCTTATAATTTGACCTTTTTCCTCCCATATCCATATTTTTAAAACATTTTGTTATGTAAAATTTCACATGGTTTAAACTAATGTTATAAATTAGTCACTGGTGGGATTCAACTGAGACTGACTAACATGAATTTGAAGTCTAAAGATATTCTCTGCAATTCTTTGAGGATTAAACAGTGAAAAGAAGCAGAAAGAAGAAACCAGGAAGTGATCCTGAGAAGGAGTCAAATCAAAATATTAAGGGATAAATAATACGTGGTGCCAATGATTTTATTTATTCATTTATTATTTATTTATTTATTTATGATGGAGTCTCGCTCTGTCACCAGGCTGGAGTGCAGTGGCGCGATCTCGGCTCACTGCAACCTCCACCTCCCGGGTTCAAGTGAGTCTCCTGCCTCAGCCTCCCGAGTAGCTGAGATTACAGGTGCACGCCACCACGCCCAGATAACTTCTGTATTTTCAGTAGAGACAGGGTTTCACCATGTTGGCGAGGATGGTCTCGATCTCCTGCCCACGTGATCTGCCCACCTCGGCCTCCCAATGTCCTGGAATTACAGGCGTGAGCCAGCATGCCCTCGCCGAATGTCTTTGAACAATTGATCAATTAGTAATGGGGTATTTGAAACCAGAGAGGGTTGGTTTGGGAGAGCAGGTCATGTGTAAAGAAAGAGGCTCAAAGAAAATAGACAAATTTATAAATGACTTTTAAAATAAAATAACTTTTAAAATAATGATATACCATTTGTACTTTCCTGGGCAACCGATGCTACTGTCCATGGTCCTGAAACATCAGTGTGCATTCAAACTTGGCTGTTCTTTCCTATCACTTGGAGGCGGGTATTCAAACCTGGACTGGGAAAAAGCAGAAGGGAATGACAGAAAAAGAGAGACAGCAGGTTGAGGGAAATAAGGAAGATGAATGAGCCGGGCGCAGTGGCTCAAGCCTGTAATCCCAGCACTTTGGGAGGCCAAGGTGGGAGGATCAGGAGGTCAGGAGATCAAGACCATCCTGGATAACACGGTGAAACCCCGTCTCTACTAAAAATTCAAGAAATTAGCTGGGTGTGGTGGCGTGCACCTGTAGTCCCAGCTCCTCAGGAAGCTGAGGCAGGAGAATGGTGTGAACCTGGGAGGCAGAGCTTGCAGTGAGCTGAGATCACACCACTGCACTACAGCCTGGGCAGCAAAGCGAGACTCTGTCAAAAAAAAAAAAAAAAAAAAAAGATGAATGAAATAGTCAAACATTATTATTGTACATAGAGGTTTTAAGTAGGTAGAAGAGAGCCATTTTACCTGATTTTCAAGCAATTGTTGTTACTAGGAAACAATGATGAGTTAGGGACCTGTGAGTAGCTTATCTTCCCCAAGTCAACAACCTAGATGATCCTTCCCCCATGTCTCCTACACCGTAGTTTAGGTTCTGGTTCCAAATGGAGACCTTGGTGTTGGTTCCTGAACAGGAAAGGAATTGGAGCTGTTGTATACTAAAACTTTTTTAGAGGCTGTGAGGCTAAGTTATTAAACAGACAATGGATTTTTAATTCTTAGGGGAAAAACTGGCAATACACTTAAGAAAAGTGCATGCTGCTCTTATTCGTCTCATGAAACAAGAGAAATGAGAGAAGGAGAGTCCAGCAATGATTGTTCCAAACAAAATTATATTTGAGAAAGTTTAATTTCACTTAAAATGAGAATATGAAAGGAGTCCATTTTTTAAAGGTGGATGATGTAGTGAAATATGCTTAAGTTTTAATAAAAAATGGCTCAGTATCAGTTTTCTATTTGCTGCCATAATAAATTACCATAAACATAGTAGATAAAAACAGCACCTTTATCGCCTTACAGTTTTGTAGAAGTCAGAATTGTCAGAGGTCTCAACATAGATCTTACTGGGATAAAACCAAGGTGTCTTCAAGGCTGTGTTCCATTCTGGAGGCTCTAAGGGTGAATTCATTGCCTTTCTTTTTCTACGTTCTAGAGGCTGCTGACATTCTGCAGCTCATGACCCCCTTTCTTCATCTTCAAAGCCAGGAGTGCTGCATTGTTATGACCACTTATGCATAATAACATCTTCTTCTGACTCTCTCTTCTTCTGCCCTCCCCCAACTTTAAGCAGCTTTGGGATTACTTTGGGGCCACCTGCACGACCTAGGATACTCTCCCTATTTTAAGGTCAGCTGATTAGCAGCCTTAATTCCTCTTTGCCATGTAATCCAACATATTCACAGTTTCCAAGGATTAAGACACAGACATCTTTGGGGATTAGTACATGAGCACATTTGGAATCAGACATTATTCTTACTATGAAATAGACAGAAAACCCTGCTAACGTACTATTTCATCTCCCGTGATTCCATGATTTCACTGGGCAGATACACTTTCCCTTTGTGAGAGTAAAATGAGAACATGCATATAAAGTTCTTAGAACAATGTTTGGCACATGGTAAACTATGCTGAGTGGTTTTTATGTTTGTTTGTTTTTTCATTTTCTATCTCTTTCCAGGAAATAGTGATTCCAAGGAGAAAGTCAAACTCAGGTCTGATTGACCCAAAGCCTATGCATGTAAACATTACAAGTCTCTAACAAGATTAGACTGTAAATAGAAGAAATAGTATACTGATGTGCTATTGCTTTAACTCTTTCCTAGTAAAAGACAGAAAAAGTAGCAGGGTTTATGGAGGCACTGATTACATTCAATATTTATTGGATAGTTATTGAACACCTACACTGTATCCGGCTTTGTGGTAGGCATTGGGAAAAAATAATAAATAAAAAAATTAATTTCAGGCTTCGGTGGAACCTACATTCTATTGTGTGTGCACGTGTGTGTTGGGGGGAGTTGAGGAAGAGGACTGGGATTTACAATAAAACCAGTAATATAGTTTATGTTTTGGGAGTTCAGAGAGAAAGTGGCTGGTAGAATAATGCCCACCCAACCATTTCAAAGATGTCCACATCTATTCCCCAGAACTTGTGAGTATGTTAGTTTACCTAACAAAGGGAGCTCTGCAGATGTGCTTAAGATAAGCACTTTGAGATAAGAATATTATCCTGGGTTATGGGTCCTTAAAAATGAAAGAAAGAGGCAGAAGAGGAAGTTAGTGATGCAATGTAAGGACTCAACCTACTGTTGCTATTTTTGAAGATAGAGGAGGGGGAAAATGGACCAAGGAATGTGGGCAGCCTCTAGGAGCTAGAAAAAGAAGGGAAATTGATTTTCCCCTAGACTCTCCAGAATGGAAATACCATTATATCAGCTACTCTGCTGATACCATGATGTTACCCCATTGAGATCTATGTCAGACTTTTGACCTCCACAACTGTAAGATAATAAATCAGTGTGGTTTTAAGACACTAGGTTTGTGGTCATTTGTTACAACAGCTATAAACAACTAAAAAAGACAGGGAGAAGAGTAGAAAAGATCATTGCTGACAATCATATCTCCTAAGACATTTTATATACCTAAATACATTTTCCCCTGAAACAATCAGGAATATTTTTTATCATAGGTAGCAGACTAAACTGATCTATATAGAACAGGGAGAGCTTATTATAAGGATACAGGGATATCTCACAAAACTTAAGGAGAGCAGTGTTGCTAGTTCAGTAAAACAGATCCAGAACCAAGAGCAGGAAGATTGTCTAGACGGTTGCCCTTCACATTTGCTTTCTGCTCCTCTGAAAATATTTCTCCAGACTACCTTTCCTAGGGTTTTCCCTCTGTACAACTGAATACAATTGACACTTTCACAGGAACTGTCAGATCTCAAGGTTGCTTGCTACAAGTAAAGCCACCCAAAGGTAGAATCTCAACTGAAACTTCTCTCTTTCTTTGTCTCTCTCAATCCTCTCTGGCATCCTTATTTTTGGGAGAGAAATTTTCACAGTTCTAGCTTGGGTCAGATGCCTTGCCCTGGACCTATCCATCATACGTGGTGAAGGGTGGGTCATGCTTGACATAAAATGGCTGCTCAGAGATCATGTCCTTTGCAGGGACATGGGTGAAGCTGGAAGCCATCATTCTCAGCAAGCTAACACAAGAACAGAAAACCAAACACCGCATGTTCTCACTAGTAAGTGGGAGTTGAACATTGAGAACACATGGACACAGAGAGGGGAACAACACACACCAGGGCCTGTTGGGGTTGGGGGTGATGGGAGGGAACTTAGAGGATAGGTAAATAGATGAGGCAAACCACCACAGCACACATATACCTATGTAACAAGCCTGCACGTTCTATAACATGTATTTTGTTTTTTGTTTGTTTGTTTTTGTTTGTCTTTTGTTTGCTTGGTTTTTTTTCTAGAAGAAATTTAAAAAATGGCTGCTCAGAAAAAGGAAGATTGTTAGAAACTGGACACACAACCCAATATGTTTATTCTCCCTTCTTGATTCTGCAACGGAGAAGATAATTTTAGGAAAATATAGCATTTTCTCTAGCCAATGTTATTCAGTGTTTGTTCAGAACAAAGAATTGTGTGAGGTAATGAGTAAGATACAAAGGCAACTGAGAAACATTTACCAAATATCTATCCTTATGCCAAAAACTTTGTTAAATCCTTGGGTCATAAAGACATAGAAAACAGCACACTCAAGGAATGGAGGAGAGAAGGCAATTTAGACTATTGTGTGTCATATGCTGAACAGAAGGTACCTGCAGAGTGCTGGCACAGCACAAGCAATGACACCGTTTATCCTACTTGGTCGGGGTGGAGTAGGACTGTGGCAGAATTCCAGAGAAGGTAATCAGAACTTCCAGGTGAACAAGGGAGGAAAATGCAGCTCAGAAAGAAGGAGAGTATCTGCTAATCCCACAGTCATGAAAATAATCACTGAGGCCCAGACCCAATGAGAGTGGCAGGGTGGTCAGAGTGGCAGGGCTTGTAGGGGAAGAAGATTCCAGCTCTTGAAGGCTCACAGTCTAGCAGTGGAGACACGGTGGGTAATAAACAACTCTTACAAGATCTGAATACATCAGAATAATATTGAAGTGACAAAGAAACACACTTTGTGAGTTTTGGAGGTAAGCTTGGAGCTCAGGGTCAAGTTAAAATCCAGTTAGGAAGACTAGAAATGTTCCTAGGACAAGCTGGCTTTTAAATAGTTTCATAAATAGTCTATGGTTGACAGGAATGAGCAAAATAGAACTTCAAATTAATTAAAATGCTCCTCTTCGATTTCAAAGCACACAAACAGTATGCAAAGCAACGTACCACCACGTGTACCATCCCAGCATTGACATAGTGTTTGCTCCCCAAGGTCATACAGTTTCTGTAAAACTGACTCTGTAATGATTTGTATCATCTTCCTCTTTTATTTCCAAGAATTGTCTGACTTCTTTAGAGGAAAAGGCTATACTGTGCCAGGGAAAATATGGGAAAAGCATCTTGAATATCGAGTGGCAATGAGAATGCCCAAAGGAAAAGAATTTCCATCACAAAGTACTCTCTTCTCATGGAATCTTTGAAGTATGCCACTGGACTGCACATACCAAATTCCTCCTGCTTTGTTTCTGTTTTAAATTAATCATTTGTACATGTTGGGGCTTCAAATGTTTACTGGGTGATTATAAACACGCTGAAGTACTGAAAGGAAACTCCCGGGACACGATATTCACCCTCATCATCTTCTTAGATTTTATTTTGACGCGCCATCAATTGGAATTTTTAATTCAGGCTATTCTCCAATGTTGCAACAATTTTACATACTAGATTATCAAAGTTCCAAGTCCTTTTATAAGGGTAATTAAACATGCCACGTTTGTTTCTAGAGCTCTGAGCCTGCAGTTGCTCCTCCACTGGTTCTATTACTATACTTAGTTTACTGCTTTCTGTTTTTTAATTTATGGTGCTTGAGAAATCTACTCACTTTTAATTTCTCATAAATTTAGCACCAAAGCTAGAGAAAAAGAAACCCGATCACTTACAGGCTAGGTGGGTGACATTCTCAAAGACATGCCATGCTTCTGAGGCATTTTTTAAAACTGTTTTTCTTCTAAGGAGAAGGCTCCATTTTCTAGGAATCCAATATTGATTATATCACTCTTTTTGACATAATCCCATACTCCTTATGCAGACAAAAACACCATTGATTTTTATAAACTAGTGGCATTTTTTTTTTCTATCACTGGAAGTTTTGTTTGGAAAAAAGAGAATGGAAGTGAGTTCAGAGCAATCTATCTTTCTACATAAGTATTTCTGTGGCACTTATCACAGCGGTACCTGGGCACTCAAAAGCTCTATTAGACTAAAACACATACACTGGAGGAAAAAAAACCTAGATGCTAAGAAAACAGAAAGTTAAAAACATCAAGAGAAATACGAAAAATGTTCTTTGTTCTTGGACAACCAATGGGAGTTGAAGACAATTCTCAGGAGCAATAGGAAAATATATCTTTTCCTACATCCATTTATTTATTTAAAGGTTTCTAAAGGACTATTCTGGGCCTTTGATTTAAGTGCAAAACACCACTGAGATTTGTGTCTAATCAAGGATGGAATATGACTCTCATTCTGGCATTCTGGGTAGTAGACGAAAGATAAAGCATACACATACATACACAAAATGAGGTAGCGACTGATGCTAAGAATGTTTAGAATTCTCCAACAGGACGGTCTTTTTTTCCCTTTGTACTCAAGAAAATGGGCCTGATGCTCATGCAGTTGGATTTCCATAGATTCTGGCATTTGTTATGAGAAATACTTAGGAAATGGATTGTTTGATGGTGAAACTTGCAGAGCCAACTAAAGAGAAAGGGGCTGATGTCATAAGTCAAATTTCACATTAATTTTGTAAGTTAAGTGTCTTTTATTATTTACTGTAATATTAGTAAAATTATAGTAATATAGGCCTCATGTCATACAAAAGGGCAGGACAAATTGTAGTGTCAATGGCTATTTATTCCACTATTTTTAATATATGAGAGAAATTACTGAATAATTGCCTGATTTTTAATCAAAAATATCTGCTGCAATATTATTATATATGAAAATTCATATTTGAAAATAAGCCAGTTTCTTTTGCATATGTAATTTATAGGTTTATGTTACAGTCCAAGCCAACATATTGAGAAAAGCCACATTCATGGAGAAGGAATACATATCTAATTTACAGGAGAGTCACTACTGTAAAGTTTTATTTGTATCGTGATGTAATTTCTGAGTAAAAATACCTCCTGCTCCATTTCATGGTGGGTAATCTGCTGATTCTTAGGATTTTCATCCTGGTTGGTTTAACAAAAACAACCAAATTTTTATGTGACATTTTTATATCAAAAACACTTCGATAGATATTACATTTCAAAGAGTAATGCCATCTTCATTTCGGATTTACGTAGAAATTGGCAAATTAAAAGTATGTTAATAAGGCCAACAGTGATAGTTCAGGAATAAGATTTAAACTGAGCTTCTGTGCCAATGAGTGCATTAACTTTATTCAAAAATAGTGTATGTAAAATGGCGCACAACTGACATGAGCTGATTATGATAATGTCTTAGAGCAAATTTTTGAAAATCAGGTACCATAAAAATATACCATTAACTTTATGTTAATAAAATATTTTGCTTGATGCCTTTTAAATTATTCATTTGAAGTAGTCTAAAGATATAAAAGAACTCTTATTATCATTCAATTTACATGATTACTTTTAAGTTCACTTTTTTGGTTTAACATAAACAGAGTATAAAATTCACATCAAGCTTTTGGTATTTAAAATGTGTAATTTTAATGCAAAAATTGAATGCTGTGTTACATTTTTAAGGTTGTCATTAGTATAAATATAATTTTGACTCCTGATTTGAAACAATTTAACCCTTAGGAGAAATTATGATGTTTCTTAGGTTGACTCATTCTTGCTGCTTTGATTATAGATGAATTTCTTTGTAAAAACACTTTTAAAAGAATCTAAGCACAGGGTTTTCCACAGATGCATTTGAAGAAATGATGGAAAGTACCAGGAGAAGAGGATCCTTTTCTCCCAAAAAGCCTGGCTTTGATTTTAATTATTATTATTTTATTATTATTTTTGTTTTTGAGACAGAGTCTCGTTCTGTCACCCAGGCTGGAGTGCAATGGCGTGATCTTGGCTCACTGCAACCTCCGCCTCCTGGGTTCTAGCAATTCTCCTGCCTCAGCCTCCCAAGTAGATGGGATTACAGGCATGCGCCACCACGCACGGCCAAATTTTGTATTTTTAGTAGGGACCAGATTTCACCATGTTAGCAGTCTGGTCTCAAATGATTTTAATTATTAAACAACCTTTACGTGCCCAGGAATGTGTGGAGCTCTTCATGGCTTTATACAGGAAGACAGCACCCTGGCGGCCTCTAATTGCTTACAGTCAAACTGAAATTTCTACCATGGAGTTGCAACATTTATGGCACAGTGTTAGGCACATAATGCTACCCAGAGAACTGGATTTATATTGTCAAAAAATAATGAGACAGCAAAATTGGATAAAAGTTCTAAATATGGTAGGGTATGACTTGAGTAGGGTGGATGTAATCTATATTTTTAAAGAAGAGAGGGGATAGCCCTTTAGATGGGAGAGGTATTTGAATAAAAGATCACAGCCATCTCCTTTAGAATATATACAACATACAAAGCCTAGTTTCTGTTCTCAACATAAATAATTTAACATTTACATATATATTTATATATGCTTTAGTCTATATGCAAATATAAAACAAGTTACATAAACAAGTACTTTAAGCCACACACAATTCCAAATATATACAGATACACAAAAAATTATCCAAATGCCAGACAATGGGTCACTTATTTCAAAAAGTGTTTTAAACTCTATTCTTGGGAAGGAAGGAGGAGAAGAGGAAAAACGATGGAGAAACTTGACTTGAAGCCTCATGCTTCTTTCCCACATGTGCCCAAGTGATGATTGCCTCACTCCTGTGTATTTAAGAGAATGAGATTCTATTGCATCTCATTTGGGCAAACCATCAATTATAACCTTCAGCATAGTCAGATATGAATTTTTGACTTTTGCGTAATGCTATAGTTTGTGTCCCCAAAAGTATGTCTTGGAAACTTAATTCCCAATGCAACAATGTTGGAAGGTGGGGTGTAATAGGAGGTGCTTAGATCATGAGGGCCCCATGTTCATGAATGAACTAATGCCAGAAAGACATCATAAAAGGACTTGAGCCTGCAAGTTCAAGCTCACTCTCTCTAGCACTTATGCTTTCTTGCTTTTTCACTACGGATAATGTAGCAAGAAACTCCTTGCCAGATGTGGGCCCCTCAACCTTGGACATCCCAGCCACTGGACCTGTAGGAAATAGATCTCAGTTCCCTATAAACTACCTAGTCTCAGTTACTCTGTCATAGCAGCAAAAAATGAACTAAGACCCATGGCTCAGTACAACACTATCTCCAGAATGTTACTAATTTGACACGACTGGCCAAGGCATTAAATGAGGTTCCCAAGAGCTTGGTAATATTTGTAGAATTAACATGCCTTATTCCATCAAAATTGCAAGGAACTGTGCAAGCTAGTCATCTCTCCTCCTACCCAGTTGAAACTCCTTGTACAATATTATTTACAGTGGTTCATCTAAGTTCAGTTTGAATGGTTTATAAAAAAGAGAGGGCAATATTCTGTGGGCACTACTTGCTCGTTCTACTGGTCTTTCAAACATTTGAAGACATACATCACATTATTTTAATATCTTCCTTTGCTAAGCTAAGCGTGTGTGTTCCTTCATCTATTCTTCTCATAAAAGAGCTCTTAAGTTAACTCCCTTCTTTATCTTCTCTGCTTCAGAACACTTTTTTGTTTTGTTTTGTTTTGTTTGAGACAGGGTCTCACTTTGTCACCCAGGCTAGAGTGCATTGGCATGATCTTGGCTCACTGCAGCCTCAGCCTCCCAGGCTCAAGCAATCCTCCCACCTCAGCCTCTTCAGTAGCTGGGGCCACAGGTGGGCACCACCAAGTCCTTCTAATTTTTGTATTTTTTGTAGAGACGGGGGTCTTGCCATGTTTCCCGGGCTCGTCTCAAACTCCTAAGCTCAAGCAATCGGCCCATTTCAGCCTCCCAAAGTGTTGGGGTTACAGGAATGAGCCACCGTCCCTGGTCCAGGGCACTTTTAGGTTTTCTTTTATTTCGTTCTGTAAAGCATATTTATCAATGCTACTCTACAGCGATCCAGTGGAAACACACACACACACACACACACACACACACACACACACACAATGAACTCTGGCCTCAAGAAATTTATATTCAAGAGGGGGAAGGTAAATATGTATCAAAGAACAACACAAATATACCATTATAAGTTGTGTTAAATGTGAAAAAGGACATTACCCCAATCAAAATATAATATCCAGAATGCTACATAAAATTCTCTATCTGATCAGACTTGCACAGAAAATAAAGAAACTATTATTGACCTTGAGCTGAATACTACATTTTTAATACCGCAACCTAAAGATTGCTTTCACAAGTTCATATTGACCACGTGGTTAACTCAAACCTCTGGGTCTTTTTCAAATGAACTACTGTCATACTAACTTTCTTCTCTGCTTATATAATTAATTTTTGAACATCAGTAGAAAACCTCATAGATATGCCTGTAAAATTCCATCATCTTGGTTATGGCCCTAAATGTCTAACATGTCAAAGTCATTATTGAGTCATAATTAAGACAGTTGAAACATTTAGTAAACTTTTGTGTCAGTGAAAAATGTGATCAATGTTACTTCAGTGACTTCAGGAAAGTACCAAACCAAAGGTAGGACCACGAGGTGTGTATCAAACACATGTTCAAGTTGATTTACTGATTCATATACTTAACTATATGTACTAGACTTTTGTTGTTTTTGCTATCCAACATCTATTTCTTCCTCCTCTGGCCATATATTTTTCTTGAGGAACCACCGTTCTGCATTCTCACTCTATATGATTTTGAGGGCTGAGTTTATCCCTGGTTCCCATGCTGTCATGTCATCAAACTTGTCAATGAGAATACCGACTTCCACTAGCTAAAAGATTGGAAACATAATGTAAGTCAGTCTATTGAGTTTAAATTCCTGACCTTTGTAGAAGTGCTGGGAAGAGAGACTTTGTGACTGGAATTGAAACTGGGAAGAAGTAAGATTAGAACTGTTAAGAGTCACCGTGCTTAGCATGCAAGTGACCGAGGCCAAAGTGGAGCAAAGAGATAAAGAGAAAAAACCCAAATCCTCATTGCACCTCCCACAGTTTTAGATCCAGTCATTCTAGAATCAAAGCCGGGTCTAGACTTTTCCGTTACATGAACCAGAAGAAGAACTCTTCTGCTTCAGACAGTTAGCATTAGGTTTCTGACGTTTGCCAAAAATATCCCAACTGATATGCCATGTTACTTAGTCCACATTTTCCTTTTGGTGACCGGAATATCACTGGTGTCTTTGTCATCTCTCTCTCTCTCTCTTTTTTTTTTTTTTTTTGAGAGAGAGTCTTGCTCTATTGCCCAGGCTGGAGTGCAGTGGTGTGATCCCAGCTCACTGAAATCTCTGCCTTCCAGGTTCAAGCGATTCTCCTGCTTCAGCCTCCCAAGTAGCTGGGACTACAGGCCCACACCACCACGCCCGGCTCATTTTTGTGTTTTTTTTAGTAGAGATGGCGTTTCACCATGTTGGCCAGGCTGGTCTCGAACTCCTGACCTCAGGTGATCCGCCCTCCTCGGCCATCCAAAGTACTAGGATTACAGGCATGAGCCACCATGCCCAATCTTGTCATCTCTTTTATAGAAATCCAGATATAGGATCTCTACAATGCTTTATTGGCCAATGATTCTAGTAACCCTTTTGTCTAAGAAAATTAGATTTGTTAGCCACGATTTGTTTGTCTGTAGTAAATTGATGCTGGCTTACAGTGATCATCTCTTTTCTAATACCATCTGTTTAATAATCTACCATAAAAGCTAACTAGTTTATTAGACAAATTCCATTGCTCTGTGCATCATTCACAGTAGAATAATACGTATTTTTTCTCTGATCTTTTGGATATTTAATTTTCTAAGGTCTCAGGCACATGGTTCCCAAAGTTATTGAGTGTGAGCAATTTTTGCAATTGTCAAAAATTATCTCAGACCCCCAAAGTCTGGTAGTTGTACTTTAATAGTTGCTGTTTATTAAAATAAAATACATAATGGTAAAAATGTATTAAGTAACTGTCATCTTTAAATAAAATTCTGTTTTATTAATCAAAGCATTCCTGTAACTTGGAAAGACTATTCCACTTATGTATAGGAAATATTACTTATTCGATTTGTGTCTAAATCTAGTATGAACAACTTTTCAATCTCTTTCAATCTGGGCCCAGGGATAAGTGGGCCGGATGAGGAAGTCCTGTAACAGTGCATTTGTTTGACTATGCCTAACATTTTATCCCTGGCCCCTTTCAAATAAATGCAAGACCCCATTGTCCCTTTCTTCTCAAATCCCCTTCACTTCTTCCTGTCAACCTCTATGGAGGCTGCTCTTTTGACTCTGCTCAATAGGCATCTTGAAATGAAAAGATGACCTGATGCGGAAGAACATTTAGGCCCTCAAGCCCACAAAGAACCTGGGGCATGAGCTGACACTAGAAAAACTTCACTTAGAACCAGAAAGTGCGGTTGGGCATGGAGCAGTTCTTTTGGCTTCCTCTAGCACAGAAAAAAAAAAAAAAGACTATAGTCCAGATACTCACAGGGGATAATTACCTGACAGACTGACCCTAATGAAAAAGCATTGCACAGCCCCTTCTTAAAAGCTTTTGGTGTGTGCTTTTTTAGATAGCAGTGCTCAAATGTGGACAACTGATAATGCCCAAATTTTCTTTCTGTCTGCTTTGGGCAGTTTATTTTTAAAATGAGGTTAAGCAAACTGCAGTTTAGGGGAAAATACACTTATTTTTACCTTAGTAAACTGATTGTCATTTTGACATATCACCTTTATGGTTGACACAACCTTGACAACGTGACACATTAGCTCAGAAAAAAAAAAAAAAGATTTTTCAGAATCAGATCCATACCAAGCAGCAGTATTTTTCTTTAAAAATGTTATTGTTGTTATTAGGATTTGCTCTCTGTAAAAGATTGTGGACTGGAGTCTGACACTCCATAATTCATGGTTGATAATTAGTGTGTTGGGTGTCAAAACCTTGGTTTTTTGCTCCCCATGCAGCAATGGGATACACACTTTGTCCAGTCTCTGCCTTAATTTTTGAGATCATGGTACACAGTGAACACAAAACTGCTGAACGCACTCAATGTCTCCACATTGCTGATTGAAATCTTGGCAAAGGTTATCATTGTCTCCGAACACCAAGACATAAACTGCTTGAATGAAGGGCTTTGTAATGCATAGGTTTTAGTCAAACTTGTCACAAGAGGTGTAGCACATGAAGTTGAAGGATCTCAGAAAATGGTCCTCTTGATGTCTGGATTAATGTGAATAGCTAAAGAGCTGCCATATCCAAGTTAAAATATCTTTGTAAGTGGCCAGTTGTTTGAAACCTGGTAATAATGACACTTAAATTATAATACCAGGCCTTTTACTTTTATTTTTCCCAAATATCCTCCTGCAGAAGCAGTTGGTTGTGTGACTCAGATTAGGGGAATAACTATCATTCTACAAACATTCCAGCAGCTTGAGACTTCGACACCTGATTATCCAACTGGTCTTCTTGTTTCTGATCCACTTCGCTTCTTTTCTCCAGAAAAATCTTCCTAAAATACTCCTTATAGCACATATTTTTTTTTCCATCGCTCTGCATTTGCATTTCAGGTCTGCAGCCTAGGAGGGAATAAATAGCCTTCTACATGCTGGTTATTACAAGTCTCAAATTTAAAGTGATGAGGAAGGCCAGGCGCAGTGGCTCATGCCTGTAATCCCAGTACTTTGGGAGGCCGAGGCGGTTGGATCACCTGAGGTCAGGAGTTCGAGACCAGCCTGGCTAACATGGTGAAACCCTGTTTCTACTAAAAATACCCCCCCGCCCCCCCCAAAAAAAATAGCTGGGCCTGTAATCCCAGTTACTCAGGAGGCTGAGGCAGGAGAATCGCTTAAACTCAGGAGGCGGAGGTTTTAGTGAGCCGAGATCACGCCATTGCACTCCAGCCTGAGTGACAGAGCGAGACTCTGTCTCAAAATAAATAAATAAATAAATAAATAAAATAAAAATAAAAATAAATAATGAAGTGACGAGGAAATGTCCTTCACTTTTTTGTGATATTCTTGTACCCTAGCTGACCTTCTTTCTCAACTCTGTGGGATGGATATGTTTTAGGGATAGCAAGACACAATGAGAAGCAGGGTGACATAGTAGAAAGATCACGATTTAGGACAGGGTTGGAAAAATTTATCTGGAAAGAGCCAGACAGTAAGTATTTTAGGCATTGCACACCAGACAGTCTGTGTTGCAACTACTCAACTCTGCTGTTATAGTATGAAAACAGCCATAGACAATACCTAAACACATGGGCATGGTGTTCCAATACAATTTTATTTATGGACACAGTAATTGGAATTATAGAATTTTCATGTGTCATGAAATATTCCTCATTTAAACATTTCAATCTTTTAAAAATATAAAAAACATTCTTTTCACAGGCCACACAAAAACAGGTTGTCGGCCAGATTTGGCTTGCAGGCTATAATTTGCCAACCTCTAGTTTAGGAAAGAGATTGATTTGGATATGAATCCCAGCTCTGTCATAGAGATGACCCTAGTGATAGATTGTTTAGCATCTCTGGACTTTAGTTTAACAGTTAAGTAAGTGTGTGTGTGTGTGTGTGCATGTGTGTGAGAGAGAGAGAGAGAAAGAGAGAGAGAGGTATAGAAAGGGAGAGAGGGAGGAGAAAACCATCTACCTGTTGCAGGAGTATTTGACATTTGATAAGTTATCATAAGTAGAACAACTAGCATGGTATCTTGATCCAGTAGGGGCTCCAGAATTATGACATGCCTCTGTTCTGGGAAATCAGATATTATGTCTCTCGTATGTAACCATAAGAACACCAGCAACTAATAATCACTCATTAATTACTGCTAATGTGGAAAAGACTAGATTTCATCTCTTTACTCTCTTACTCAAGGAGCTATGGCACCAGAGTGAAGAACTAAAGTTCTGAGGTCACGTATCTCTGATTCCAATCCCATCGTACAGACCTGGGGAATTTTCTAAAATTCTTTGACTTTTTAACACTTTATCTTTTTTTCTTTTCTTTTCTTTTTCTTTCTTTCTTTTTTTTTTTTGACGGAATCTTACTCTGTCACCCAGGCTGGAGTGCAGTGGTGTGATCTTGGCTCACTGCAAGCTCCGCCTCCCAGGTTCAGGCAATTTTCCTGCCTCAGCCTCCCCAGTAGCTGGGACTATAGGCATGCACCACTGTCTCTTTGTGTAGAGATGCGGTTTCACCATGTTGGCTAGGATGGTCTCCATCTCCTGACCTCGTGATCCACCCACCTCGCCTCCCAAGGTGTTGGGATTACAGGCATGAGCCACTGAAACCGGCCAACACTTTATCTTAAAATGGGAATAATCGTGATTCCTACCACATGAGGTTGCCATGAAGGTTATACGAAATACTGCATGTAAAATGCTTAGATGGTGCCTATTCCTGAAGGATTACTCAATAATAAAAACTTGGCCAGGTGCGGTGGCTCACGCCTGTAATCCCAGCACTTTGGGAGACTGAGGTGGGTGGATCACCTGAGGTTGGGAGTTCAAGACCAGCCTGGCCAACATGGTGAAACCTCGTCTCTACTAAAAAAGTTCACTGGGAGTGGTGGTGGGCACCTGTAATCCCAGCTACTTGGGAGACTGAGGCGGGAGAACCACTTGAACCCAGGAGGCAGAGGTTGCAGCAAGCCAAGATCACGCCATTGCACTCCAGCCTGAGCATGACAGAGTGAGACTCCTTCTCAAAACAAAACAAAGCAGAACAACCTATAATAATAATAATAAGTTAACTATTAGTAATAGTACTACTACGACTAATATTATTAAATAGCTTCAGGGAGCCTACTGAACAAAGTTCAAATTACACAGCTTTATTAAAACTGTCTTATCAACCAGTCTATCCTAAACTTTCGACGTTCTCCTCTCTGTGTGTCAAATACTTATCTGCTTGTTTTACCCTATCCTGCTCATAACTTCCTCATTTCCACTGAAATGTCGTTGCTCATGAGCTTTCTCTTATCTGAAAAATCTTTGCTCTAACTTTACTTCAATGAAACGCTGTCAGAATTTCCTGATTTTGGTTAAATTCAACCTCTCCAGGGCCCTTCCTAAGAACTGTAGACCCTGCTGATTTTTTTCTGCACTTTTAATATCAATTACAGTTTTCTAGTGTCTAATATAATTTTGCACCTTATTGTATATGACATTGTTTCATTCTCTAATTATTCCACATTTATAGGTCTTGTCTTGGGAACCAGAGTGCAATCACCTGTAAAGGGAGGGATGGTGAGAACTGCTTCTTCTGGATTCTGCTTATTTCTAATATAACCTACATCACTTTGCCCGCCTATCTGTTGATTGATACAGTCACTCGAGCAGATCAAATCTACAGTATTCCTGATCCTGGATCCCACCCTGATCCTGACCCTTAGTACAGACCTCTCCATATGACGAAATACTCTGTACCCACTGGGGGGATGTATTACATAGTCCATTTTTCCTAATGCCTAATTTCTATAATATCACTGTTCCAGCCCTGGCTGAACCCACTGCTTCTGGTGACACAGGCAGATTTTACCTTTCACAGCAGTTTATTTTGTTGAATTTTTAATGCAAATCTTCGACCTTACACTTAGGTAGAACATGTCCTTTTAAGGTTGAGTGTCTGGGTTCCCTTTTGAATATCTCATGGATTCTCAGTTATTCACCACATGATGGCTGCTTTTTTCACTGGAGTTTATTAGCGACCCAGTTAATTGTAATGAATTGGGTAGCATTTGGCAAGGCTGATTTTGGTCATTCAAATACAGATTTTCTACTTCTAGATACTTTGTCTTCTGTTGCATTAGAGATTAGAGAGACTTATACTTTCTTTTCTTCACCCTGCCTTTTTTGCTCAAATATTGTATATGATTTTTCATTTGTGCTTTTTATTTTTTATTTTTTTATTTTTTATTTTTTTTTTCAGAGGGAGAGAAAAAAGCCAAAGGGTGGGAACTGGAAGGAGGGGAAGAATATGATGACATTGTTACTTTCTGCCAGGAGACATCCCTTCTTCTCAGTGCCTCTGGCCAAGGAGGTTCCAATCATATGCCCTTCCAAGCTAGTAAGCTCCTCTACCCTATCAGCCACAGGGTGCATGGCAGGGTAATGTATGATGCTGCTCTGCCCTGCAGACTAGACCTTCTGGTCTCACAATCCCATAGCCCATGCAAGAAGGAGAGGGAAAGCTGCTTTGGTACCAAGTTGCAGAGTGGCGAAAATTGAAACAGACTTAAGTGGAAAAAAACGTTTTTGCCAGCTCCTCTATTGGCCTACTATCTCCTTCAGCAGGAGAAGGTATCAAGCTGCTGAAATTTAAAATGGTTGGAAATATCAAGAGCTGTGTCTTCTTGAATAAATCTAGTTCCCCCTGAGCACTGGAAAGAACGGCTAAACCCCAACACTGGTCAGAAAAACTGGGCATCTTTCTATGAGCTCTGGCCTTTGGAAAAAAATTAATGACAAGAAATGCCTCTCTTTATTATCACAAAAGAATGGAGGAGAAATATTTTTCAGCCAGAGCTCTGTCCTACCTTGCTTTATCCTTTTGTTTGGGCAGCATTCGCAGACCCATATGCTAAGCGGTGGAAGATATTTTTCAGAAGCATTTGTCTCCTTGGGAGGCTTCTAAGCTTGTTTTACTGGCAACTGTGAAATCACCACTGGGTCTGTTGTGAGGTTATTCTGCAGATGGTTTGCATGGGCGGCTTGTTTCTACTGGATGAAATCTCCCTTTGGACTCCAGCTTGGATTTAAGAAATTCATGCATTACTACTCTTTGCTTTCTTATGATAAAGTCCTCACACTGTTGCACCTGGAGACCTGTTGTCCTCCAGAGTTATTTAGGGTAAAGGGGGTGTAACAGGGTGGAGGTCCTGTCAAGTCACAGTGGTGGAAAAGGACAATCTCTGAAGCTTCATCTGCCATCATGGTCAATTCTAGTATTAGTATGGATGGGTGGCAGGTGGTCCGGCAGTTTTCTCAGTACACGTCGAAATCAACGTCCAATGGGAGCTCAAAATAACCTTATAGAATTTCACCTAAAGGCAGATGGCAACAGTTATCTTGCACTTGTGGTTTTTTTTTCTCTCTCTCCTCTTCTTCCCCAAAACAACCACAATTACACATGCAATTCATGCCAGGGACATTTATATGTGCCCAAGAGCATGCAGTCCTTTTAGATATACTCATTTCAGCATTATCACTTTAAAAATAGAACGCTAAAGTATAAAATGGATCACTCTAGTTTGCAGAGGAGAAAAGTTATGCTGTAACTTTTTAAAGACTTTGGTTTATTTTAATTTCTTCAATGGCCAAAAAGATTCAAAACCAAATGTACTTTTCATGAAGTCAAAGAGAGAACGGACTTGTGTGTCACGGAATTGGGTTTTTTGACTTTTCCGAAATAAGTTCGAATGTCTGTACCGTTGCTCACTGGTGGTTGGACTCTGCTAGGCTATTTAACATTTCTGAATCTGTGTGTCCATCTGTAAAATAGGGATAATACAGCCTCGTTCAGAGACGATGTGGTGATTAAGCATGTATTAGGTTGGTGCAAAAGTAATTGCAGTTTTTGCCACTGAAAGTAATGGAAAAACCACAATTACTTTTGCACCAACCTAATAATTTGTAAAATCTTAGCAACAGGTTGTCACCTAATACAGTCAGCTATTGTTTATTGAGTAGTTTCTTTTGGCTAGGCTTTTTTGTATTTTTTGGGTCTTAGCTAATTTTCATTATAACCTTGTGTGCCAAGTAACATGACTATACCCTGCTTAGATGGGGAAATTCAGGCAGGAAAAAGCGTCAACTTCCTCAAGGCTGCAAGAGGAGTAATTCTTTGCAGTGTTATTTGAACCTGTGCTTTTAGTGACTGGTCCATTTTGGCTTTCCATGTAGCATATAGATAGGCAAAGAATTTGAGAGCAAAGAATCACTTCTCTTTGCTCCCAAATTTCTGGGCCTTCATTTAGCTCATTTGTAAAATTTATGTGAGTAGATGAGTGAGTCTTAAAAGAGATGCACATTCAACACACCTGGGGAAATGTTTTTTAACCTGCTCGAGGCCAGACCTAGCATTATGAAGCTTCTGTCTTTATGGTATTTATTGAGGGTCTTGAAATCTGAGTTATTCTGATGCAATAGTATTCTGATGCAAAGCTCCTAAAAAGTAATCAGGTAAAAAAGTTATACTAACCAACAATTACTCTTAATATTCCATTTCTTGAAGTTTTGCATTAATCCAGAGGCAGAAGAAAATCTGTCTTTGAAAATATTTAGTATGCCTCCCCTCGGAGGGTCGCTAGTGCCAAAATATGGCTATGATGTTTGTCTCGCGAGTGCCTCACCACCTGGTTCTCCTTTGTAAGTGACCTTGGGACTTTCAGATACTCACATGGAGTTGTCTTGCTTTTTGTATTTTAAACAATTCTCATTTCAGCAACGTGTTTGACAGCAGCCTTCCTCTACTTACGTGGCAGTAGTACAATACAGGCTTTTAAACCACCCTTAACAAAACTACCCCCATGCTGCTTTCTTTCTTGATATGTCATTGCCCTTAGTTCATTTTTAGCACTTATAAAAGATTGTATGCTTTTTATAAGCATTGATCTAAACCAAGTGTAAGTTGTGATCAAATTTCTCAATGTTAATAAGTGGCAGAGAAAATTTTTATGGCATTGAAAAGAAAAAGTGAATTCAAGTTGACTGTGCTTCCAAACATTAATCTAAAGGAACCTCTTTCTTAGCATGTCAACCAGCGAATGTGCCCACTTTAATTGAAAGTAGCAGAGTAGCATCTGCTTAGCAATGAGAGAGAGTGAGAGCGAGAGAGAGAAAGCGTGTGTGTGTGTGTGTCTGTGCATGTGTGTGTGTACATGCCTCTTGTTTTTTGGGGAAAAACTAAAGATTAAATATGACACATACTATCAAAAATCATTGTGAAAATTACAACAGATATCCTAAGTATATGAGGGTTTGATATCAAGCATCATAAGGAAATCAAAACCTGCAAATATTTGTCTTTTCAAAATTATCTTTTGCATCAAGAAAAAAAGAAACAAGTCTTCAGCAGCATGCAATAAAAGTTTTTTTTTCTTTTTAAATTAAGAGTGATTGAATGCTTGCCATGTCACAGTTACTGCTGTAGTAATAAATGCTTTCGTGTGTGGTATTTTATTTAATCATCATGGCAAACCTATGAGGTAGGTGCTATTATTGCTGTTTTTTCCATCTCTCAGATGAAAAAACCTGACTCTCAGAGATATTTGAACAACTTATCCCAAATCATTCTGCTAGAAATGGTGGAGTCAAGATTTAATCTGATTCATAGCCTGAGATCGTTATCACTGTGTGGTATAGCTTCCCAACTGGGCAAGTCAATAGGTCAGAGGTCCTAATAGACAACTGTTAAAAGTAAAATGTTGTTGCTTACACGACTCAAAGGAAAGCATGGGAGCATCCTCTGGCTGCTATGAAAGTCAAGTTGCTCGGCCAGAAAGTTGAGAGTCAGGGGAGAAGCAGGAAAACTCTAAGAAGGGAGAAGGCTAACAAGGGATAGAAAAGTGAGGCTCCTAATAACAAAAACAGCCATGGAGAGATGAAGGAGCTTGCAGGTTTGAAGTGCAGAGAAGAATGCTGGCTCCAAGGAGAAAGAAGAGAGGAGAGCTCTTCAACTAGCTGCTTAAATCTCCGTTGCCCCTCGGGGCACCTCGATGCCACATTAAAGGCACATCCATCATTGGACAGATCTGCAGTGGAGGCAGGCGCTGGGGCATTTAGTGAACTGGCCTGCCAGGTTCTGTTTTCTGCTGTAGCCTCTGAGAGCGTGCGTCATCATTGTCACCTAATTCCACTTTATGCTAATCAGGACAGATCATGGGAAGGCTTAATTGGGAATGACATGAAGCCATTCATTCTACTGCAGTGGAAAACTAAACTATGCTATAGTCGAATATACGAGTTATAACTGAAAATATGTAACATAAAAGCTGAAGTTTAAAATGCATCCCCAAATGTGCAGTTCAAATTGAAGGAAAACCTTAGCGTATACCTCTAGGGAAATTCTAATTTTCTCTTTGAACAAACCTGGACAGTGTACTTACCTGGCATATAATTGACAAAGAGGGAAGAAAATAAAGAGAAAAGTGGGAAGAGAGATGGAAAGGAAGAAAGAGAGGCAGGAGAGGAAAAGAGGATGGAAAATATGTATAAATAACTGTAATTAGGTGAGTATTGTATTCCTGTTAACTTTAGTGCTTTTAAATAAGACATGATAGAAAGTTAATGCAACTGGCAGCAATCAACAAGTAACTCATAGAGTCACAAAACTATTTTATGGTTAGTTCAGAGAAAAGACCTTTAAACACAGCCAATACTTCCACAGTTTTAAATGGCCGATTAAATCCATATGTTTTAGTTTAAATTAGTCAAATTGAACCTCAATTAATCTTCCATTCACCCTAGATTTTCATAAAAATGATAAGTAATTGGGAGTTATCATTATTCCTCAGCTTTCTAATATGCCAAATATTTGACAGAATGAGTTAGAATATACATTTCTGGTCAATTCATTGACCTTTTGGTCCATTCAATGAATGATCCTTTCAGAATGGCAGACTTATCTGAGGAAAGTTAAGCTAATCTACTGTGTGAACAAAATGGAGTTTACCATGTGGGGACAGAGATGGTGCCATGCACTCTTTTGTTTTTAACTTTCTTAATAGGTGTTAATATTGCTTTACAATAGCACCAGAATCTTAATCAGAACATTAAGGTACCATATAGAAAGAATATTCAATCCCATTATAACTTTAAAGATCAAATGTTTATGTTTCTTATATCTTAATTTCTCTGAGTATCCAAGAGTCTTCTGTCAAAACCATGAATGTACGTCCCATCTCTATGCTATCAACTTCTGTTTATAAACACTATGTGAGATTTGAAGTATCCTCTCTTTAAAGCTCTCTTGAAATTGTATATTCTTCAAGCACTGTCCCCACCAGTGAACACATGGTGAGTAAGTCAAACAAACCTCTAGATGTAGACTTATAAGGTGAAGATTTTAGTCCTTATGTTACTAATGTAGGAATACTACCCTATGTTCTGATTCTTGTTGACAACACAAAGGAGAAAGAGAGTACCACGGAAGAAGGCCATTTTTCCAGAGGAGGGGGAAATTGCTTGAAAGAGTGAGATTTTGAACTCTGATTCTCTAATATAATTTGTAGAATGTTTGCTGTGTTATGTCTTTCCAGAAGTCTGACACATAAACATCCTTTTCTCCATTTTTTTTTTTTTTGAGTTGGAGTTTCACTCTTTTTGTCCAGGCTGGAGTGCAATGGCGCAATCTCGGCTCATGGCAACCTCTGCCTACCGGGTTCAAGTGATTCTCCTGCCTCAGCCTCCCAAGTAGCTGGGATTACAGGCACCTGCCACCACACCCGGCTAATTTTTTGTATTTTTTTTTTTTTTTTTTTTTTTTTTTTTTTTGAGACGGAGTCTCGCTCTGTCGCCCAGGCTGGAGTGCAGTGGCGGGATCTCGGCTCACTGCAAGCTCCGCCTCCCGGGTTCACGCCATTCTCCTGCCTCAGCCTCCCGAGTAGCTGGGACTACAGGCGCCCGCCACTACGCCCGGCTAATTTTTTTTGTATTTTTACTAGAGACGGGGTTTCACCATTTTGGCCAGGATGGCCTCCATCTCTTGACCACGTGATCCGCACACCTCAGCCTCCCAAAGTGCTGGGATTACAGGTGTGAGCTATTGTGCCCAGCCCCTTTTCTCCATTTTTAAAGAAAGATGCAAATATTCCAAATAAAGCCAGCTAATACTAAAAGATTTTTTTCAAGAAAATAAATTTTTGGTATAGGAGTTATATTCATTTAATCTGCAACCCACTGGGCCTCACACCTGTGAATAGAACCATAACTAATGAACATAACGAATACCTTATGCTATCAAGAAAATGTTAACCATTCTGTGTTATCTAGTGTTTTATACTATAGAAGGCAGAAAGGCATTCAACAATTTTAGAAAGAGTTCTGCTCCCCAGCAAAGAACAGTTTTAATATTTGATTCTTTGAAATGTTATATTAACTACTGGGGAAGATATAATTATCTACAACAATGTTCAATGCCCAATAAACAAATATATTGCTCCCCAAGTAATTAATCTATTCTGGTGAAACTGTATAGAATTAATTCTGAAATTAAATTTCAGAGTTTCAGTCCTGGTTTGCCATTTACAAGTTGTGTGACCTTTAACATGTCGCTTAAACTCTGGAAATCTCAATTTTCTCAGGTAGAAAATGGGGGGATAATAATGCTTATCTCACAGTGTTGTGAAGTATAAGTTGAATACATCACACAGTGTCTGGCGCAGTGGGCAGACTTAAGAAATGGTGCATATTTTTGCTTTACATGAAGAATTACTGTATTTAGTGACAATCTATGAGTTTCTAAACAGTAATTAATGGCAATCTATTTTCCAAAAACTTTGAAGTCATGCCCTTTAAATATAATTAGCATGAAACTCAACACAAAGGTGTAAGTTCATCGATAGTCATTAGTCCTGCTGTGTCCTTCATGATCTCCAGCAGTTCAAACAGCCTTCAGAAATCCCAAGGCTAGATGAGACACTGTTGTCAAATCGTGTTGGGGTCACCTTATTGTTCTCTGCCTTGGCCTCATCAGTGCCTGCACAGCTTCGATCTGATGACAGCCAAAAAGGACCTGATGTGTTTATAACCAGTACGGCCATAGAAAGATTGCTTTTACCAAATACATGCTAGGCACTAGGCACTAGGATAACCGTTATGTGTGTAGGAGCTCGTTGAGCATGGTGTTCGTAAAAATGGGTTTTAAAGCTGATCACGTTAGGTTAAAGTCTTAGCTCTGCCCCTCGTTAGCAGGATGACCTTGGTATGCTTTCTTTTCCTCAGTTTTAAAATATTGATGATGATATATTTGCCTCAGAGTACTGCTGTGAGGTTTAAGTAGAATAATGAATGTTAAGTCATTATGGCAGTATTTAGCATATTGTAAGCTTCTTCTTGGACGTTCTTCTAGCTCCTATGACTACCTCCAGTTTTCTTCCAGCCACGTGGGCTGCCCCTTCTCAGGATCCCTGGCAGTCTTCTGCTATGATTCACTGGAAAGAAAGTGCCTAAATATTATTTTTTCTTTTTTTTTCTTTTTCTTTTTTTTTTTGAGACGGAGTCTCACTCTGTCACCCAAGCTGGAGTGCAATGGTGCAATCTCCACTCACTACAACCCCTGCCTCCCAGGTTCAAGCGATTCTCCTGCCTCAGCCTCCTGAGTAGCTGGGATTACAGGCACCCGCCACCACGCCCAGCTAATTTTTGTATTTTTAGTAGAGACGGGGTTTCACCTTGTTGGTCAGGCAGGTCCTGAACTCCTGACCTCGTGATCTGCCCGCCTCGGCCTCCCAAAGTGCTGGGATTACAGGCATGAGCCACCGCACCCAACGGACAGTGCCTAAATATTCTGACCTCGGCCCTTCTCTTCTCTGTCTACCCAGTCTCCCTAGGTGGCCGCGTGTACTCCCGTGAGCTATGTGGCCTCCTACAATCTCATGCCACCTATTTCCTAATAAGAGCTCTCACCTCCAACTTCCTAACACTGCCACAATAGTTTAAAGAGGCTAAATTGGCCACAGTCACATATAATGTAGTCAAGCTGGCTTAAAACCTACATTTATCTGACACTGAAGTCCAAGTTAAACACGCAGAGGGAGAGGCAGATTTAGGCACACCCAAGCAACAAGTCCCAAACTCAACAAAAAGAGAAAAACTTTTGAATGTTTACTTGACTTGCTATATCTGAAGAAGTCATACAGTTTTTCCATATGACAGTACGGCTTATCCTTTAATCAAAATTTTTAAAACAGTTTTTGAAGGTTAAGGGTTCTATCAAAAACTTCACATCATTTTCAAGGAAAATTAATGAAAATTATTAATTGTTATAGCTCATTTATAAGAATTTAGATGAGAACATTATGAAAAATTAGTGAAATTATTATCAGATGGAATAATTAAAGATCAATTGTGAAATAATCACATAATTCTAGCTATACGCTGTATCGCTCTTCATTAATCAAAGATAATCTGGAATTGCAATACTTAATTAAATGCAAAAAAGTGTTTGTGTGTTCTGGCTCTGAAAGGAGATAATTGGAGAGTGCAGAAGCTGTACAGTTATCAGCTTTTACTGATTTTCTGAGAGTCTAGAAATGTAGATTCTACAATGTGGGGGTTGCTCATTTTATGGACTGTTGAAATCTCACCTAAAATAGATACTACTGTTTTCAATGAGATATTTTTCTTTTAATCTTGGGAAAAAAAAGGATTTTGATTTTAATTCATCAATAAGAAGAAAGTAATGCATCTGATTTTGGCAGATGTATTAGATCTTAAAGGCCTATGAACAAATTCCATCTTACTTTACTTTCTTCACTGCCAAAGTGGAAACCTTATTGGTTGATATCTTTGGTGATCCTCCACAGGGAAAGTAATTCTGTTTTTTCTCTCATTTGTAAATAAGGCCATATATAATACTCATATGAAGCTCTATATTTCTGCAGGAATTATAATGAAGTTACATATCAGTTTCAAATGTAGTTTGTTTTCAAAACAATAATGTTTATTGAGGTAAAATTTACCTACAATAAAATGCACATATATAAGTATATTATATTATATATACTTATATATAATATATATAATATATTAATATATATAATTAATTATATATATTAATATATTATATATAATATATATAAAGATACATATTATATATAATATATAATTATATTATATATAATATATATGTATATATTATATATAATATATACATATACATTTACATATATGTATATTATATATATAATATTATATATTTTATATATATATATAATATATATGCGAGTTTTGACAAATATATATATACCCGTGTAATCAAGATAGGGAACATCTCAGTCACCCCAAGGAGTTTCTTTTTGCCCTATCCCAACCAATCCCCATTTGTACTTCAGCACCAGACAACTCCTGATTTGCTTGTCTGACCCCATAAATTAGAGTTGCCTTTTCTAGAGTTTTGTCTAAATGGAAGCGTACAACACATATTCTTTTGGGTCTGGCTTCTTTTTCTGCTTTTCTTTTTTTTATTTTTATTTTTATTTTTTTATTATACTTTAAGTTTTAGGGTACATGTGCACATTGTGCAGGTTAGTTACATAGGGTCTGGCTTCTTTTTCTTAGCGTGATACTCTCGGATTTCACTTCTGTTAGCTCATTCTTTTTTTTCCTCTTCCTGAGTACTAATTCATTGGGTGAACATCCCAGAAACGTGCTTATAGTTAACCTGTTAATAGATATTTGATTTATTTCCAGTTTTGAGTTATAATAAAGTTACCATGAACCCCTGTGTATCAGTCTTTCTTTTGGTCATATCATAATTCACTCTTTTTATGTCATTTTAAGTCATTTTTCACCCTTGTTCACTCTGTCAACCAAGTAAAAAATCTTTTTTAAAAATATGTCCACAATGGAGAAAAATTGGTTTTCATGCTGTATGTGGAAATATATACAAATATAGAAATGTCTTTATTCAAACATAAAATATTTTTATATGCTTTGTTTCCTTCCTCCTTCATATCAAGCCTTTACAAGAAATAGCAAACATACTATTATTACTCTTAGTTTACAAATGTGCAAACTTGGTCTCAGAGGAATTCAGTGATTTGCTGAAGACCACACAGTTTTCAAATGCTGCAGTCAAGACCAGAAGCTGCTTTATAATTTCCTAATCCAGTGCACTTTCTACTCTACCACATAGAAAATTTTTCACTTCCTTTAACATGTATTTATTAAACACCTGCTACTGGCCCACCTCTGTATTAGGATGTAGGCAATCACACAATATACAAAAACAATTCATGTGTTTCCTCAAGGGACTAATGATTTAATTGAAACTACAATACTTCTACATGGAAAAAAAGGTGAGTGCAATTGTAAGGCAATAAATTAAGGATGTTAGAAACATGTTTTATGTGCCACATTGAATACAGGTATTGAATTAATAGGTATTTAAATGAAGGAGTATGGAGTTATTTGGAAGAGATTCATTAAGGAGGTGACATTTGTGTTAGACATAACAAACAAAAATTTTGGATTGGGAAAGAGCAGATAAGAGGTAAAGCTGGCCAGGTGCGGTGGCTCATGCCTGTAATCCCTGAACTTTGGGAGGTCGAGGCGGGTGGATCACCTGAGGTCAGGAGTTCAAGACCAGCCTGGCCAACATGATGAAACCCTATCTCTACTAAAAATACAAAAAATTAGCTGGGTGTGGTGGTGCACTGCTATAATCCCAGCTACTCAGAAAGCCAAGGCAGGAGAATCGCTTCAACCCGGGAGGCAGAGGTTCCAGTGAGCTGAGAACACATCACTGTACTCCAGCCTGGGCAACACAGCAAAACTTTGTCTCAGAGGAAAAAAAAAAAAAAAAAAAAGGAGGTAAAGCTGAGTTTATATGAGTTTATATGTCTATGTAACGAGGAGAAATCTGAAATCAGCAGGACTAAAATGATTTACCTTCAAGTTGAATATATAGGGTGGGCCAGTTGAATGTCAAGTTGAATTGTGTGGCATTTACTCAATGGACAGTAGGGAGACATTGTAGATTCTTTAGCAATGGAGAGCAGTGAGTGACATAGCATGAGTGAGGTTTTAGAAAGAATCAGTTGGTCTCGGCTTGCAGAATGGGGTAGATATAGGAAAGAAGATCAAAGAAGACACCTCAAAGACCTATTGTAAACTAGGTTTGCGGTGATGAAGACCCAGACCTGGGAAAGGAAAAGACAAATCTATGCTTTTACAAAAAAACTGACAAGTTATTACGGCTCTTCACTGACTGGTATCGTAATTCAGAGACATTCACACAGAATGTCTTTAGAAACTAAATATCCTTGTGCTAACAGAACCAGGCTTCACAGCTATAGAAATGGTTATAAAGCTAGGATGTTTTATGAGACTTAATTTTGGCCTAGAGCTTAATTCCTTTTTGCTACAGTTCACCACCTGTCAGTGTACCAAAGGATGCACTGACTTGCTTATTTCAGCTTCTTTCTTTGGAATATAGTTTAAAATATAATCCATCAGTCTTAATCTCAGCTATTTTCCAAAATGTTTCCCAAATTAATAAGTGCAGTATTGGAAGCAGTGACCCCATAGGGAAATATGACAAAAACAGTTCACTCATAATTATAAATAAAACCTCCTTTCATTGAGCAATAGCAAATTGGCAAAACCCAGCAGCTTTTCATACTGTGCTGTTCCAAGGGGTTCCTAGGCAAGTGCTCCCTAAGTCCTCTCTCCTGCTGCCCAGTGGTCTGAGGGCTGCTTTGATTTTGTTCTCCATTATCAGGCTGTCAGCTTCAGCCTCATTCATCACGTTCTGGGCACACATGTAGGTTGGATTCCGGTACTTAAATGAACCATCTTTATAAGCAGATCTCAATTCAAGGTATTTACGGTCATGGGAAGCTGAAGACCCTCTTTCCCGCCTCTCTAGAACATAGACTAAAGATGTAAATCTTGATTGATTTGGAAGGAAAAGAGGCCATTATTACCAACACAGAAGTTGATAATAATGAAGTTAAATGTCTCTTGTCTTTCTGAAATCACGTTCTTTGGTTCTCAGTCCAGTAATGTTTTCTATGTACTATGAAAGGGAAAACCACATCAACTTGGGGAGACGAACTGCAAACCCATTGCCTTCGTTGAGCCGTCAGCAGCGTTTCTCACAGTGGAGCACTTCCTGCTTCTTGAAATTCTTCCTTTTCTTGAGGTGCATGACACATCCCGGTTTTCCTGCAGCCATATGCATTCCCCTTCTCACTCTCCCTGGTGTCTTCTGCTCTGCTTACCTAAGGAGACTTCTATCTACATACTCTCCTAATTCTGTGCCTTAGAACAACAACAGTTTTCCAATGAGTATCACATTTATATCTCTTTTTGTTGAACTTATTTCAAACTCCAGGGTCACATCACTTTCCTCCAATCTGACATATCCACATTGATGCTGTGATAGGCAACTTGGTAATAACATCTTAGCCATACTTTTCCTCTACTCACCTGATCTTCTCTGGGTTCCTCCATCTTATAAATGGCACCATATCACTTAACTGCTAGAACCAAGATCTAGGATTTTTCCTGATTTTTCTCTTTCTCCCAACCTCCATATTAAGGTTATTACTAAGAACTGTCAGTGTCACCTCCCAAATCTCCCAAATCTTGCTTCTGCTCTCTATCTCTACTGCTCCTACCCTGGGTCCATCATCCTTACTTGGGCCAAAGTAAAACATTATAAACTGGTCTATCTATATGTCTTCTTGCTTTCTACAACCCATTGATCACGCAGGAACCAGAGCTTTCTGTTTAAAACTTAATTCCAAACACATCATTTGCTTTCATAAAAGAATTTGCTTAAAATCCAAATGCTTATCCAACTTTAAAAGTCCTGTTTATTCGGCGCATAAACTTTTATCTTAACTTCTCCCACTCGGCTTCTATCACCTCAGCTTTCCTTTCCTTGAATATATCAACCTCATTCCTGCTTTTGTGATGGGCTTGTTCTTAGGAATAACTGCTTTGTTTTAATCTCATCTCTTCAGAGAACACTTCTTTCCTGATGTTCCAATCTGCAGTACCTTGCAACTCTGCCTGAATCACAAAATATTCTTTCTTTCCTTCCTTCCTTCCTCCCTCCCTCTTTCTTTTCTTTTCTTTCTTTTGTTTGAGATGGACTCTTGCTCTGTTGCCCAGGCTGGAGTGCAGTGGCATGATCATGGCTCACTACAACTTCTGCCTCTCTGGTTCAAGCGATTCTTGTGCCTCAGCCTCCTGAGTAGCTTGGATTACAGGCGCCTGCCACCACGCCTGGCTAATTTTTGTATTTTTAGTACAGACAGGGTTTCACCGTCTCTCCTAAGGATGTTCATCGAACTTCTGACCTAAAGTGATCTGCCCACCTCGGCCTCCCAAAGTGCTGGGATTACAAGAACCATGCCCAGCCCACATTTACATCTTTAGCACAGTCCCTGCTGCTGCTCTCCCCTCAGCTCAATGTGTCTCTTCTTTGTGCGTGTGTTTTTTTTTTTTCTTAATTCTATGTCTATAAAGAGTAGAGGAGGGCTGGAGATGGGTCTGTTGCATTTTCTAGTCATCAGTATTCAGAATTGCTGTTAGTTTTCTACTCTTACAACCTCACTGCATTGCCTGTGCACCTTGCACCAGGATGCTTTTGCTGGCTTCTTTTTAATTTGTAAAGAGAAGGAACAGGAGGCCCAAAGGTGATTACCAGTCAGAGCAGCTCATCATTAAAAGGTCTGAGACTTGTGGTAAGCAGATGACTATAAGATACAGGTCAAATGGATTTTGCACTATTCAGGCTCAAGCTGAATTACAAAAATTAAATAGCACTCTAATTAACCAGAGTAGTTAGCACATAATTCAGATCTTTGGGTCTCTACATGATGGTGGATTAAAAAAAAGTTTTATACTGAATAATGTACAAATAACAAAACAAAATAAAGCCTGCTCTTGTTGGTCTTCCATATACAGGCTTCAAGGGTAAGAAAACATTACAGATTTCTGCAAAAACAGAAATGTTCTTACTATACAAGAGAAAAAAGGTGAATTCTGTTTTTCAAAGAGAATAAAGAATTAACATAGCAAGGGATGAAAGAAGTTTTGCATTTCATTTTTAAGCATTGCACATAGCCTGATGTGGCCCTTTTAGAGCTATACCACATGAATGAAACAGGTAGAAGAAAAGGTGAAAACAATATCATATATAAGTTTTATAACTAAATCTGCCTTTATTGATTGCTTCCTAAAACTATGGAATACCACCAAATATAAGTTAACACACTAGAATACAACTTACATAAACCTGAAATTTGCTATAAAAAGAAAATGATGACATCCACAAAAATTACTTACATATCTAATAAATAGATGAAAAACATGTTAGGAAACTCCTAAGAGAGCCTTGAGATATGAGAGAACACTGTGTGAATACTAGAGAAATTTTGGATGTATAGCCTCTGCACAGAAAATAAAAAAATAAAATGAAGCTTGCCTTTTTACTATTGCACAAAAAAGAATTGGGAAGTCATCATGAAATGTGAGCATATTTAAAAGCTGGGACATGGAGCAGGCAAATGCATAATCTGGAAATTAGAGAAAATATTCACAAAAAGAGAATATAACAAAGACTGTGTTTTTAGATCTAAACTTCAAAGGTCAATTACAGTCATTCAAGTTAAGGTTTAATTTTACATGTTTTACAATGTCACTTTATTAAAATTTTTTCTAAAAGTAATAATAGGATAATAATAACAACTAACACTTAGTGAGCTTTCACTATGTCAGACACTATGCTAAACATGTGCATTATTCCATTTAAGCTCATGACTCCACAGTTTCATGAAGAAACTGTGTCACAAAATTGTAGTAAGTCGACCAGAGAACTCATAGATAGTTAGAGGATGAATGATCAGCCTAAGGGTTTCTTCCTCCAACATCTATATCTTTAGTGCCCTCTGCTATCTCTCTAACCTAAATTGTACTTTCTCCATGAAAACAAAATAAACAACTGATTAATATAAAATTTGCTCATATGAATCCACTTGTAGGAGGCTATAGTCACCATAATATATTGCTTGAAATGTTATATGATTAAATTTGATAAAGTGGTTTGGGTGTCTTTCTTTTTGTCCATATCAGAATACTGTTTGCCCCAAACCATGATGCTATATAAACAAACAATTATATATTTTGTCTTCTTCTGTGTCAGGGTTGTCCTACAATTATCTAGTAACTGGTACAATCTAGGCTTTAGTACTTATTTAAAAAAATAAGAGAGTAACTCACGGGTCTTACAGAATGACACTTCTCACACTATATTTTTCTTTATGGCCAATAAGAATAAAGGCATTTTATGCTCATTTTTTTTAAAGCTACTTGAAGTTTAAAATATTGAGGAAAATTACAGTGGAGTTTTCATCCTTTATAGCCTTGTGCCCATTGGGTCATTTGTTAGTTCATAAGTGTTTTTCAGAATAAACTCATTTTAAAAGTAAACACTTTTATTTGAGAGCAGGAGAACAAAGTTTATGAATTTTTAAATACCTTTTAATAATAAATCTATTCAATGGCAGCCTTACAATTTATAGCTATACCAGTAAAAATGGGATAGGTTGTAATATTATAACTATTGCCCTTAATTTTCTGTTATAGACAGCAATGTGTGTGTTTTTCTCAACTTAAGTGAGCCAATACCATGCTGTTCAGATTACTACAGCTTCATGGTACAGTTATATTTTGATAGGAGTTTGTGTGATGCCTCCAGCTTTGTTCTTTTTGCTCAAGATTGTTTTGGCTGTTTGGGGCCTTCTGTGGTTCCACAAAAATTTTATAATTCATTTTTCTATTTCTGTGAAAATGTCATTGAAAATTTTATAGGGAATACATTAAATCTGTACATTACTTTGGGTAGTACGAACGTTTCAAAAATATTATTTATGCATATTCATAAACATGGAATATCTTCCCAATTATTTGTTGTTTTCTTCCATTTCTTTCATCAGTGAGTACATGAATCTTTTACTTCTTTGGTTGAATTTATTCTGAAGTTTTCTTCATTTATATAAAATTTATTTATATAGGCATAAAATTGCATATGAGATTGTTTTCTTGATTTCTTTTTTGGAAAGTTTGTTGTTAATATATAAAAATGCTACTGATGCCGTATGTTGATTTTGTGCCATGCAAAACATTATTGAATTCATTTATTAGTTCTAACAGCTTTTTGGGTGGAGTCATTAGCATTTTCTATACATAAAAGATTATGTCAAAACGGCATAGCAGTACCATAAAAATAAAGATATAGACCAATGGAACAGAATAGAGAGGACAGAAATAAATTGACTCATTTATAGTCAATTAATATTTGACACAGGGGCCAAGAACACACAATGAAGAAAGGACAGTCTCTTCAATAAATTATATCGGGAAAAGTGGACATCCACATACCGAAGAATAAAATTGAACGCATATCTCATGCCATATACAAAAATCAACTCAAAGTATTAAACATTTAAACATAAGATCTGAAACTATAAAACTTTTGGAAAAGCCGGGCACGGTGGCTCACGCCTGTAATCCCAGCACTTTGGGAGGCCGAGGCGAGCGGATCACGATGTCGGGAGATCGAGAACATCCTGGCTAACACGGTGAAACCCCCCCTCTACTAAAAATACAAAAAAAAAAATAGCCGGGCGTAGTGGTGGGCGCCTGCAGTCCCAGCTATTCGGGAGGCTGAGGCAGGAGAATGGCGTGAACCCGGGAGGCGGAGCGCTTCTTAACCTTGTTTTTGACAATGATTTTTTTTTTTTTATATGACCTCGAAAGCATGGGCAACAAAAGCGAAAAGAGACAAACGGGACTGCACCAAACTAAAAAGCCTCTGAGCAGCAAAGAAAACAACAGGGTGAAGAGGCAACCTATGGAATGGGAGAAAATATGCGCAAACCATACATCTAATAAGAAGTTAACATCCAAAATATATACGAAACTCAACACAATAGCAAGAAAATAAATAACCCAATTCAAAAACAAGGAAAGAACCTGAATAGTTATTTCTAAAGGAAGACATACAAATGGCTACAAGTATATGAACAAATGCTCAACATCATTAACCATCAGGAAAATGCAAATGAAAACCACAATGACACTCATCTAAAAACAGAGGTGATAGGCCTGGCGCGGTGGCTCACACCAGTAATCCCAGCACTTTGGAGGTCAAGGCGGGCAGATCACGAGGTCAGGAGATCGAGACCATCCTGGCTAACACAGTGAAACCCCGTCTCTACTAAAAATACAAAAAATTAGCCGGGCGCGATGGCGGGCACCTGTAGTCCCAGCTAGTCGGGAGGCTGAGGCAGGAGAACGGCGTGAACCCGGGAGGCGGAGTTTGCAGTAAGCTGTGATCGTGCGGCTGCACTCCGGCCTGGGCGACAGAGCGAGACTCCGTCTCAAAAAAAAAAAAAAAAAAAAGAGTATAGGTGATATAAACACACACCTCTAACTTTGGGAAGGTTAATCACGATACATAGAGTTCATAGTACTGTGCCACCACAGGATTATAACAAGAGCTAACTATGACAGGCACAGTTATAACCTCAAGTAATAATACAATTAATACAGACATAATACAATAGTACAACTTACATCCTTTTTTTCTATTTCAAGGGTCTTTTGGTTTTATTCCTTGTCTATTTTCATACTTCTGAAATGCCTAAGGGGAAAAATCCAAAATACGTAACAGATACACAAGGGCACTGTGGAATATGGGCGCTGCACCTGTTTACAGTCTCATTAGGGGTGGCGGTGCGGTGGGGAGTATACAAGGCACGCCTTTAGTGATGAACAATATAATTTTCTTTTATATATGGAACTTACAGGCTAGTCGGGCGGGTGGAGGCAGAGACACAAACAATAGGAAAATTTCAAATAATATGAACTGCTATGAGAAATATAAAGCAAGGTGACAAGATAGAATAAAATTGATGGGTGAATGTGGCCATTTTAAAAAGGGTGGTTAGAGAAAGCCTCATTGAAGATGTGACATTCAATCTGACACCTTTATGATAAAGAATGAGCCATGCAAAATTCTGGGGGAAGAACATTCTGGGCAGAGAAAACAAGGGCAAAGGCCATCAAATAAAAACAAGTTTGGTATGTTGAAGAACAGAAAGCAAGCCAATGTAACTAGAGCATAGAAAATGTGAGATGAATGTTGAGAGGAAGTATATATAGGCATGGGGATAGGTTTTGGTAAAAAATTGGACTTTATTTTAATTGCAATAAGAAGTCATTGGAGGGCGATTTGCAACTTGGAGGATTAATTCAGAGCTATATAAATTATCTAAGAACTTTGGATGCCACAGCTAGAACAGTTTCTGGAAGCCTCAAACAAAAACATGACACAGAAAAAACATTAAGAGTGCTGTGAGCCATAGAGCTGCCTGGAAACTAGAGCTTAAGCCCTCATATCCAGATTCTACTTGTTAAGATACATCTTATACATTTAACTCATTAAGATACATTTACAATTAATCATTGTGACGTGCACTGTTTTAGGCACCAGGGATACAGCTATGAAGAATAAAATTCTTCTTAAATTCTAGGTTAAAGAATAAAGGAAATAAATATACTGTAACACTGAGCAGCTATTCAGGGTTTTAAAAAAATAATCTGGGCCAGGTGTGGTGTCTCATGCCTGTAATCCCAGCACTTTGGGAGGCCGCAGCAGGCAGATCATTTGAGGTCAGTAGTTCGAGACTAGCCTGGACAACATGGTGAAACCCCGTTTCTACTAAAATACAAAAATTAGCTGGGCGTGGTGGTGGGCGCCTTTAGTTCCAGCTACTCAGGAAGCTGAGGCAGGAGAATCACTTGAACCTGGGAGGCAGAGGTTGCAGTTAGCCAGATCGCACCACTGCACTCTAGCCTGGCGACAAAGCGAGACTCCGTTTCCAAATAAATAAATAAATAAAATCTGTCTGTGCCTGGTGGCTCACACCTGTAATCCCAGAGCTTTGGGAGGCCGAAGTGGGCACATCACCTGAGGTTAGGGGTTTGAGACCAGCCTGGCCAACATGGTGAAACCCCATCTCTACTAAAAATACAAAAATTAGCTGGGTGTAGTGGCCAGCTCCTGTAATCCCAGACACTCGGGAGGCTGAGGCAGGAGAATCGCTTGAATCTGGGAGGTGGAGTTTGCAGTGAGGCGAGATCGTACCACTGCACTACAGCCTGGGTGACAAAGCGAGTCTCCATCTCAAAAAACAAAAACAAAACAAAAATTTACGGTCCTTGCTAGTATTTCAACTTTACAACATGTCAGCATTATATATCAATTGCGATAGCCCTACAACCTAGTAAAATGCTTCACACATAGTAGATACTCAATAATTCTCAAACCGAATTGAGCAAGATTATTATATTAGCTCTAATCTGACTGATACACAATATTCTATTTTGTGAATGTATCTCCTTTAAAAAAAAACGCTGTGTCCTATTTTTGATTAATATATTGGGAAACCATTTTTTTCCAAAAAGACTGTTTTTTTTTTTTTTAGGGCTTTACTATATTAATCACTATATTATCTTTATTCTGTCATGCATTATACCTTAAGCATATGGATTTAATTCTCTATGGTGTATATCTATTTTGGACTTAAATTATATGAAGTCAGTTAAACCCACAATTTTTTTCTAAACAATTTATTTTCATAGTCACCTAAGTATGCCCTATTTTGTTTTTGCACATCATACAGAAAGTCATGAAATGGATAACCTTTGTCCTTTTCCATTTTCAGCTATACGTCCTATAAGAAAAAATAAAACTATTTTTCAATTATTGCAGAAGGCAGCTTAAAATGCTGTTGTATTTTGATCTTTTGCTGGCCTTTTCCTTCACTCTCTGTTCTCCAGGTCACGAGAACTGTGAACAGTTCCCCAAAAGTACCATGGTCTGTTTCATGGTACCCATTCAACATTGGAATGTCTTTTCTGTCTTCTTATTCTCCCTCCTAGGTAATTTGTCTTCAACTCTCAGACCTCAACTAAACTTTTATCTCTAAAAATCTTTTTTGACCTCCCATATCTGGTTAGTTGCTTGTGTTTTTCCTATTACCAGCACTATCACATGCCATTGTAATTTCTCTATTTATTCTCAAATTCTTTTATAGACTATCAACTCCCTGAGGGCTGGGACTCGTTGGGACAGTTCCAACTCTACCTCTTAACCCAATGACTACCCAATAAGAGACCCTTAATAAAAACACATTGAATGAATGAATAAATGAATAAATTAGCTGTCATTTTTCCAAGGCAGATTGTAATTTAATTTGTTCTTATCATCTGGCATATTAAAAAGGGGGCTTTGTGCATAATTTGTGACTTTCCCAGTCTCCTGAGTTCTATTTTTGTGACTCTCTTTTATTTTATATAGTTTGATACTTAGCATGTTACTTCAGAACAACATAGCTCTTAAGTCTGTGATAGAAAAGAAAGAGAAGACAATCTAGTATTGTTATAAATCCGCCCTTAGGACCTATTTCTCAGGAAAAGCAGACAGGAATGAGTAGTGGTTGAGGATCTAAGAGCAGGCGGTGTCATTATAAAAACGAGAACAGGGCATCATTTCCACATTCACTTTCATTCCTCTGATATTCCCGCTCGCAAAAGCTCTGGCTTGATTGTTGACAGTCAACGAGTGAGAACTGTGGTTGCTACCGCCTTTATACAGAAAATCAGTGCGGCTGTATAAGAAGGGGTGAGAAATGGTGTTTCCTCTCATGAATAAAAACTATGTATCCTGATGTTGCTGACAAAGAGCTGAAGTTACTAAACCAATGATATACTCTCAGGGAAATGTACGTGAAAAGATACTTACTATTTTTTCTTTCTTTTCTCCCCCCTCCCCAGCTCTTTCCAGCCAATTCAACCGAAGGAACCAGGAACTGAGGAGGAAGGAAGTAATTGACATTCAAAGCCTCTATTTTTAGACACCTTTACACTTCCCTTTGCTTCTAACTAGCAAGGATTTTTCCAAACAAGCTTTTAATTAGCAGGTGAGTTTAATTGATATGTGGGTTTCTCAGAGGGGGAAAGGACTTCAGTGTGGAGAAGGAGGGAGGAGGAAACTCCATCACTCTCACTCACAATAGAAGGACCATTAATTCATTTGCACCTGGATGTTTTAAAGGATCAATTTACTGTAGCAAAGAAAGAAGGCAGAGAATCAAAAGGTTGGAATCTGTCAGACAAGAACAGAGGCACTATAATTTAACATGCTAGGTGGATGATTTAGAACTTGGAAAAATATTGCTACCAACGTCCAAATACAGAAACTAACCTATTTGCATATAGTCAGGTTCTGTCCAAGTGCTGAGAAAAGAGTCATGTTTCAAAACCAACGAAGTTAATTTTTAAAAAAATTTTAGTCTGCAGAAAAGTTAAAAAAATACATATTAAAATCACTGTTATTGATCTTAAAGGGGGAGTGCTTCATTAATGTACCTAAATGGTGATTTTAACTCACGAAGACGTTTTAAAAGTTTCATCCAAAGTAAATAGTCTGCTTTCTTGTCGGGGGAAGAGAAGGTGGATATTCTGTGTCCAGTTTTGCAAAATGAGTGCTTGCGGGAACCATATGAAGGTATATACATCATGAATCAGAAAACCATTGGTTGCATGCAATAGAGAAAAATACTGACTAAGGAAAGCAGAAAACCGAAAGAATAAAACATATTGGCTATCCTCACAATCACATGAATGGCTGAGTAATCAGGCCTCACAAAAAGGTAAGAATTAACGCAGCTCTGAAATCTAGAAAACAGAAGCCAGTAGAGAATCCCCTGAGGCATCAGCATCAGAATGACTCAGCACTTACCATTTTATTTCCTACTGTTATTTAGATGGAAATCCCCAATTCCCAGATCTGACTGGTCTAGCTTGATTCATACAACCATTCATTGACAAAGGAGGTAACATTCTTCAGTCCTACCGATAGTTGGTGGGGGAGAAATCGTTCAAGTAAAAAATTTCAGAAAGCTGATGCACATTTTGATCTACTCTAAAGCTATATATATGTGTATAAACACATGCATATAACATATAACCTACACATGTATATGCAGGTATATACGTCGTTACAAAATTGTAGTTATCAAATTTTTGTCCGCTATTCCAGCACCCATGCTTCCTGCCTGTTGTAGTGTGATTACAGGTGTTGAATGGGCATGGTGAAGCCTTGTGCACACAAGCACTGTTAAAGTGCAGATTCTCCATCAGCCACAGTGGAAGTCTGTGTTCCAGAGGAAGAAAATTCTCATTCGACTCCCTGCAGCTAGGATCCGTAAAAAAAAAATGGCTGCACTTTCACCCTTTAAGATGCCTTTTCAGATTATTTGATATTTATTCTTTAAAAAGCCTTAAATAACAGCTTGGACCCTGCTGAGTTCACCATAGAACTGTCTGAGACCTGTATTTATTAGGCAAATGGTAGTTACATGGAATACAGCGTCCTAAGAGAGAAGCAGGTTACATCAACATCTCCTACCCCTAAATTTCTGCTTCATGATGGGCCCAAACCAAGACACTTAGTATTATTCCAATAGAGAGTCATTCTTTGTTTGTAGTAGGAAGGGATAATTTATTATTTAAGAATGATCCACCCTCTTCAGGATAAATTTCGGGGATTCTTAATACTTATCTTGAAAACTGAATTTGTTTTCTTTATTAGGAAAAAGAAGAGTGAGAATGTTTTGAAAAACTATTGCCTGACCTTATGGTTAATCCTAGTGTTTTCTGGTGGAAATGCATTTCTGTCTTGGGCATAATATTTAAATCCATAAATTGGGTAACTTGGCTTACGTATAGGCACTTTGGATATTTGTAAGAGAAACCTGAAGAGAATATCATATCCAATTACAGTTCTGCCTTGTATGATTTGTGGTCTTTTATATCCTTCTCTAGAATGTTATCAATGCAAGCTCTCACAGCAAGCAGCTACCCGAGTGTAGTGTGTGCCGACGATAGGAAAGTAATGAAAATAAGAACCCTTGAATGCTGTAATTGGTGATCCAACCTCCTAGACTACTGAAAATTAATTGGCCAGATGTTCCCTACCCAACCGTAATGGGGGATAATGTAGGAGACTGAGTTTTCAACCTTCCCCAGGTGTGCACATTTGAGCAGAGAAAAGTGATTATGAGTGACATGCTGACAGGTGCAGTGCCCATGTTCCACAGTGCCCTTGTGTATCTGTTATATATTTAGGATTTTTCCCCAGAGGCACTTCAGCAATATGAAAATAGACCAGGAACAAAACCAAAAGACCCTTAAGATAGAAAAAAAGCTTGGAAGTTGTGAATATTATATTATGGATATATTAATTGTATTATTATTTTAGGTTACATCTATTCCCGTCACTGTTAGCTGTTACTATGTTTATGTGCCAAACACTGTATTAAGCAATTTTAGAGGTGGCTTCTTATATCATCTCTATTTTTTAGATGTATCAACTGATGTTCAGAGAGATAGAGTCAATCTGTCACAATTACACAGAAAGTAAGAGAGTAGATCTTGAGGCTCTAATATCAGAGCTCGTGAGCCTTATCTACTAAGCTATATAGTCTCCAAAAGAGCAGATTTTTTCACCTCTCCAAGCCACAGTCGCTTTGGTAAGTCCATTGCTTGTATTATCTCATTTAATTCTTACAACTACCAAGAGAGTTACAAATTACTTTCCCCATTTCACAAAACAAGACACAGATGTTAGAAGAGTATGATGAACTTGACCAAGGTCACATGCTACTACAGAACAGAGAGGGTGCTCAAATCTAGTTTTCTCTGACTCCAAAGCCCAGGTCTTAATCACAATGAAGCAGTGCTACAGAAAGGATTTTTTTTATATGAAAATATAGCATCATTGCTTTAAGTCTGACTTTTAAAATTGTCCTTATTCACATGCTGACATTCACAACAAAAACAATTAGGTCTCCATCTTCTCCTATGCAACATTTCCTTTTCTTCAGTTTTGAATGGAGCCCAAAGCACCCCCTGATTAGACCATGAAATTGCCCTCAAGAACTATTTAGAAAGAAAATGTTGTTCTTCTAATAAAACAGCACAGCTGTCTCAAAGAGCTTTTAATCCATCTTTTTAAAAGATGTGGACTTTCTAAAATAATGTCGCCCCCATTTGTCTTCTATGAAAGAAGATATTTCAAAACTAGGAACACCTATCATAATAAACCATTAAGATGACTCTAGCATTTCAGTGTATTTTTAGAATTTCATATTTCACCAAATGTTGTTATATATAATTCATGTAGTGGGATATGATGGGATTTGACAGTTATCTCATTTGTGAAGAAGGACCAAATAACTCATTGTCCCACATCCACAAAATAAATTATTCTTGTCCCCAAGCATGAGACTTTGTTAGTTTCCTCACCTTAATGGATTTTGTTTTCTACATAATACTTTTTGCAGAAGACTATGACCCTAAACATATATTGGGCTATTGTGAGAGAATGAAATTTCTGAAAATTAGCCTCATAGATCTAAAAATGAAGCATTAACAAAATAGTCTCTACTTCTAGAAGTAAAAAGAGACCCCAAGTGAAAATTGTTTCATAGGATTTCATTCAGTGTTTCTGTCACTTGTCAAACATGTGAAGAAAAAGCTTAAGTTTTTCCTGCTCTGTGAGTGGATACCATCTGTTTTACCTCAAGAAGGGTCTAGAGTTCTACTCTTCTTCATTTCCTCAATTTCAAAGTGTCCCACATTGGATTCTAACATTACAATGCTATAGTTGACTCTAGAATTTTCCAAAAATTAGATGCGTAGGTCTGAGTGTAATGCTTTGGTCCACAAGACATTTAAAAAGCATACATGAGGCTGGGCATGGTGGCTCACACCTGTAATCCCAGCACTTTGGGAGGCCGAGGCAGGTGGATCACAAGGTCAAGAGATCGAGACCATCCTGGCTAACATGGTGAAATCTCATCTCTACTAAAAATACAAAAAAAAAAAAAAAAAAAAGCTGGGCATGGTGGCACAGGCCTGTAGTCCCACGTACTCAAGAGGCTGATGCACGAGAATCACTTGAACCCAGGAGGCGGAGGCTGCAGTGAGCAGAGATCACGCCACTGCACTGCACTCCAGCCTGGGTGACAGTGTGAGACTCCATCTCAAAAAAAAAAAAAAAGTATACATAAATATAATTAAATGAAAATTTTTCCTAATTAAATTACATCAATATGTTGCATATATGCCTCACTGAATTTTGACTATGTTTTCACATTTTGTTCTTCATAATCATGCATATTTCTTACGGCTTTTAATTTTACCTGGTGTGAATAATAGTTTATGGTATCCTAGTTGATCAACTTCCTCGGGGACAGATGTTTCCTATTCTTTTTATTCTCAATTTATTGGCTATTCATAAAAACACTCGGTAACTCTTTTTCAAATTGAAGTAAGATTACCTTAATGCTGTTTGAGAAACAGAAACAGTCCTGAGTTGACTCCTTAAGGGTAAAGGTGAATTGTAGAAGGAGAAGGTGGCCAGTAAGGAAGCATTTGGAGGGAATACTAACTTGCAACTTCACTGTTTTTATTCTTGGAAAGTTTTCCATGGGAAATTGTGTCATAATACATTTTTTATGTCTCATAATAAAATGTTTAATGTCTCATAAAAAAATCTAAGCAGGTATTTATAGGATGACTAAAGGTACATATTCATATTTTGATCATAAACAGTCAATATATACTATATAAGTATACATAGAGTATATATAGAGCACTTAAATTTACAATTATATATGTTTAAGCTAGCACAAAATGACTTACTTGGTCAAGACATCACATATTTATACATTTATTATTGTACTTATATATCATAATCCAGTTATAATAGGTAGATATTTATAGCACGTGTATGTATTCCATTTACTAAAAGGATGTGTGTGTGTGTGTGTATGTGTGCAAATAACACTTGTGGCATCAGGAAGCATGGATAACTTAGCTCTAACCTTTTCTGAGGATATATATATGGCAGAGGCGAAAAACATATCTAGGTATCAGCAATAACCACATCTCAGCTGGGCTTCCTGGATTTCAATATCATCTGAGTGCAAAGCTAATAGTAATTCCAAAAGTTAGATGGCCACTGGCCTCCCCTAACAGTGCCCCAGAAGGTGTTTTTTAAAGCCCACTGCAATTGAGAGTTTTCAAGAGGTGAGAGGATCCTAGTAATATCTTTTTAATAACACTTGTGAGACAGTCAAATTGTAAACCACTAGGCCATTTTGCTTTAATTTTGGTTCATTTTCAGTAATCAGGTGATTAGTAGAAATATACAAGCAGGGATTCTTCAACAGATTCCACGAAGTGTGATTGTTTACTTGGACCTGCAGTAGTCCACAGAATTCTCCTGCTTACGGCGTTCAAAATTTAACATCAAGAGTGAAAGGTGGAACATTTCACAGATAGGATTAGAGGAAGACCCATAATCAAAGCACTTCAGGCAGAATGGCGAGGATGCTGAACACATTTTGTGTATTTTTTTTTGAAACTGAGTCTCACACTGTTGCCCAGGTTGGAGTGCAATGGCGCCATCTCAGCTCACTGCAACCTCCACCTTCCAGGTTCAGCGATTCTCCTAACTCAGCCTCCCTAATAGCTGGGATTACAGGTGTCCACCACCATGCCTGGCTAATTTTTTGTATTTTTAGTAGAGATGGGGTTTCACTATGTTGACCAGGCTGGTCTTGAACGCCTGACCTCATCATACACCTGCCTCGGCCTCCCAAAGTGCTGGGATTACAGGCGTGAGTGACCACGCCTGGCCCACATTTTGTGTATCTTTGAAGCACTGATTCCTCTAGCAGGTATGTTATATCCTTCAGGTCCTTTAACTCTTATAGTCATCCTTTGAGGTAAACTGGTTGTCTCCTGTTTCCAGGCAAGGAAACTGAAATTCAGAGTGATTGAGTGACTTGCCAATACATTTACTGCTAGGAAGACTTTCTATCACCATCAGAGTTGGAGACGAGCATCCCTGTAATGTAATCACTAGTTTACTATATCCCCGCTCCTCGAACTTAAGCTCCATGAGGACTAGGAATTTGTTTATATTATTAATTATTGTATTTCCAAAGCTTGGTACATTCATGACATCTATGCAACAAATATTTATTGAGTGCACAACATATGCTGAACACTAAAAAAAAAAAAAAAACTAAAAGCAAACAATACTGTAGTGGAGAAAGGCAAATCATAAGATAAAAACAATGTAAAAATGTATAGAATGTTAGATGGAGAAAGGCACTAGGGAAGGGGTAAGGAGAGAGTGGCTAGGGAAGTCCTTGCTGAGAAAGTGACAGTAGAACCAAGACCTGGCGGAGGGAGGCAAAGTGGGGAGCTCTGAGGATAGATCAAAGCGAAAAGCATCCCAGGCGGAGGGCACAGCCAGTTTGTAGGTATGAGATGGAAATGAACCTGGCATGTCTGAGTATAGCAAGGAAGCCAGTGTGGCTGGGGAGGAATGAATTAGAGGAGAGTAGTAGGGTATGCAATCAGACAAGCAGTGGGTGGAAGAGAGGGAAGAAGACCTTCTAGGCCCTTATAGGCCAATATATGACCCTGGCTTTGGGGAATGAGAAGCCAATGAAGAGTTCGAACAAAAGGACAACATGACTTGATTTACCTCTTTGTAAGATGATCACATTACCACATTGAGAAGACACTTAAAGAGGTCAAAAACAGAACCAGGAGGAGGGAAGTTTGGAAAGTATTGAAAGAATTCAGACATACACAATCACATTCAGCTTAAATGAGGTGGAGAAACAGTGAAGGTGGTAGGATGTAGTGAGCTGGGCTGGGGGCGGTGGCTCACGCCTGTAATCCCAGCACTTTGGGAGGCTGAGGCGGGTGGATCACGAGGTCAGCAGATCGAGGCCAACATGGTGAAACCCCGTCTCTACTAAAAAATACACAATTTAGCTGGGTGTGGTGGTGCGCACCTGTAATCCCAGCTACTCGGGAGGCTGAGGCAGAAGAATCACTTGAACTGGGGAGGCAGAGGTTTCAGTGAGCCGAGATTGTGCCACTGCACTCCAGCCTGGCGTCAGAACGAGACTCCACCTCAAAAAAAAAAAAAAAAGTATTGAGCTTCTGGATATATTCTGAAAGTAAAGCTCACAACATGGTGTTTGATGTGGGGCATGAGTGTGCTAGGCAAGTCAGGGGCGACCTGAGGTTTTTGGCCTAAGAAAGTGGAAAGATGGAGGCACCATCAACTGCAACACAATATGTTTTGGGGGAAAGATCTAATGTTGAGTCTGGGGCATGACACATTTGAGATGCCTATTAGACCCCCTACCTGAGATCCTAGGTTGGCTATTAGATAGCGGAGCCTTCTAGAGTCCATGGGAGAGTTTGGAGCTTGGGATATAAATATGATGTCATTAGTGTAGAGAGAGTATCCAAAGCACGGGACTGGGTGAAATCTCCACGGGAATGAGTGAAAGTCTAATTCCTAGTGGAAACTTTTAAATGATCTGTAAATGAATAAATGAATACATGCAACAAAGGTAAGATTGGAAGAAACCTAGTTTGTTTAATAGCAGAGCTGGGTGTAGATCAAAGTTTTTACTTGTCATCAACAGAAAGTCTCCCTGGCTATTTCAAACAACCCCCCTGAAAAACAGCAAGAAATATTTATTTTAAAAAGATATTGAGGAACTCACAGAATATTGTTTTGAAAACTAGAAACCAGGCTTAAATGCTACATAATCAGAAACAAGACCTACAATTACTACACAGGCATTTTGAAAAATAGCAACATGTCAGCTTTAGCCACAGAATGAGAATGATGATGGTCATCGTGATAGTTGAAATTAAGGAAAAGGGGATCATTTTTAATGGACACCTACTATGTGATAGATAATGATTTTTTTTTTTTTTTTTGAGACAGAGTTTTGCTCTGTCGGCAGGCTGGAGTGCAGTGGCGTGATCTCAGCTCACTGCAACCTCCAACTCCCTGGTTCAAGCGATTCTCCTGCCTCAGCCCAAGCTTGTAATCCCAAGCAGCTGGGATTACAGGCATGCACCACCATGCCCAGCTAATTTTCGTATTTTTAGTAGAAACAGAGTTTCACCGTGTTGGCCAGGATCGTCTCAATCTCTTGACCTCGTGATCTGCCCACCTCGGCCTCCCAAAGTGCTCAGATTATAGGCGTGAGCCACCACACCTGGCCAGATAATGATTTTTAATCATGATGGATAATTCATTTTAATGAATGCCTACTATGTTACTATGTAGCTCATTTAATTCTCACACCTCTTTGTGAAATGTGTATTTTTATCATTATTATTTTGAGATAGGGTCTTGCTTTGTCACCCAGGCTGAAGTGCAATGGCACAATTACAGCTCACTGCAGCCTCCACTTCCCAGGCTCAGGTGATCCTTCAACCTCAGCCTCCTAAGTAGCTGGGACTATAGCTATATGCCACCATGCCTGGCTAATGTTTTTTAAAAAATGTTTGTACAGATGTGGCGGGTCTCACTACATTACCAAGGCTGGTCTTGAACTCCTGAGCTCAAGCAGTCTTCCCTCCTCGGCCTCTAAAAGTGCAGGATTATAGGTGTGAGCCACCATGCTCAGCTGTGATATTATTACTCTCACTTTATAGATAAAGAAACTGAGGATCAGAGGGGATAAGTCAGTCTTCCATGTCACGCAGACGGTGGGCACCAGATTTGCTTCATTCCATTTTACCAGATTGCCTTCCCAAAGCAAAAATAGGCTCAGCATTTCATAAAAAGCCTCATTTTTTCCCCCGGAACATGAAGTAGGCAGGGCTGATGGTTTATTCCTGTTTAATAAAAAGGAAAACGAGGCCGGGCGCGGTGGCTCACGCCTGTAATCCCAGCACTTCGGAAGGCCGAGGCGGGCGGATCACGAGGTCAGGAGATGGAGACCATCCTAGCTAACACGGTGAAACTCGGTCTCTACTAAAAATCTAAAAAAATTAGCCTGTAGTCCCAGCTACTCGGGAGGCCGAGGCAGGAGAATGGCGTGAATCCGGGAGGCGGAGCTTGCATTGAACCCAAATCGCGCCAGTTCACTCCAGCCTGGGCGACAGAGTGAGACTCCGTCTCAAAAAATAAATAAATAAATAAATAAATAAATAAATAAATAAATAAATAATAAATAAAAACACGAAAGTTATGAAAGTTAAATAACCTGGCCACCTCGACAATCTCTAAAAGCAGATGAGATATGAGATTTAACTCACTGTCTCAGTGTGACTTAGTGCTCTCGCCACCACTCGGAACTGAGTTTAGCAAAACTAATGCTGGTGTTAATGAAAACATCTTAACTTTATTCTTTTGGAAAGGGTCTTTACAGTTTATTGATTACCTTCAATCACTGAAATATGTGAATATACTAAACACCTATATTTATTGATTGTACAGTTGGAGTTCTTTGACAATCTAATGGTATCTCTTTATGTATTTCCGCCCGACTTAAATCCTAATTGTGATAGCATTTTCCCCAAGTAACACACAATTGCTAATAATTTTCACTTTTCACTTGATTTTTATTTGATTTTTTTTTCCTTAGTTGCTTTCTCCCTTCCGTCAAACCACTCGTTTGGAAACAAGGAACTATCTCCCCTCACTCAGTTTCTCTCATTCTGATGTAGACAATCAATCTCTCTTGTCAATACCATATTTCTCTGCCCACTTTGTCATTTATTGTTGTATTGGATTGCCTTTCACTTTATTTCTGTGGTCCTTTTTCTTTTGAATCTTTAAAAATTTATTTCTCCCAACTGAATCATTTCAGTTCTGAGGAATGAGATTTTACGTGCTTTTTCTCCCTCAACATGTTATGTTTATCATGAGATTAACATCTTTATTTTTTGGCTCTGAAGACTCTTGAACATTCTCTCCCGGTCATTTTTATTTTCTTTCTTGCTTTTGTGGCTCTATGTTGTTAACAGTTCTTCATGGCCTGCTCTCCACCTATCTTTTGGTTTGCCCTGTTTTCCTACATCAGCTTCTTGGGAGGTTTTATTCTTCAATTTTTTTACATGATGATATCACAAATCTTTGCTACCAGGTACAGTCAAAGAATTATAACTCCTCTGGTCTGTTCCACTCTCTGCACATGTTTATTAGTAAGCGGATAGTATTGGAAGAGTTTCCAATCTTATACTCTGCTTGTCCAGAGCTTATATTTATTTTTAAAAAGTACTTCAATCTAAAAGAAACTATATCTCAAAATAAGATTCAGGTTTATTCGCTGCTATTCGAGTGGTGTTTGCAACCCACAACCCCTACCCATATTCTTCTGAGTAATTGCTTTGTACAGAGATGTTTTAACTTTTTTTTTTTTTTTTTTTTTTTTTGAGACGGTGTCGCCCTCTGTCACTCAGGCTGGAGTGCAATGGCGCGACCTCGGCTCACTGCAAGCTCCTCCTCCCGGGTTCACACCATTCTCCTGCCTCAGCCTCCGGAGTGGCTGGGACAACAGGCACATGCCACCATGCCCAGCTAATTTTTGGTATGTTTAGTAGAGACAGGGTTTCATCGTGTTAGCCAGGATGGTCTCAATCTCCTGACCTCATGATCTGCCTGCCTTGGCCTCCCAAAGTGCTGGGATTACAAACGTGAGCCACCGCTCCCGGCCTTAACTTTTGACTAATATTTTAAAAATTAAAAGTATAATAAGTGGATCTAGTAAACATCTTAATAGTATCAAGAAAATTAGGGCAGCAGTTGCCTATGGTGTACAGAGTTGAGCTTTGGAGGTAGACATGAGTTTGAATCCTGGTTTCACCTTTTTCCAGCATGTGATCTTCAGATACATTAATTCACTTTCCTCAGTCTTAAGTTCCTCTTTCCTTAAAAATCGGGATAATGGGTCGGGTGCAGTGGCTCACGCCTGTAATCCCAGCACTTTGGGAGGCTGAGGCAGGTGATTCATGAGGTCAAGAGATTGAAACCAGCCTGGCCAACATGGTGAAACCCTGTCTGTACTAAAAATACAAAAATTAGCTGGGTGTGGTGGCACGCGCCTGTAGTCCCAGCTACTCGGAAGGCTGAGGTGGGAGAATCACCTGAATCCGGGAGGCGAAGGTTGCAGTGAGCCGAGAGCGCACCATTGCATTCCAGCCTGGCGACAGAGCAAGAGTCTGTCTCAAAAACGAAGAAACAAACAAACACACCAGGATAATTATATCTGCTTTGTGATATAGTTGAAGGATTAAGTAGTTTGTATTAGTCTTCTAGGGCTGCCATGATAAAGTGTTTAAGCTGGGTGCCTTAAACAATAGAAATTTATTCTCTCACTGTTCCAGAGGCCAAAAGTCCAAGATCAACATGTGGACAGGTTTGCTTTCTCCTGAGGCCTCCCTCTCTCTTTGGCTTGCAGAGAACTACCTTTTCCCAGTGTCTTCACATGGTAGTCCCGCTGACTGTGTATCTGTATCCTAATCTCCTGTACTTATAAGGACATGGTCCTACTGAAGGAGGCTCCACCCTAGTACACTTATTTTACGGTCATCATCTCTTTAAAGGCCCTATTTCCTAACACAATCACATTATAGGTACTGAGAGTTAGGACTTCAACATATGAATTCGGGAGGACACAAATCAACCCATAACACCTTCTATAAATATTTTTATTCAGCAGCTAACACACTGTACATTCGTCATAGCTCTTAGCTATTGTTTTTACTATTTTATATAGAATGTCACTATTTCTTTTTTTTTTTTTTTTTTTAATTTGGACCAAGAGTTTACTTAACTTCATGGAGTATTTAATGGTGGAGATAAGACACAATTCCTTATTCCTTATATGAGCCCTCTGCAGATGACATCCTCAATAACGTTAGCTAAAATTAGCTAGTTAAGAGTACTACACAAGCAAGATTACCATAAATTAAGGCTTCAGGAAAATTAAACTCTAACTCTGAAAGTATTTGCCCACCTAGTCAATTCCATCTACATCCGAAACCTTTATTTTTCAGCCTGGCCTCCCTCTTGAGAGTTGCTGTTTTTCTGGATAACTGAAATTTGACATAGGCAATTACTTCAACTTCTACACGTCAAAACATCTCAGGCCAGTCACCAGCCAAAGCAATGCTCGACTACATTTTCCAATATATGTCAGTGGATCCCATTATTTTCCTAAGTCCCTAAGCCATCCTGTAGACTATCATGCAATCATTTATTCAGTCATGAGTTCTATCATTCAATCTCTGGCCTTGGTTTCTTTTTCTTTCTTTCTTTTTTATTTTTATTTTTTTGAGACAGAGTCTCACCCTGTCACCCAGGCTGGAGTGCAGTGGCTCCATCTCAGCTCACTGCAACCTCTGCCTCCCAGGTTCAGGTGATTCTCTTGCCTCAGCCTCCGGAGTAGCTGGGACTACAGGCGCTATTGTATTTTTGTAATCCCAGCACTTTGGGAGGCCGAGGCAGGTGGATCACCTGAGGTCAGGAGTTTGAGACCAGCCTGGCCAATATGATAAAACACCGTCTCTACTAAAAATACAAAAATTAGCCGGGCGTGGTGACATGCGCCTGTAATCCCAGCTACTCGGGAGGCTGAGGCAGGAGAATCATTTGAACCCAGGAGGTGGAGGTTGCAGTGAGCTGAGATCATGCCACTGCGCTCCAGCCTGGGCAGCAGAGAGAGATTCTGTCTCAAAAAAAAAATTATTCTGCAGGTTTGTATATATAACAATCACATGAGATACATCTTCCCCATTCTGTAGATTATGAGAGATGTAAATGATTTTTGTGGGTAATTTCACCTATCTTTGATTTCTGCCTTACATGCTACTTTACAAGGTAAGCACTGTTTAATTTGGGACTCCATAGTCCCATTTCTCAACCACTTAGGTGGCCATTTACTACCTAAAGAATAAATCTTGAGTTTTTAAATCTCTTATGCAATTCTTCAACCTCATCTTTTATCCCTCTACGGACCCTCAAGTGCAGCGCATCAGGCCTGCTTACTTTCCTGTGTTACAGACAGTGTTTCTGCTTTGAAACTTTGCCCCATCCCCTTTATCTGCAATCATCTCCCTCCATTTCCACCTAGAGAAATCCTACCTATCTAGTAACTTTCAGTTAATCACCCACAGCTGGAAATAGGCTCGCTTTCCTCTGAACTGTAACACTTGGCTTCTAACAGACTTTTATGCCTTATCCCCACCATGTTCACCGTAGAAAAATGAGCAATGCAGAGAAACAAGAAAGGTAGGGATAAAAAAGAGAAAAAAAAGACTCATTATCTCACCCCCAGAGACAACCACCATGAATGTTCAAGAATATGCCTTTCTTGATGTTTCTTCTTTTCATATACATCATCGTCTTCCTTGTCATAATTAAAAGAGGAAAAGTAGAAAATGCTATCATTATTTTCTCAGGTGCCAGATACTATGTTAAGATTTTACAACCATTATATTCTTTAATCTTCACAACTACTGTATGAGTATTTTATTTTTATCTTCATTTGATAGAAAAAGAAACCCAGAGGCCACTCGAGGTGGCTCACACTTGTAATCCTGGCACTTTGGGAGGCTGAGGTGAGTGTATCATTTGAGGTCAGAAATTCGAGACCAGCCTGACCAACATGATGAAACCCCATCTCTACGAAAAATACAAAAAAATTAGCCGTGCGTGGTGGCACATGCCTATAATCCTAGCTACTTGGGAGGCTGAGGCCAGAGAATCGCTTGAACCTGGGAGGCAGAGGTTGCAGTGAGCCAAGATCGCGCCACTGCACTCCAGCCTAGGCAACAGAGTGAGACTCCGTCTTCAAAGAAAAAAAAAAAAGAAAGAAAAAGAAAAGAAACCTCGAGCTTAGAATGTTAGGCTAGTTTCCCAAGGTAACAAACCTACAGAGGTAGAAACTGGTAGAGTCCACGTTTGCTTTACTTAACTGCAACTAGTCGTCAACCTTAACTGCAACACAATGCTGCCTGTATGTGTGTCTGTGTAGGTGTTTGTGTGCATGTGTATGCTATTAGATAGAATTATAACAAAATTATTTTTCCTCATATATAAAAAAATAAAAACTTTAAGAAGACAATGGAAAAATGAAATCTCTAAGACTGCAAGCCAAATTCTATATTAAAGTGTCCCTCTGAAAGGACAGACTCAAAATTACTCATAAGAATAATGATTACGGGCCAGGTGTGCTGGCTCACTCCTGTAATCCCAGCACTTTGGGAGGCCAAGGCGGGCAGATCACCTTAGGTCAGGAGTTTGAGATCAGCCTGGCCAACATGGTGAAACCCCATCTCTACTAAAAATACAAAAATTAGCCAGGTGTGGTGATGGGTGCCTATAATCCCAGCTACTTGGGAGGCTGAGGCAGGAGAATCCCTTGAACCCAGGAGGCAGAGGTTGCAGTGAGCCAAGATCCCGCCACTGCATTCCAGCCTGAGTGACAGAGTGAGACTCCATCTCAAAAAAAAAAAAAAAAAAAGAATAATGATTATGGTTTACATATATATGATATATATGATGCTTACCACCTGCTAGGCAGTATTTTGAGTTCACTAACTCATGTAGCTTTCACAATAACTTTGTGGGAGAAGTACTATACCTGTCACTATTTTACAAATGTGCAAACTGAGAAACAGACAAGGGAAGTGACCCGCCCAAGGTCACAAGGCTATTGTGACGCCTCAGCCTACAGGAGAACATGACACTTTTCTATGTAGGACAATGATGTATATTTAACTTCCACCTTCTCACCTTCTGTCTTTGTACCGTTTATAACCACAGTGTACTTACCTTGGCTGTAACATGATATTTAATATGTAATCAGCAACTCAAATTTGGGATGATTCTTGAGCCAGTTTTGTTTGCAGAAGCAGGGCACTAACTTTAATTAACTTTAACTAGAACCGCTTGTAGCTCCATGTGAAAAGAGACACAAAAAGGCCCATTAACTCTGAACATCATTTCCGTGTTTCTGCTCCGTATGCCCTCAAGATAGTACTTTTTCCCTGCTGTTCCTTGATTTTTGCCTCTTTTTTTCATTTTTTAAAATGGATTAGCACAGGGTGTTAGTGCAAAATTAGTCATGTATTTACTATAGCCTTTTAGTTCACCTAAACACATTATTTCTGAGAAAATGGTAGAGAACTTTGAGGAATATTCTATTTTAATGGTTGAAAACCTTTCTTTTTAGGAATCCCTTCATCTAATTCATGGCTAAGGTATTCGGTCTCAATTTTTTCTGAATCTGTGTGTGTGTGTTTTAAAGACATTCTCCTTAGCCAACTCTATTTCTTTTTTCTTTTCTTTCCTCTTTTTTATTTTTATTTTTCAGACAGTCTCACTTTGTTGCCCAGGCTGGAGTGCATTGGCATGATCTTGGCTCACTGCAACCTCCGCCTCCTGGGTTCAAGCAATTCTCCTGTCTCAGCCTCCCAAGTAGCTGGGATTACAGTCGCGGGCCACCACACCCGGCTAATTTTTGTATTTTTAGTAGAGACAGGGTTTCACCATATTGGTCAGGCTGGTCTCGAACTCCTGACCTCAGGTGATCCACCCGCCTCTGCCTCCCAAAGTGCTGGGATTTCCGGCGTGAGCCACCATGCCCGCCCAGCCAACTCTATTTCTAAGACACTTGTTTTGAACACACTAACAGTAGACTCTCATTCTCGCTGTAACACATGCTTACCTGGTTAGGTAAGATTCAATGAAAATTGCTAACTTTCAAATATTTACTATGTCATAAAAACTTGCTACATGATTCCACACACAAACATTTTCTGAAAACTAGCATTTGGAATTACTTTTTACTATTTTTGTGACTCTAGACTTTGAAGGAATGCTTCAATGACAGCTGAGGCAAGACATTTAGCAACGTCTGCCACTGTCTTCTTTGTATTCCGTGCCAGGCACAAGGACTCTTTCTGTTGAAAGTTTTATCATGTACAAGGCTATTAACATTATGAGGATAGGCTGAAGCATGAATAAATGCTGAGACTTACTGATGATGTCATTACACTGGTCAATAAAATACATAGAGGCAAGGGCTTCCCATGATCTCAGGCTCGACTAAATCAGGATACACGAGCAATTAACTCTTTAATTAAGACGAATGGGTGACATTAGCCCTCCTTAAACTCTGCTCGTCAGCATTTACAAATAGAAAAAGATAGATGCCTCCTTCCCAAGAAATATAGGTTTTATTTTTCATTCATTGACACAGTCTCATTCTTCCTACTTTGTAAACAAAGTCACTGGAGTATTGGGATGGTCAGAGATATTTTAATGTGTTCCTTCCATCAGTCATATCTCTTACTATGAAAGGCTCCATATTGGAATGTATTCAGTGTTTTATGAAGCTAACTTTACCACTATTGTTACTGAACACAATTGCTTTGCCTTTCTCCCCAATGCACACAAAGAAGATTCACGTCAGAATCTCATAGAAAAAGATGAATGCAGCACAGCATGAAGACAGTATTTATCCATTTGTTCTACTAACAACTGTCCATTGATATCCGCTACTTTGCCAGTAACTTATTTCAAGACTGGAAATCTAGAGCTATATACTTGAGTTCTGCTGTGTCTCAAATTAGTCAGTCTCTTGACCCTACGCAAAAATGTCTCTGAACCTCTGTTTTCTCATTTGTAAAATCTGGTTGCTGGAACAGTTGATCTCTTAATTCTTTTTCAGTAATGTTTAACACAGTAAAAATGGACAACAATGGTATGCATCATTGTAGGAACAAAGCGTCGAAACCAACATTGTCTTAAGAGAAATAAAAGGTGATTCATATGATTCGTATATATAATTTAAAATTCTCTAATAGCCACATTTTTAAAGGTAGAATTAATTTTAACATTTCATTCAATGTATCCAAAATGTCATTCCAGCAAGTAATCATATGTAGTTATATGATCTATTTTATATATATTACCGATTTTATAATATTTGTCGTACTATGTCTTTGAGATCCCAGTGCACACTTCAATTTAGACTAGTCTCATTTTGAGTGATCAAAAGCCACAAGTGGCTAATGGCTAACTTATTGGACAGCACACTTCAAATGTCAACAAATATGAAAACAAATACAACTATATCCTTTAAATATTTGTCTGTTTTGACTAAATGTTTTGAGCAAAAATTTGTCAAATGTATGTTTTATTATTTATTTATTTATTTATTTATTTATTTATTTATTTTTTAGATGGAGTCTCACCCTGTCTCTAAGACTGGAGTGCAGCGGTGCGATCTCGGCTCACTGCAACTTCTGCCCCCTGTGTCCAAGCGATTCTTGTGCCTCAGCCTCCTGAGCAGCTGGAATTATAGGCATGCACCACCACGCCCAGCTAATGTTTTGTATTTTTAGTAGACAGGAGGTTTTGCCATGTCAGGCAGGCTGGTCTTGAACTCCTGACCTCAGGTGATCCACCCACCTCAGCCTCCCAAAGTGCTAGGATTACAGGCGTGAGCCACCATGCCTCAAAAAAAAAAAAAAAAAAAAAAAAAAAAAAAAAAAGAATCAAAAACCTTGGATTGTCCATAGGCAATATAATTTACCTGAATAAATTTGATCTCATAAAAAATCACTATTGCGCAAACTTTTTTACCACTATGTGGCATAAAATGAAAACATTCAGCTATAGAAAGAGACAATATCCTATTTACGCTCCATCATAAATGGGGACCACTGTCTATTCTTTGCTTAAAAGACACTCAGATATGTGGTTAATGATACCATCTATCTAATGAATCAGATGTTATTATAAATAGAAAGGTGCTACCTATACCATAAAGAAATATACCATTTAAAAGCTGGGTGCAGTGGCTCATGCCTGTAATCCCAGCACTTTGGTAGACTGAGGTGGGAGGATCCCTTGAAGCCAGGAGTAAAAGACCAGCTTGGGCAACAAAGCAAGACCCTATCCCTGAAAAAAAAAGGAAGGAAGGAAGAGGAAGGGAGGAAGGAAGGAAGGAAGAAAGAAAGGGAGGGAGGGAAGGAAAGAAAAAGAGAGGAAGGAAGGAACGAAGGAGGGAAGGAAGGAAGGAAGGAAGGGGAAAGAAAGAAGAAATATACCATTTAAAAATCCATCTTTTGGCTGGGCGTGGTGGCTTACGCCTGTAATCCCAGCACTTTGGGAGGCCGAGGTGGGCGGATCACGAGGTCAGGAGATCGAGACCATCCTGGCTAACATGGTGAAACCCCATCTCTACTAAAAATACAAAAAATTAGCCAGGCGTGGTGGCGAGCGCCTGTAGTCCCAGCTACTCGGGAGGCTGAAGCAGGAGAATGGCGTGAACCCGGGAGGCGGAATTTGCAGTGAGCCGAGATCGCGCCACTGCACTCCAGCCTGGGTGACAAAGCGAGACTCTGTCTCAAAAAAAAAAAAAGAAAAAAAAATCGATCGTTTATTTCATAACTTACTTTTATTTCTTAGCTTCATTTACATTTTTACACATTAAGTGGAAATCATAAAATTTCAGGGGTAGTGGCAGGTCCATATTTTCATACTTGGCACATTTCACTCTAGCTGATTCTACTTATGCATTTTTCTTGTTTAACTGGACTCAACAAATACAGTCATGAAGTTAAAAAATAAATCGAACTATAGAAAAATATTTTGGTTAGAGATGATAGGTTTTTAAAATTGCAGTTCTTTGTTATCTCACATTATGTGGATGTTTTCAATTTGAGATATTTCCTCTCATCAATAATAATAATAATAATAATGTTAACCAAACTATATTTAGCTTTTTATAAGTGCTAGGCACTGTGCAGTGTTGTATATTTTATATAATAGTATCTAACTTAGGTCTGCCTGAATTAAAAAACTCACTGAAAAGTAACCTCTCTAATTCAAAGAAATCTCTCTCATTTATAAACTCTTATGGAAGTTTATTGATACCATTATTTTCTATATCTATGAATGTATGTTAATTACCTAGGAGCTTCAGCACTGAAAACATTCAATGAATATTTGTTGAATAAACTATTTAGATAGACTATAAGTTTTCAAATAAGACATTTACTCAGTAAATATCTACATTCAATGTGATAGACCCTTTTTATAGTAAATGAAATAAATATTTTAAAAACTGTCTTTCTATGTGATAGACCTTTACCAATTGAAGGGTATACATATTAAAAAATAATCACACACAGTTCTTTGTCTTGTAGAGACTCACAGTCTAGTGTAGGAGACAGATGTTAAAATCAATAGTTCTAAGACCACATTATAAAATGCAACTGTAGAAGATTCAGAAAAGCTGGGAAGAAGAGGCTCAGTTCCCCAGGAGAGTGTAGAACATAGAGGAATGGGGATACTGCAGAAGAGTTTAGAAGAAGTAGTAGAACATTTATTTCTTTCCTTTTCTTTCTTTCTCTTTCTTTCTTTCTTTCTTTCTTTCTTTTCTTTCTTTCTCTTCTTTCTTTCTTTTCTTTCTCTCTCTCTCTTTCTTTCTTTTCTTCTTTCTTTCTTTCTTTTTTTTTTTTTAGACAGTGTCTCATTCTGTCGCCCAGGCTGGAGTGCAGTGGCACTATCTCAGCTCACTGCAACCTCTGCCTCTGGGGTCAAGTGATTCTCCTGCCCTAGCCTCCCAAGTAGCTGTGATTACAGTGTCCCACCACCATACCTGACTGATTTTTAGTAGAGACAGGGTTTCACCATGTTGCCCAGGCTGGTCTCAAACTCCTCGTCACAGGTATCTGCCCGCCTCTGCCTCCCAAAGTGCTGGGATTACAGGCAAGAGCCACTGCACTCAGCCAGAAGTAGTAGACCATTTCTAGGTAGCATAGCAGAGGGTGTCACAAACCAAGGGGACACAAAAATGGGAAAGAATGGAGTGGGCTCTTTTGTCAGTAGCCTGCGAGCTTAAGAATTGGTGCATAGTGGGAACTGGCAGGACCTGTGGGTGGAAAGATGCTTGGGAACTTTATTGGGGATGACACATATGTATATATCATGTAGAATTTGACTTTTGTTAGCAATGGAAAATGATTGGAAGTTTTTAGGTAAAGACATAAAGTCAGATTTCGGTTCACACACCATAATTGTGGCATGAAAATGGTGAACGATTTGAGAAAGCCAGACTCTAATTGGAGGCCACTGCAATAAATGAGGGGAGACAAAATGAGTGCCCACGCAAATGTTAAAGGGTAGGTGAGGAGGAGGAAAGGATTTCAAAGCCATTCCTGGGGCTGATTCTACAGTGTTTATTACAGGCAGGTGATGGGAGAAGGGAGACAAGTACAGCTATAAAAGCTCTTAACTAGGTGAATGCTGGTTTTATTAAATATTAAAACAACACTGGACTTAATGTAATCATTTTTTCTGGTTTCAAAAGCACTTTCAGAGTTTAGCAATGTTCCCTGTCAATTTGAGTAGTAGTTTATTGTAATGTTGTGGAAAATACCCCGAACAGAGTAAGAAAAACTATTTCACAAACTGCCTCTGCAAATTGGGCACAAGAATCCTTAGCTCTGAAGAACTCATAGAAAATGGTGAGGATTAAAGCTATAAGCAACCTTTGGCTGTGGAAAAAAAACATAACTTCTCTGATTCTTCTTTCTAGTCTAGTATTTGGAGACAAAGTAGTTAATTAAGCACATGTGTGTTTTCAAAATCAGTCACAGTAAGTATTCTTGAGGAAAGACCTTGCAATCATACCAAATGTTCCCCAAAATATAAAAGTTAGTTAGGACTTTAATGAGATGGGGAACATAAAGCAAAGCTGTATGTGCTTTCTCTTACACCCCCAAAAGACAAAAACAAAAAGTCTGGAGAAACCAAATGACTATCTAAAACTATCCTTTTTCAAATCTTCCCAAAAGAAAAAAGAGAATTAGAAGGTCAGTTTAGACAAAGTCACAAATTGTCAAATTGCTATTATTAATAGTAGTAATATAAAAATAAGTCATCATTATGTTCCTATTGATACATTATGATATTACACTTGTACTGTAAACAGGACCATCACTGGCCACATGAATCTTTTGAGTTGTGGGATACATAATTCAGTGGCTCTTCCTTGAGAATCATTTGCTTTCCAGGAGACATTTCGCAATTTTTGGTTGTCACAACTGAGGATTCTTGTTGGCATCAACAAGGTCGAGACCAGGGATGCTGCAAATATGTTACAATGCACAGGACGGCCCCGGCTCACCTCCGATAAAAAAGTATCTGGTCCGTCACACCTGTAATCCCAGCACTTTGGGAGGCTGAGGCGGGTGGATCACAAGGTCAGGAGATCGAGACCATCCTGGCTAACACAGTGAAACCCCATCTCTACTAAAATACAAAAAATTAGCGGGTCGTGGCGGTGCGTGCCTGTAATCCCAGCTACTTGGGAGGCTGAGGCAGGGGAATCGCTTGAACCTGGGAGGCAGTGGTTACAGTGAGCTGAGATCAAGCCACTGCACTCCAGCCTGGCGACAGAGTAAGACTTCATCTCCAAACAAACAAACAAACAAACAAGCGTATCTGGTCTAAAATATCAGTAATGCAGATATTGAGAAATGTCGATATGGACTATGTATGAAGCTTCTTAGGAGATTCTGAAGGTTGCGGTTATAATGTACAGAAAGTCATTTAATACTTTAAATTAAAACATAATCAAGTGTGGCAATTCATGAATTAAATGCTGCATGAAATTCAAATGGAAGACAGAAATATAAAGACTGTGTTGCTCCAGATTCTCTATCAATAAGCATGTTTTTCCCTGCTCATAGGACTTATGTTATTTGAAGTCATTCACGTGCCATTTAACATTTTCTCTGAGAAACTGCCTTAAAAAAAAAAAAAAACCTGGGTGAAGTTGTAATAATAGGGAATACTGAATGCAGAAGGTTTGGAACAGTTTTCACCTTGGGAGTGGTACCCTCTAGCTTGGTCCGTTTATATCCGCTGAGGACAGAGAACTTAACTTTATAGCTAGGATCACAAATTTAAATGCCTAAGGCAAGGCTGGTATTCAGCACTAACTACAGTCACTCCCACATCAGTTGGAAGATATCTGCCGGCTCAAACTCCCCAGGCACCCCCAAACTACCCCAGGTGCCCTGGGTGATCTCCTAGTCTCTCTGGGAACAGTCCTACAACCAAGGGGTTGATAATGTAGCAGGGAGCCCAGGAACTCTTCTAGGTTGTAAAAGCAGGGCCTGTAATAATTCCTATTGGTTGGTGTCCAAGCCATGCTTACTATTATGTATTTATCAGTCTGGGTGAAGTAAACCTGGTTGAAGTGTCCCAGCTGTAAAGAACTATTCAAATGGTGACGGTGAGCCATACTGAAGAGCAAAGACCAGCAAACACCGGGGAGTGGTGGGGAGAGGGGGCACTTGATACTACACGCCCCTGTGAGTGTAAGCAGCCCCGACTCAGCCCCAGCAGATGGTCGCCATGTGGGAACGCAGCTCGAGAGTTGCCAGATTTTTTGAGAGAAGCAGTGAAATCTAATGATTTTTAAACATTGGCAATTAATTCAAATGTAAAACACCATTCAGCTACCACTGCAGCCTATATAATCCCTTCTGGGGATAACCTGTGGGCCAGCAGTTGGCAAATTCCACTTTAGAAGGATGGTGAGAGGACTGTCTTTATTCCCAATTCCAACATGGAATGATTTCTCAGACTACAAGCCTTCCCTATACTAAAGAGGATTTCTCTGAAACACCATTCCAGGTGACTTCAACCTGCTGCTGGCATTTAAGACGACCATGGGCCTGCCTCTTAGGGAGCTAAACAATTGACACTTTGGGCTATGCCTTTTATGGTACAAAACTCCTATCTCCACATGACCAAAGAAAGAGAGGTTGTGTGTACTCACTTGTCAAGTTTTCAGGAAAACATGCTCTATAGATGGCTTTAATATGAGCTTCATGTGAAGGTCAGGTGGCCATGAAATTCAGGGACTATATTTATGATTTTACCTGAGGAAATGCACCAAGTAAAACACAAATGCTCAATACTGCTTTTCTGAGTAGACGTTGCTAATTAAAATGCCTTATGAAATCATTTAAAATGAACCCAGAAAAAGGTGACAGAAACATTTTATTTGATGATAAAGAGTGGACAAGTGAAACATTTCCATAATTCTTTTGCTCAATAACTGATCTACTAAAATGCCTCTGTTTTTGCTTTTTATTGATACCTCGGTTGATGTTTCAGAATATTGGGGGATATTTGGATCACTTATTTGCACTTATTTGGGGCACTTATTTGCTGTCCCATTCCCAGTTTTATGGTCTCTATCCCAGAGTAATAATTTGTATAATGACATGATTGAGGGAAAAACATTTCATTGAAAAAACTGGAAAAAGAATTTTATCAAGTTTTCTACATAGGGCTACGTTGTAGAAGCCTCAGTTATGAAGATGATTCTGGGAGGTGCAGTAAGCCACTTGGAAGGGAGGCCATGTGCAGGGGGTTTGAAAAGGACTCATTTTCTTTAGCCGGTTATAAAAATCCAAAATAAATAAATAAATACAAGGCATAGAGAGGGCTCATATGAGCAAGGCCACTCAGTTCACAGACACAGTCATATCATGGATAGTTACCCCTGGAATGTTCTTCGGAAGAAGTAACCTTCAACCCTTTCCTGCTACAGCAGAGGAAATTGAGGCCCAAAAACTAATGTTCACAGATGTCCCCAAAGTCACAGAGCTAGTTTTCTGATGACTGTTTTCTTTATCGCATTTCCGTCTGCTGACATTCCCGAAGCCCTATGTCTTGTGGCCATTTCATGTGACAAGGGTAAGAAAATAAGAGAAAAAACTTATGGGTGGGGGGTGGTGTGTGTGTACAAGTGCACGTGTGTGCATGTTATTTGTTGGTAATTTTATTCAAATGTTCAAGGGGAAGGAAGTTGCATTCAAAAGTAAAATGGTATTTTAGCATACTAATAATTCTTAGCTCTCTCTCATGCCAAATAAGTTAAAAGCTGTCAATACAATAACTAAAATAAGTTCTGCGGAATTGACAGCTTTCAAGAGGAAGAAAAGAGTATACATACATTATCTCGTAACCTCCTATAAGCTTTTAGGTGCTCATGAAGAGTCTGGGGCTGAAAGGGGTAAAATAGCTTTCACCAAGTCGCCTTGTTGATTACTGGCAAAGCTGGCAGTATGAGGTGGTGAATAGAACATTCCCCTTTAGCTCAAGGCTTGGGTTTGACTGCAACACTGGGTCTGCCCACCAACTTGGGTTTGACCATTGCCTCCAACACTCCCAAGACAGAAGACCTTGGGCTACTTACTGGAATCTAAGTGTGAGTTTCTTATCAGCAAACTAGAGTAATAATAGTTCTCACATCATATGCAAAATGGTAATCAAAACTCATAGTAGTAATTTTTGAGGTTGTTTGAAAGATTCAGTGAAATAATTCACATAAAGCACTTAGCTTATGTTTGCTGCATAGTGAATGCTCAGGAAATATTAGCTGTTATTATTATCATTATTTCTGGGGCTCCAAGGTGTGTGCCTTTTTTTCGTGGTATCACACATTGTCTTCATACGCCTACCCTAGTTTATCACCTTTATACACACTGACATGTTAAAATTTTGTAATGATGATTTCCATTTTTCAAGGATCTACAGGCATTTCAGCAATAGTTTATCTTCATAATGAAGAAAGTGTTAACAACACTCAGTTGAAAATTAGGCTGGATGATTGAACCCAGAATTCTCAAACACCCCCTCTGCACCCTTTTCCTAATCATCAACACCTTGACCACTTTCCTAATGTGATGCATGCAGATTAAGTCCTTTGTTTATTGATTGGCCAAATATATGCAGGGCGAATGTATGCTACTTCATCCTTGGCTCTGCCAAGGGAGACTGTTACCATGGTAACAAAGGCATCCTTTGACTCCTATTTCTACACAGAATTATAGAAATGCTTCTTAAAAATACTTACAATAATATTTAATGTCGAATCAAAAGTAATTTTTCTCATTGTTTGAGGAGTAAAATTGATTTTCTCTGGGCAAAGTTTGTTTGGATGCCCAAATGTACTGTTTATAGTAATGTGTTCCACCAAATTTCTTTAAAAGCCAGTTAAACATATTTTGTCTTAACTTCTAATCTAATTTCATCATTTGGAAGTGCTTCTTGCTGCACCGTGCCTATTTTGATTTGGAAATAGTGCACATTCCATCTTTGCTATGTCAGGGTAAGGTGGAGGGGAACAGAATGAATCATTCGATTTCTTATGTCAGGAAGGGAGAGGGAGACGCAAGCTTGAGTATGTTCAGGAGTCTATGGCTTATTTTAATGCTGAGATTTTCAGGTGGCAGCTCGTGCTTGGTTTATGATTCCAGTGGATCAAAATCCATTCTTTCTCAAGAGGCATCTATTTTTATTTTTTCAAAATTAAAACTAAGTTTGGTTCTCATCATAAGAACAATACGTGATTTTTCGAAAGAGTCAGAAAATATAGAGCAATAAAATAAAGACACCCATAATCCTACTTCCTAGAGATAACCATCATTGCTATCTGGTAACAGATATTATTCCAGAGTTTCTTGTGTTGATATATGTTTCATTTTACAAAATAAGACTTACCTCTGTAATGTTTTGTAACTTGCGTTTTTCATTTATTCATGTACTGGATGTGTTGAAAGATCACTTCTGATGCACTATGTTGAATGGCTGCAAAGTTGTAAAATATTGATAATTTGAATTAATATTCATTCATTGAATATTTAGGTAGTTATTAGATTTTCCCTAATTGAAGGAGAATTGTATTGAATTCTGTTTGTTAACCTCTTCATCTGCTTTTCAGATACCTGTAAATGAGAAAGGATAAAGCTAGATTCTTGCATCTTGCTGAGATTAAAGGAATGTGAAGGATGGTTAAGGTGGCTCTCTAGTAAACCTCTGCCTCCCTTCATGGGAGAAGACCCAGAGAATCCCCGCATGGTGTCCGCATCTCGCAATTATAGCCGTGAACTCCATGTCAGCTTGTCTTCTATGGCCTTGAGCCATTCACACGTTAGACTCCAGCATCAGCTACCTAGTATCTTCAGAGGGATTTTAGATCTTTATTTTTTTCACAAATATTTGACGAAGATCAATTATATCCTAGTACTCTGCTATCCTCTGTGAATTATACTACCTACCCATCATGCACGATCATGTACACAAATGTTTAAGTGACAGGATGTAAAACAGCATGGGCTTTCACCTATGAGAATTACAGGTCTGAATCCCAAGTCTTCTACTAAACAGTTAATTAATATTTTTGAGATTTGGTTTTCTCATCTTGAAAATGGTAGAAATAGGCCAGGCACAGTGGCTCATGCCTGTAATCCCAGCACTTTGGGAGGCCAACGTGGGCAGATCACTTGAGGCCAGGAGTTTGAGACCAGCCTGGCCAGCATGGCAAAACCCCGTCTCTAATAAAAATACAAAAATTTACCGGGCGTGGTGGTGCATGCCTGTAGTCCCAGCTACTCGGGAGGCTGAGGCAGGAGAATCGCTTGAACCCAAGAGGTGAAGGTTGCAGTGAGCTGAGATCGCGCCACTGCACTTCAGCCTGGGTGACAGAGCAAGATTCCATCAAAAAAAGAAAAAAGAAAAAAGAAAGAAAGAAAAGAAAAAGAAAATGATAGTTCCTTTTCTCTTCAGGATTCCATGAAAATATATGAAAAACGCTAGGCACAATACCTGGCAGATAGTAAGATAAAGGCAATGGTGGGGCCAATGGAGATGAGAAAGCATGGAAAAGGGAGCTGCTCATCCCTTTTAGGGGGTCAGGGAAGCCATCCAGCTTCCATTTCTGTGCTCAATAGACTAAGCCCAGAGCTGCAAGTTTAAAACTGCATGTCTAAGTGCCAGCTCTCCATGACTCACTGCCTGACCTGGGGTTAACCACTTAATCTCTCTCTCTCTCTGCCTTGGTTTTCCTCTCCATACCATGAGCATAATAACTCTTACCCCCCTCACTGGGGTAAGAATGATTAATCACTGTTTATAAAGCTCAAGAAATCCTTTGAGTATGAAGTGCAGTGAGATTGGAAAGCATTATTAGTATTAGCTGCTTTCTTAATAACTAAACCAACATTCTGGGGACTGCTGAATGGAGTACTTTGGAGTTAGACCCTCATCCTATATCACTGTCAAGCACCTCAGTTCCTTTAGCCCTGCCCCTCCGGATATCAGTTTTTCTACCATCTTAATGCTTGCTCTTCAACAGGCTGCAATCAATTTCCTGCTTATAGTCAAGTGCCCATAGCCACCCACACCCATAGGCAATGCTTTTTCACTTCAACAAGTATTTATTAAGCAATTGGATGGTGCTATGCTGGATGCTAGAGATACAGGAATGGATGAGGATCAATACAATCCTTACCTTCAAGGTACATAGCACCTATTATACAGGATAACAGAATCCTAGGGCTCCACATACATGCACATATGTAGTCAGCAAAGTCTTCCTGCTAGAGGTGATATGCAACTGAAAATTGGGAGGGAAGAAACTTATAGCCAGGGAAATATTGGGGGAAGGGGAGAGAAACAGGAAAGAGTGGCATAGAGCGAGGGAACTTATTATCCAAGCCCCAAAATGAGAAAGGGTAAGGTCTGGTAAGAAAATTGAAAGAAGTTTCATAGGATTGAAGCCGAAGAAAGGGAAAGTGTCATATGAAATGATACTCCCAACAAATATAATTCTGTCTGTTGGTCAGGCGCAGCCTAGTGACCTGGTCAGTGGTGTCCTTTATTTAATGCACCTCCAGGCCTGGAATGTTGGCTTCTCTCCAGCCTGGACATTTGAACTGACTACTTCTTCCTGAACTCTTGGACTCTAGACTCCCAGGCCTTCCTTTACTTACTTTCTTTCTCTTTTTTTTTTTTTTTTTTTTGAGACAGAGTCTTACTGTCACCCAGGCTGTAGTGCAGTGGCACCATCTCAGCTCACTGCAACCTCCACTTCCTGGGTTCAAGCAATTCTCATGCCTCAGCCTCCCAAGTAGCTGGGATTATAGGCATGTGCCACCATGCCAGGCTAATTTTTTTGTATTTTTAGTAGAGACAGGGTTTTGCCATGTTGGCCAGGCTGGTCTTGAACTCATGACCTCAAGTGATCCTCCCACCTCGGCCTCCCAAAGTGCTGGGATTACAGGTGTGAGCCACCGTTCCCGGCCCCTTTAGTTTCTTAGTGTTGATATTAATAAACACTTTTTGTCTGACTACTTGCTGCTGTCCTGTCCCTTTCCTTGTAGCTATCACCTATTTTTTAGTAGAGTTGTCAATCTCAAGTATGCTGTTGGTATAAATTGGGCCCCAACATTCTAAAAACCAAAACTCTGTACAGATAAAATGAAACAACTAAAAAAGAGAAAGAGGCATATCTGCAAGCAGTTAAGTAAAACATCACTATGATGTTCCTATGTATAACTATGAAAGAAATGCATGTGGTTTAGGTTCCTGATAAGTAATGCATATTGTACATTAATTTTGCAAGTATATAAAAGAAAAGCCTTGAAAATAGCACCAGTAAGTGTATATATCAAAACCTAAATGGCATAATGAAACCTTAAACAAGCGGTGAGAATTAAATGGAAAGAACTAGATTCCCCCCAAAAAGAAAAGAGAGACTTGTCAGTAACAAAAACATAGAATAAAACTTTAATCAACATCAGAGTTAATCAGCTCATTTGGTAACTGACAGTTCAATGAAGTATCTGTTTTAAAATCATGGGCAAAGCAGACTGCCAAGTTTTATTTGTCATCTGATATAAGTTGAGCTATAGTCCGAGGTGGTGGAAAACCTTTCTTGTTGGATTTTACCTCTTTAATCTCAAATGAAAACTGGCATTCCATCTGGCTAATGTCCAATGTGACACATTTTGGGAGCCATCAACTACCTAGCCTTACAAATCAAGAACACTGATTAAATAATCAAGATTTCTGAAAGCCTTGAGGGAGCTATACGTTTTTTGCATCAGTAATTGCCATTCTGTTTGTAGCACAAGACGTTTTTGAGCTCTGGAAGAAATCTTGTGTTTGACATACAGGCATTGAGTCTCTTATTTGTGGGTTAGCAAGAGTTTGACATCCTTAGAAGTAATATGATAGCAAATATGGAAATTGTGAGATTTTAAAAATGTCTTAAACTAATGAAACTTGTCACTAAGAAGATGAAACAAGATAAGTAATTATTTGGTTATTTATTTTGAGGGGAGAATAAAGGTAATGATATTTTGCCTAGCATCCATTAAAATAAAAGCTGTTATTGTTCTTTCTGATGATGTTATTATGTAACAAATATCTACATAATTATTAATCCTCCATACACATATTCAAAAGTCACCTCTCCCCTATACTAAATAGAAATGTAAAGATGGAAAATTCTTCTCAAGACACGTGGTCAAACACACCTTTATGGTGATTTAAAATAACCATTGCTCAAAGTAGCAAGACATTGATTAGAATAATAACTGATTTCCCTGAATTGCATGCATGAAGGAATAATTCTTTCATTTCAGATGTCAAAATTAGTCCAGAAAATATCAATGAACATTATTAATGTTACATTCAGCTTTGGCCCTAGGCAAAATTGTCAATTTGGTGAAGTTATTCCTTGCCATTTCTCAACATACCTTTGAAGGATTTTATTTATGCTGGTATTAAATCATTTATTCATTCAACAATTTTTTACTGAGACTCTACTAGATGGCAGTCATAATTCCCAGTGCTAGAGATACAGCAACAAAAAAGACAAACACCTTGTGTATCTAGACCTTATATTCTGAAAACCAGAGTGGAATCAGATAATTAAAAACCTAATTCAGGCTGGGCACAGTGGCTCACGCCTGTAATCCCAGCACTTTGGGAGGCCGAGGTGGGTGGATCATGAGGTCAGGAGTTCAAGACCAGCCTGACCAATATGGTGACACCCCATCTCTACTAAAAATACAAAAATTAGCTGGACGTGGTGGCACATGCCTGTAATTCCAGCTACCTGGGAGGTTGAAGCAGGAGAATGGCTTGAACCCGGGAGGTGGAGGTTGCAGTGAGCCCAGATCACACCATTGCACTCCAGCCTGGGCAACAGAGCGAGACTTCATCTAAAAAAAGAAAAAAGAAAAGAAAAACGAAAAAAAAAAGCCTAATTAAGCTTAAAAAGAAGTTTGTAGATTATGGTAAATGTAATAACAATAATAGAATGATACATTGGAGGTTATCTGAGGCTTTCTTTTTTTTTTTTTCTTCTTTTTTGACCGGGAGTCTTGCTTTGTTGCCCAAGCTGGAGTGCAGTGGCAATCTCAGCTCACTGCAACCTCCACCTCCCAGGTTCAAAAGATTCTCCTGCCTCAGCCTCCTGAGTAGCTGGGATTACAGGCACGTGCCACCACACCCAGCTAATCTTTAGTAGAGACAGGATTTCACCATGTTGGTCAGGATGGTCTTGAACTCCTGATCTTGTGATCCGCCCACCTCAGCCTCCCAGAGGGCTGGGATTACAGGTGTGAGCCACTGTGCCTGGCCTATCTGAGGCTTTCTTAAGTGTGGTGGTCAGAAAAGACCTCTTCAGTGAGCTGAGACCTTAGAGCCAACCATTACCATTACAAAATGGTGGAAAATGTGGAAGGAACCATTACACATAGAATTACAAATAGAAGAACCTTCTATTACAAATAGAAGAACCTTGGCAAATTAAAAAACCTCAGTTCCGTGGAACTGAGACCAGGGAAATGCTGGGAGTTAATGGCCAGAAAGAAGCTCTGTGAGACCAAAGTGTAATTAACAAAGAGAGAGTAGTATAAGATGAGGCAAAAGAGCGATACATGGGTTTTTGGCTCATGTAAGTTCTCATAGGCAATGATAAAAACTGCAGTTTTCATCTGAAGAGAACTTTGCAAAATTTTGGTAAATATCTATCCTCTTTCTCCTTTCTGTCTTAGAACTTCCATTCCCTTGCTTCTGAGAGTCTCCTAATATTGCAGCTCTCCCGTTAGCCCCTTGTCCAAAGATCTTTTTTGGTCTTTTCTCATGTAATGTGCCTTCCAGCTTCCCACTTTCTTAGGGACCTACCAGGCAATTTGTAAACTAATCTGATAAACCAATATGAATTAAAGCATTCATAGGTAATGTCACTTAAAATGGTATTCCCCTAAGATAGTATCTTTCCTATAAAACAGCCTTTATTATCTAGACTGCAAGGAGTAAATACTTTGGAAGTTACAGCTATTTAACAGAAAAAAAAAAAAACCCCACAATATAAGCAGCTGCTTTTTTCCCCTCCCATGAAAAGGAATATACTTGTGTGAACTGTTCAGTTCAGCTGGTTAGAAATCAGGAAGTATTATTATCACCCTTGGTTTAACAATCACTAGGATTTATTAAGCCCCTCTTGTGCACCAGGCACTACACTAGATACTTTATATACATAATTTCATTTAATTATCATTACCAGTCCCATAAATTCCCAATTTATAGATGAAGAAAGTGAGGCTCAAAGGCTTATCTGCCTTGCACTGTGAACTTGTGATGAGAACAGGTTTCGAAATATAAAAGGCAATCCATAAGAATTTGCTTAATAAATGCATGATTGGAATGAATAAGTGAATGAATAAATAAGTAAATAAGCCACACAGCCTGGGAGTTAGTGGATAGAGCTATGATTGGATTCAGCCCTCATGGACATAGAAGCCCATGCTATTCTATATAATGATGCCTTCCTCATTTAGTACGTGATGAATTTGATATTCTGATCTACAGTTCAGAGCATAGTTTATTCAAAGGCAAAAGGAACATGTCCAATGAGGCAGTTAGAGGATTTCTGTCAGTTAGAGGATCTCCTCCCTTAATTTTTCTGGTTGTGGGGAGCAATTTGCTACGTCTACTGAGGAATTCAGCCTGATTAGATGACTAAATTCTGATAGTAATGTTATTTTGATAAGACCAAAAATTTCCCCAAAGGTGTTTGCAAGGAACGCACACACATGTGTGCACACACATGCATACACACAGATAGGTAGACACGTTCTGTGAGTGAGAAAAATGCCACATGGACATGGAAGGATCCAGCTCTTGCCTCTAGTCAGTGTTTATAACTAAGCTTGCTTCTTTGGGGTGATGTTCACTATCTTACCCATTCCAAAAAATAAATAAATAAAAACCCCGTGGTGTCTAAGAACGTGATAAGAGTTATCTTCAAGGAATACAATTTCATTCTTTGATTTTATTGAGATCTACACATCTCTGTCAGAAGTTGAACTAGTGCCAGAGTCTTTAAAACAGAAATAAATAAGCGTGTGGCTCTGATTCATCCTCTTCCGAAATCATACTGAACTCTTGGATGGGCACTCTCCTGAAGAGACGATGCTTCTATTTGTGTTATAAACCTGAACTTCAGGATAAGTGAGAGGAAGCTCTCCAAAAAGTGCTCTTGCAAAGCATTCCCCTTGTTACTGTATTGAAAGAAAATGTTCTTCAATAAAATATGTTTAGGAAATAAAGTGAATTATCTGATCTCTTAGCAATTTTCAAAGAACATTATTAAAGAACCTAAGAGGTCCTAAAAACCAAATAAATAAATAACAACAATCTATATAACTTTGTTTACCCAATATATCCCATACAAATCTGGCCACAGTACACCATAAAAAGTACATGTAATTGATTAGTGGTCCATTGAATATCTTTTGGGAAATGCTGACTTAGGAACTTTAAGTGGTTCATGATGGGTAGAAAAGTAAAATTTTTCTGTGTGCGTATAGCTGTCGTAATCCCTAGGGACTTGTGGGATAATTTGTAAGATTTTAAATGGGAAACATCTTTAGGGTAATGTGTGCTACTTTTTTTTTTGTTGTTGTTGAGATCGAGTCTCCCTCTGCCACCCAGGCTGGAGTGCAGTGGCGCGATTTTGGCTCACTGCAATCTCTGCAACCTCCGCCTCCCAGGTACAAGTGATTCCCCTTTCTCAGCCTCCCCAGTAGCTGGGATTACAGATGTCCACCACCACGCCTGGCTAATTTTTGTATTTTTAGTAGAGACAGGGTTTCACTATGTTGGCCAGGCTGGTCTCAAACTCCTGACCTCAGGTGATCTCCCCATCTTGGCCTCCTAAAGTGCTGGGATTACAGGCGTGACCCACCACGCCCAGCCGTGTGCTACTCTTATATATGGTAAAGTTACATCTGACTCTACCTGTAGGCAGCAACGCATGGCAGGCGTGAAGGAGCACAGACTGCAGAGTCAAGTCCTACCATTGCCACTTACCACTCATGTGACTTTGTATGACACTTAAATTCTTTGAACCTGATCTATAAACAGTACTTAGCTCGAAGGAAATTATGGAGCTAATGTAAACAAAGTGATTAGCATTGTGCTGGGCAAATACTAAGTGCTTAATAAGAGGCACCTGTTTTATATCTTTCTCTTTTTGTCTGATGCTTCTTACGGGTTTTTGTAGAATCATTCACATTCTCTTATAGAGCCCTCTTCTTGTCAGGGCATGCATTTGTAAGAAGGCCAAGTGGGTATTAACTATCTCATATATAGACCTCATTAGTGCAATTCACAAACCAAGACCAGAGTTTTATGGAGACGGAATGTAGAGTTATTTCTTGCAATGTTACCCACACTCTTCTTTAGCTATAATATGCAGTTAAGTGGCACTTTGAAAAGCTATTAGCACAAAAATCACTTATATTAAAACTAGTCTTAACATTAAAAATCAGTTTTTTATAAAAATCTGTGAATATCTCTTATGCTATTATTAAACCTGTGCAGGGATGTCCCCTTAAAAACCAAAATGGGTCTCATAAAATCATCCCCAAAGGAAATTTATAGTACAACATCCTGGAATGATGTTTACCATAAGTACAGACCAGCAACTGCCAGACAAACATTTGTGTTTGCCAGGTATGCGAGTGATTGGTGGAATTTCAAACAAGGACTTTAAGTTATCCACAAAGACATTTGCTGCTCATACATCTGTAACTGACATTTATAAAGGAAAAATCCCACTGTAGGCTTATAAAAAGATTTTGCACTTGCGTTCGTAAGGACTTCAGTAGGATTTCTATACTATACATTACGTTTATTAATTTCGGAGTCAGAACATGACAACAGTTATTGTGTTAGGCTGACTATAATTATCAAGCTTGTTATTCCTTTGCCCCAATGCATAGGTGCTCCATCTCATTCAGAGTAAAAGTGACAGTTCTTGAAAGGGGTTACTAGGCCCTCCGATCTCATTTAACCTCATCTCTCCTCCCCACTTACTCACTCTGCCATAACGACACCATTCTTCTTGTTCTAGGCATGCTCCTACCTCAGGCCTTTGCATTTTTGTTTCCTTTTGTCTGTTTTTTTTTCTTTTCTTTTTTTTTTTTTTTTTTGAGACGGGGTCTCACTCTGTCGCCAGGCTGGAGTGCAATGGTGTAATTGCGGCTCACTGCAACCTCCGCCTCCTGGGTTCAAGCAATTCTCCTGCCTCAGCCTCCTGAGTAGCTGGGATTACAGGTGCCTGCCACCACACCAGGCTAATTTTTGTATTTTTAGTAGAGATGGGGTTTCACCATGTTGGTCAGGCTGGTCTCGAACTCCTGACCTCGTGATCCACCCGCCTTAACCTCCCAAAGTGCTGGGATTACAGGCGTGAGCCACCGCACCCAGCCTTCCCTCTGTCTTAAATTCTTTTCTTCAAGATACTCACAAAATTGATGTCTCAGTTCCTTCAGGTCTCTGCTCACATGTCATTTGTAAACTAACATGGTTTCCTCAAAAGTTTCTTCACACTTTATCCACCCCTGCTTTATATTTCTCCATAGCACTGAATACTATATGACATAGCCATACCTGCTCATAGAATTCAATTACTAAATTTCTCAAAAATTTGCCACGTGATTTTTTAAAACATTAAAACTTGAAATTGGCCATGTTGCAAATATTTACACCACGGTGACTGGCAATACTACCAGTCATGACTTTTATTTAGAGAGCTGGTTTACCAGAACATGACAAGACATAATATTTATGTGCTTACATATATACTGTTGGTCAACACTATTGTATAATCTCAAAAAAGTGCAAAGAGTCTGTTTTGTTCACTACTGTTTATCTAGTGTCCTGGACAGAGTCTGACACACTTATGTCGAATGAATGATTGATGAGGATATCAAAAATTAGGATTCTATGGCAGTTAATATTTGAGAAAGATGAGATTGGCCTTATCATCCATTCACTAATTTCGTCATTCAGTAAATATTTTTGAGAGCTCGTGTACTAGGTGCTCACACTGTTCTAGGACTCGGAGACTTTTTTTATTATTGTTATTATTTTTAAGACGGAGTCTTGCTCTGTCACCCAGGCTGGAGTGCAGTGGGGTGATCTCGGCTCACTGAAGCCTCTACCTCCTGGGTTCAAGAGATTCTCCTGCCTCAGCCCCCTGAGCAGCTGGGATTACAGGCGTGCACCACCACATCTGGCCAGAAACATTTTAATAAACAGAAGAGAAATAGTCCTTACCTTCACGGAGCTTACATTTTAATAGAGGAGAGAAAAACAGTGAACTAAAACAAACAAACACAAAAGATAAAAGCTGTAAGTTCAGATACTGATATGTTAGAAAAAATAAGTTTAGATATTGCTAATGCTTGTAAAACACTAAGACCACAACAAGGGAATGAATAGAGAGGGGCTGGAGGAGGAGTTGATCTTTTACATACAGAAATCAGGTACAGCCTTTCTGAAAGTTGATGTTTGAACCGAGACATAAATGACAATTAAGTCTGCCAAACTCAGATCTAAGGAAAGAGCATTTCAAGCAGAAAGAAGAGCAAAGTGCAAGGCCCTGATATTGGACTGAGTTTGGTGAGCTGGAAGAACAGAATGAGGATCACAACTCTTAAAACATACTGGCTGGGCGTGGTGGCTCACACCTGTAATCCCAGCACTTTGGGAGGCTGAGGTGGGCGGATCACGAGTTCAGGAGTTTGAGACCAGCCTGGCCAACATGGTGAAACCCCATCTCTACTAAAGATACAAAAAATCTGCTGGGCATGGTGGCACGTGCCTGTAATCCCAGCTACTCGGGAGGCTGGGGCAGGAGAATTGCTTGAACCTGAGATGCAGAGGTTGCAGTGAGTTGAGATTGCACCATTGCACTCCAGCCTAGGTGACAGGGCGAGACTCCATCTCCCCCCCCCAAAAAAAAAAAAAAAAAAGAAAAGAAAAAAGAAACATATTGGGTTAGGAAGAGAATGGTGGTGGATGAGATCAGAAAAGCAGGCAGAGTCAGACCACTCAGGACCTTCTAGGCCATGAGAAACTCAGAGAGGAACATGATACAGTGTCAAGTTTGCAAAGATCAAAGGCAACAGAGGATGGTAAGTGACCAATTACAAGCTAGTGCAGTGGTTCAGCATGTACACTGCAAAAATATACAGTCTGTGAGTGATAGTATGGACCACAAGGGATCCTGATCATTTTAGAGGTGAATTTAGCCAAAACATTCATGACATAATATCTTTGGCTTTTACACACTGTTCAAGATGAGATGAAAAGATGTAATATTCTGTACCTTTTATTAAAAGCTAATATAAACTTGATACTCAAACCAACCAAGGAAAGTATAAGACAGTTACAGCCAATCTCATTAAAGTTTTACATGCAAAAATCTTATTTAAAATATTAGCATGCTACATAAAGCAATGTGTTAAAAATGCTTTGGAACCGGAAAAGGTTTCCCTCAAGAATTCATGGATGGTTTAACATTAGAAAAAACTACTAATGTAATTAAATATGTTAACAGGTTAAAGGAGGAAGGAATAAATGGTCATCCCAAAAGATACAAAATAATTGGATAAAATTAAAGTCCATTCTTGATTAAAAAAAAAAAAAGAATCCAGGGAATCTAAGAAAACATTGCTAATATGATGAAGGTTTCTAGCAAAAAACTTACAGCAAACTCCTTAATAATAAAAGTTAGAAATACTCATTTTAAAGTAAACAAAAGGTTAACTTTTTCTTTTTCTCCATTCTATTTATTTCTTCTCCTTCTTTTTTTATTTGTTTTTGAAACAGTCTTGCTCTGTCGTCCAGGCTGGAGTGCAGTGGTACAATCTCGGCTCACTGCAACCTCCACCTCTCAGGTTCAAGCAATCCTCGTGCCTCAGCCTCCTGAGTAGCTGGGATTACAGGTGTGTGCCACCATGCCTAATTTTTTTTTTTTTTTTTTTTTTTAAGTAGAGACGGGATTTCACCATGTTTGCCAGGCTGGTCTCAAACTCCTGGCCTCAGGTGATCTGCCCGCCTCAGCCTCCCAAAAATACTGGAATTACAGGCTTGAGCTACCACACCCAGCCAGAATCTAACCACTCTTCATCATGTATATTTCCAGTATTATAACAATAGCTTTCTACCAAGTTTCCCTGCTTCTATTTGTGTGTGTGTGTGTGTGTGTGTGTGTGTGTGTGTGTGGAGGTAGAATTGATTTTTTGGTATATAACAATCTGTGCATAATTAATGTATACAACTTGGTCAATCTGGAGATGAGTGTACACCCATGAAGCCACCACCACTATCTGTGTCATAGACCTATTCATCATGTTAAAAGCTTCCTCCCAATCTATTATATGTTACGATTACAAATTTTTGTGATAAGCATGCTTAACATGAGTTCTACTCTCTTAGAAAAATGTCAAGTATACAATACAGTACTGTTAACTATATTCACTATGTTGTACAACAGATCTGTAGGATTTATTTATCATCTATAACCAAAACTTTGTACCCTTTGATGAACATCACATTTTTCTCTCTCCTCATCCTGTAGAAACCACCATTTCACTATATGCTTCTATGAATTTGATTATTTTAAATTTATCACATATGTTGTATCATGTAGTATTTATCCTTCTGTGTCTCATTTCACCTAGCATAGTGACCTCTAGATTCATCCATAATGTCACAAATAGCAAAATTCCCTTTGGTTGAATAATATTTCATTGGATATATGTAACTCATTTTTATTCAAAATCACTAATTATCAGGGAAATGCAAATCAAAACCACACGAGCTATCACCTCATACCTGTTAGAATGGCTATTATCAAAAAAAGATAAATATTGAAGATGTGGAGAAAAGGGAACACTTATACACTGTTAGTGGAGTGTAAATTCATAAAGCCATTATAGGAACCAGCATAGATGTTCCTGAAAAAACTAAAAATAGAAATACCAAATCACCTAGCAATAGCACATCTGGGTATATGTCCCAAGGAATTGAAGGCAGAGTCAATTACAAAAGGTACAGATCTTTCTGTACTCCCTGTTCATTGCAGCATTATTCATAATAACCAAGACATGGAAGCAACTAAATATCCATCCCTGCTTCTATTCTATGTGTATCTTTCACAGGAGCCTCAGTGATCTTTTAAAATTTTAATTCAGATCACAGCTCAGAAGCCTGAAGTGACTCTCTGATCTTCGCTCCAACTTCTTTCTCCCTTGCTTTTTCTGGTGCAGCCACAGACTAGCCTTCTTGCTGTTCTTAAGACACGAAAGGCATGATCCCACTTCATGGTCGTGGTTCTAGCTGTTCCCTTTGTCTGAAATGCTTTGTACTGCCAGAAACTACTTGGCTGATTCCCATGGCAATTTCAAGTCTGATCAAATCTGCCCTTAATGAGACTACTCTGACCACAATTTTTTTTTTTTTTTTTTTTGAGACGGAGTCTCACTCTGTTGTCCAGGCTGGAGTGCAATGGTGCGTCTCGGCTCACTGCAACCTCCACCTCCAGGGTTCAAGCAATTCTGCCTCGGCCTCCCTCCTGAGGAACTGGGATTACAGGTGTGCACCACCACGCCCAGCTAATTTTTGTATTTTTAGTAGAGATGGATTTTCACCATGCCGGCCAGGCTGTTCTCGAACTCCTGATCTCGTGATCCGCCTGCCTCAGCCTCCCAAAGTGCTGGGATTGCAGGCGTGAGCCACCAAGCCCGGACACCACAATGTTTTATGACACAACTTGTACCATTCTCCTTACTGTGCTCTTATTTTTGTTTATTATTATTATTATTATTATTATTATTATTATTTTTTTTTTTTTTTTTGGGACGGAGTCTCGCTCTGTCGCCCAGGCTGGAGTGCAGTGGCGTGATCTCGGCTCACTGCAAGCTCCGCCTCCTGGGTTCATGCCATTCTCCTGCCTCAGCCTCCCTAGGAGCTGGGACTACAGGCGCGTGCCACCACGCCCGGCTAACTTTTTTTCTGCATTTTTAGTAGAGAGACAGGGTTTCCCCGTGTTGGCCAGGATGTTCTCAATATCCTGACCTCGTAATCTGCCCACCTCGGCCTCCCAAAGTGCTGGGATTACAGGCATGAGCCACCACTCCCAGCCCTTATTTTTTTATTTTGCATATCATCTTGCAAAACACCATATATTTTACTTATTTTTCATATTCTTAATTTGCAAGATAGTGAGCTCCACAAGGGCAATATTTCATTGCTGTTGTTCATTGATGTTTTTTGAGCATATAAAAGAGTGCCTAGAAAGAGTGGGTGTTCAATAGTACTTGTTGATTAAATGAATGAACAAATGAATGAAGGAAAATCAATAAGAAGGTAGAAAAAGAGAACGTGGATAAGTAATATATAAACAGACAATTCATTGAACAGAACAACCAAATGACTAATAAACACAGAAAAAGCTGCTCGATCTAGTAATAATCAATACAATGAAAAACGAAATCAAGATAACACTTATTCTCATCTGAATGGCAAAACAAATTAAGTCTAATAACACAAAGTATTGGTAAGAGTTTGTAGAAGCAAGTAGTGATGTAATTTAATATAAATTTGAAAGACTATTTTGAAGTTCATTTTATAATTCTGAATAAAATTATCCATATTCTTCAGCCTAGTGACTTCACTTCTAGATACATTTCCCAAATTAACTCTCCTACATGGACAAGAGAGGTTAGCAGCACTATTTATAATAGTAGAAAAAGAAGCTACTCAAATCCTTCAATAGGACAAATATGAACTGTGGTTTATTCCTACAATGCAGTTTTATACAAATTTAAAAGTAATAAGCCAGAACTACATATATTAATATGAATTCATATAAAAAACTGAATTTGGAGTAGAATTAGTACAACATGCAACCCCACTGGAATTTTTTTTTTTTTTTTTGAGATGGAGTCTCAGTCTGTCACACAGGCTAGAGTGCAATGATATGATCTCGGCTCACTGTAACTTCCTTCCCTGGTTCAAGCAATTCTCCTGCCTCAGCTTCCTAAGTAGCTGGGATTACAGGCGCCTGCCACCACACTCGGCTAATTTTTGTATTTTTAGTAGAGACAGGGTTTCACCATGCTGGCCAGGCTGGTGTTGAACTCCCGACCTCAGGCAATCCGCCCCCCTCGGCCTCCCAAAGTGCTGGGATTACATACGTGAGCCGCCACGTCCAGCCTGGAACTTTTTAAAGACACAACAATAATATCTATATTCCATATGGCTTTATATGTGTTTATGAAAATGCAAAAAATGCATGGGAATTGTAATACGTACTTGAGGAGAGTGATAACTTTTGGGAGAAAACAAGGAAGAGTTTAGATAATGGGGCTTTTGCACTATGAGTTATTAATTTCTGTTAAGATTTTTATGGTAAATATGATAACACCATGTATTCAAATTTAGTGTGGGAGTCTTTCATGGTATTTTCTGTGATGTAATACCAAATTTTAAATTTTAAAATTTTAAATCAATATTTTGGCAAATAAGAGTAAAAGGGAGATGAAAAGAAAGATTGGGTGATAGCATAAGGGGGCAGCAAGGAAAATATAAAATGCTATTGGGAGAGGTGAGATCTGAGTATATTTGTAAGCAGGACAGAAGGGGCTTTGAAAACGGGGAAGCAGGCCGGGTGCGGTGACTCACGCCTGTAATCCCAGCACTTTGGGAGGCCAAGGCAGGTGGATCACGAGGTCAGGAGATCCAGACTATCATGGCTAACACGGTGAAACCCCGTCTCTACTAAAAATAGAAATAAATTAGCCGGGCACGGTGGCGGGCGCCTGTAGTCCCAGCTACCTGGGAGGCTGAGGCAGGAGAATGGCATGAACACGGGAGTCGGAGCTCTCAGTGAGCCGAGATCGCGCCGCTGCACTCCAGCCTGGGCGACAGAGCCAAACTCCGTCTCAAAAAAAAAAAAAAAAAAAGGGGGCGGGGGGGATGCAGACAATATAAGAGAAAAGGTAAAAGTGTAAAATATTGATGTCATGTGTAGGATGTCAAAACTAAGGCACATAAGTAGCTGTTAGTTTTGACAAGAGGGAGTCATATTTCTTCTACAAGAGGAGAGAAAAGGAAACACTAGTTGGAGGTACAGAGTTATATTGAAATACAGAAGAGAAAGATAAAGGGCACTCTAGCAAATTTAAATATTCTCAGTCAAGTTGAAGACAATGGGATATCAAGGCTATTTTCAGCCAGTAAGGTAATAAAGAGTTTTGATAATTTGAGGAGACCAGAGAAAGTTTGAAATCTCTGCAGGTATGTAGTAAGAAACTACTGCAGGTCTGTAGCAAGTAAATAGGAGAGTTACAAGCAACCCAAGCCTTATAAACCCAACTGTGTTAGAAATTGGTGAGTTTTTAACTATACGTGATTTTCATGCTGTACTTGATTTTTTAACTTCTTCCAGAAGTTCTCAGTAGCCAAATACAGGAAATGGATAGAGGGGCTTATTCAGAATTGAAAATCACCAGAATTATAAAAGCAAAAAGAATAGTGAATCCATGAATCTATGGTGTTCAGGAGAGCATCAATTAAATAGCTAAGCCTAAGATCAAGGCAAGGAACAGAGGCAAATGAGAACCTCCAAAATCTCATAGAATGGAGAAATAGTAAGTTGAAAACATGAAGAAGTTGAAGTTATGATGAGGACAAAAGAACATTTTTAGCAAGACTACAATGACAAGAAGAATGAAAGAGGGAAGAAGTTGGCACTCTAGAATTTTGCAGTTTGTCATCTTTGATATTAGTTACTTCAGGATAAAATCAAGAAGTGCTTAAAGATGGAAAAAATTGAGTGAAAATTATCATTAAAATCTGGGTGAGTCATACGAAACTCAAATACTAGATGATATAGTAAGTTTAAATGAACTAACAGAGGATGATGGAAACCATGAAGTAGAAAGGACACACAGATAGCTGTTAAATTATTAGAGTATACTGCTATTATTTTAAAAACAAGGGTTAGGGGTGAATGTTATTTTTATTCAAATTTTTACAATTATTTTACTCAATGTTATGAAGTTTGTTTATAGTGATAGCATGTAGATATAATTTATTTGCAATTTTTCTAGTATTCATTTGCATGAATGCTCTCACATTTATTATCCACTCTCTAATGGTTTTCAGTTTTTTTGTTCTGACAAAATAATGCAAATATACATTTTATTTTAAAGTACGTTTTATTATAGTATGCACACATGAGGAAAGATCTCTAGGACATTTATGTGAAAGGGAAATTCTAGGCTCCAGGTATATATATCTTCAACTCGAATATGCAAACTACAGAATGATATATACAGTAAATGACATTTTTGTAAATTTTTAAAATATGTAAACTTTATATATTTTCTGTGTTGGTCCAGTTTGCATTGCTATAAAGAAATGCCTGAGACTTGGCAATTTGTAAAAAAAAAGAGGTTTATTTGGTTCATGGTTCTGCAGACTGTACAAGAAGTACTGCACCAGCATCTGCTTCTGGTAAGGCCTCAAGAAGCTTTTAATCATGGTGGTAGGCAAACAGGGAACTGGCATACCATATGGCAGGAAAGAGAACGAGAGAGAGATGGGGGGAATCCCAGACTTTTTAACATTAGATCTCATATGAACTCAGTACTCTCGGGAGGGCTTCAAGGCATTAATAGGGATCCAGCCCCATTACCCCAACGCCTCCCATAAGGCCCCCCTCCAACAGTGAGAATCATGTTTTAACATGAGATTTGGGGAGGACATCTAAACCATATTACGTGCATATCAACTAAAGATACAAAATTTGATCAGGAAGTGCAAGAATAAATATGAGGACAATGGTTACTCTAAAGAAGGAGACTTAGGCCAGGTGCAAAGGCTCACTACTGTAATCCCAGCACTTTGGGAGGCTGAGATGGGTGAACCACCAGAGGTCACGAGTTCAAGACCAGCCTAGGCAACATGGTGAAACCCCATCTGTACTAAAAATACAAAAATTAGCTGGGCACAGTGGCATGTGCCTGTAATCCCAGCTACTCGGGAGGCTGAGGCAGGAGAATCACTTGAACCTGGGAGGCAGAGGTTGCAGTGAGCCAAGATCACACCACTGCACTCCAGCCTGGGCGACAGAATGAGACTCTGTCTCAAAATATATTAATAAAAAAAAAGTAGGTGTTTAATATTTACGCATGTCATAAATTTGAAATATTTCAAAGTAAGATTAAAATAATATCTTTTCAAAATGATACTGTTCATTGTAAAACGTTTAGAAGTCAAAATGAAAGTAGTAGATGAAAATAAAAATAACCTTCCATTTCAATACCCTGAATAAGAACTACTAATATTGTGTCCGGAATTGGTGGGTTCCTGATTTCACTAACCTCAAGAATGAAGCCGCAGACCCTCATGGTATAAGTGTTCCAGTTCTTAAAGACGGTGTGTCCGAAGTTTTCTCCTTCTGATGTTCAGACGCGTTCAGAGTTTTTTCCTTCTAGTGGGTTCGTGGTCTTGCTAGCTTCAGGAGTGAAGCTGCAGACTTTCGTGGTGAGTGTTACAGCTCTTAAGGCGGCGCGCGTCTGGAATTGTTCATTCCTCCTGTCGGGAGTTGTTCATTCCTCCCTGTGGGTTCGTGGTCGCACTGGCCTCAGGAGTGAAACTGCAGACCTTTGCGGTGAGTGTCACAGCTCATAAAGGGAATGCAAACCAAAACAGTGAGCAGCAGCAAGATTTACCGCAAACAGCAAAAGAACAAACCTTCCACACTGCAGAGAGAAACTGAGCAGGTTGCCACTGCTAGCTCTGGCAGCCTGCTTTTATTCCCTTATGTGGTCCCACCCACATCCTGCTGATTGGTCCATTTTACAGCAAGCTGATTGGTCTGTTTTACAGAGGCTGATTGGTCCGTTTTGGCAGGGTGCTGATTGGTGCGTTTACAACCCCTGAGCTAGACTCAAAAGCTCTCCAAGTCCCCACCAGATTAGCTAGACACAGGGTGCCGATTGGTGTACTTACAAACCTTGAGGTAGACACAGGGTGCTGATTGGTGTGTTTACAAACCTTGAGCTAGATACAGAGTGCTGATTGGTATGTTTACAAACCTTGAGCTAGACACAGAGTGCTGATTGGTGCATCTACAATCCCTTAGCTAGACATAAAGGTTCTCCAAGTCCCCACCAGATTAGCTGGACACAGGGTGCTGATTGGCGCATTCACAAACCTTGAGCTAGACACAGAGTGCTGACGGGTGCATCTACAATCCCTTGGCTAGACATAAAGGTTCTCCAAGTCCCCACTAGACTCAGGAGCCCAGCTGGCTTCACCTAGTGGATCCTGCACCACGTCTGCAGGTGGAGCTGCCTGCCAGTCCCCTGCGGTGCGCCCACACTCCTCAGCCCATGGGCAGTGGTTGGGAGCCAGCGGCTGGCGCTCATAGAGGAGGTTCCAGCCGCGCAGGAGCTGACGGCGCAGGGCAGGCTCAGGCATGGCGGGCTGCGCGTCCCGAGCCCTTCCCCCGGGACGCAGCTGAGGCCTGGGGAGAGTTCGAGTGCAGCTCCGGCAGGCCAGCACTGCTGGGGGACCCGGCGCACCCTCCACAGCTGCTGGCCCGGGTGCTAAGCCCCTCACTGCCTGGGGCTGGCGGTGCCGGCCGGCCAATCCGAGTGCGCGCCCGCCGAGCCCACGCCCACCCGGAACTCGCGCTGGCCCGCAAGCGCCGCGCTCAGCCGCTGTTCCCACCCACGCCTCTCCCTCCATACCTCCCTGCAAGCTGAGGTAGCCGGCTCTGGCCTCGGCTAGCCCAGAAAGGGGCTCCCACAGTGCAGCAGCGGGCTGAAGGGCTCCTCAAGCGTGGCCAGAGTGGGCGCTGAGGCCGAGGAGGCACCGAGAGCGAGCGAGGGCTGCAAGGTCTGCCAGCACGCTGTCACTTCTCACTATTTTGGTATGTTTTCCACTAGACACACACATGTATACGTAGATTATATTTTGTATCATGTTTTAAGATGCACTTCTGTTTTACTTAACAACAAAAATGTTACTAAACTTTGGGTTTCAGTTTCAACATGTGAAAACCTCAGAGGTTATCTCCCATCCTTTAAACAGACAAAAGCAGAATGAACTAAAAACCATTGACTTTTCTTGGACTCATCAGAGAACTGGTGTTGCAGGGCAAACACCCTAGTGCAAAATCTAGAGAGAAAAGAGAATCCAGAGAGTCATAGCCTGATCTGTATACTGGAGCAGACCCTACTGCAGCCATAAAGTGCTAGGAACACATAAATGGTAATTGTAACAAATTGTTGTAGATTTAACGTAGATGAGCTCCAGAGAGTGAAACTCCTGGAGGCCATAGGCTTAGCAGCTCTCTACACAAACTCACCTCCACGGACTCTACTAGGTTCTTAGTGCAGAAACAAGAGTCTCTCATGGCTCTGGCAGGGGAGGGGAGGAGTGACCATTGTAAAATATGCCCAGTGCATTCTTCATTATGAAGGTCTACCCTTCAGGGGAAAAGACTTCACCAGAAACTTCTCTCACATGAGGAAACAGAACTTCCCCAAACTAAGGCCCTTGGAGGAGTGAGAGGATAGGATTCTAAGAAATACATTGTGAAGGTCACAGTCTGGGGATACATGGCCACTAAAAGACTAAGATTTAATCATGTAATTATAGAATGCTCCCCCTGTCTGATACTTTTTCACCACATCAGCAAGGCTCTGGTATAATAACAGTGTATTAAAGGTGAAGAAAAAAAGCTGGAAGACACAGATTTTACCTGAGGATAAATTTTTAGGGAAATCTAAAGGTAGCATGGGAGTCTAAAATAATGATTCTAGAGAAGATTGACGCTCTGGCACCTATAGCTGTGGCAAACCTTAAGCAAAGATAAACTCCTACCCAGTTTAACATAAAACCCCACACTACTTTAGGGCTATTTTACCCCAGTTTACTATTGAGGCCTATTTTACCCCAGTTCCTGTTACACTATACGTCATGCCCAGCTTTTAACAAGAAATTATGAAACATGCTAAGAGGCAAGAGAAAAAACACAGCCTGAAGAGACAAAGCAAGCATCCAAACCAGACTCAGATATGACAGATTTTGGAGTTATCAAACAAGGCATATAAAGTAACTATGTTCACTATGTTAAGAGCTCTAATGGAAAAAGTGGACAACATGCAAGAACAGATGGTCAATGTGCTAAGAGAGACGGAAAATCTAAGAAAGGATCCAAAGAAAATGTTAGAAATTAAAAAAAAACAAAACAAAACATAGTAATAGAAATGAAGGATGCATTTGAAAGTCTCATCAGTAGCTGAACATGACTAATGAAACAATCAGGAAGCTAGGCTGAGTGCAGTGGCTCATACTTGTAATCCCAGCACTTTGGGAGGCCAAGGCAGGTGGATTGCTTGAGCTCAGGAGTTCAAGACAAGCCTGGGCAACATGGCAAAACCCCGTCTGTACAAAAAATACAAAAATTAGCTGGGCATGGTGGCTCATGCCTGTGGTCTCAGCTACTTGGGAGGCTGAGGTGGGAGGATTGCTTGAACTAGGGAGGCAGAGGCTGCAGTGAGCTGAGATCATGGTACTGCCGTCCATCCAGGGCAACAGGGCAAGACATTGCCTTAAAAAAATAATAATAATAATCAGTAATCTCAAAGGCAGGTTAATAGAAAGTTTCCAAATTGAAATGGAAAGAGAAAAAATATTGAAAAAATAGAACAGAAATCACAAAACTGGGACAGCTTCTGAGGATGCATATATGCAAAATGAGAAAACCCAAAGAGAAGACAGAGAGAATGGATCAAGAAATACTTGAACTAACAGTGGTCAGTAATTTTCCAAATTTAATGAAAGACATACTGCAGTTGCAGAAACTTCAGGACATATCAGATGAGATAAATACCTAAAATCTACATTTAGGCATATCATATTCCAGCTGCAGAAAGCCAAAGACAGAGAGATCTTGAAAGGTCCTTGGGCACAGGGGGCAGTACAAAAATGCCTTTCCTATGGAGAATAAGAATTCAGTGGACTTTCCATCAGAGCCACCAAGGAATAAAAGAGTAAGGTGAAGTATTTATTTATTTATTTATTTATTTATTTATTTTTTAAGATGGAGTCTTGCTCTGTCACCCAGGCTGGAGCGCAGTGGTGCGATCTCAGCTCACTGCAACCTCCACCTCCCGGGTTCAAGCAACTCTCCTGCCTCAGCCTCCCAAGTAGCCGGGACTACAGGCGCCCACTACCATGTCCAGCTAATTTTTTGTATTTTTAGTAAAGACAGGGTTTCACCATGTTAGCCAGGATGGTCTCGATCTCCTGGCCTCGTGATCCGCCGGCCTTGGCCTCCCAAAGTGTTGGGATTACAGGCGTGAGCCACTGTGCCCGGCCTTTATTTTTTGAGACGGAATCTCACTCTTGCCCAGGCTGGAGTGCAGTGGTGTGATCTTGGTTCATTGCAACCTCTGCCTCCTGTGTTCAAGTGATTCTCTTGTCTCAGGCCCCCGAGTAGCTGGGATTATAGGTGTGCACCACCAAGCCCGGCTATATTTTTGTTTTTGAAGAGACAGCATTTCACCATGTTAGCCAGGCCGGTCTCGAACCCCTGACCTCAGGTGATCTGCCCATCTCAGCCTCCCAAAGTTCTGGGGTTACAGGCGTGTGCCACAGTGCCCGGCCTATTTATTTATTTATTTGAGATGGAGTGTGGCTCTGTCACCCAGGCTGGAGTGCAGTGGTGTGATCTCGGCTCACTGCAACATCCACCTCCTGGGTTCAAGCAATTCTCCTGTCTCAGCCCCCTGCGTAGCTGGGATTATAGGCATGTACCACCAAGCCTGGCTACGTGTGTGTGTGTGTGTGTGTGTGTGTGTGTGTGTGTATTTTTAGTAGAGACAGGGTTTCACCATGTTAGCCAGGCTGGTCTTGAACTCCTGACCTCAGGTCATCCGCCCGCCTCAGCCTCCCAAAGTTCTGGGATTACAGGCATGTGCCACAGTGCCCAGCCTATTTATTTAGTTATTTGAAATGGAGTCTTCCTCTGCCACCCAGGCTGGAGTGCAGTGGTGTGATCTCGGCTCACTGCAACCTCTGCCTCACAGGTTCAAGCGATTCTCCTGTCCCAGCCTCCCGAGTAGCTGGAATTACAGGTGCCTGCCACCACACCGGGCTAATTTTTGTATTTTTAGTAGAGATGGGGTTTCACCACGTTGGCCAGGCTGGTCTCAAACTCCTGACCTCAGGTGGTCTGCCAGCCTCGGCCTCCCAAAGTGCTGGGATTACAGGCGTGAGCCGCCACACACAGGGCCAAGGGTGAAGTATTTAAAGTGTTGAAAGAAATAAACCACCAACATGAAATTCTGTATCCAGCAAAATAATCGTCAAAAGTGAAAGAGAAGTAAAGGTTTTCTCAGCCAAACAAAAATTGAGGGAATCCATCTCTAGGAGATCTTCTCTGTAAGAAATTTTAAAAGTGTTTTTCGGGTAGAAGAAGTATGTTATAGGTCAGAAACTCAGATCTACGTAAAGAGTGTCGGAGAAAAAACAAAATCAGTAATGGTAAAATATGTCTTGTTTTTCATTTTCTTTTTCTTTTTTTTTTGAGACAGAGTTTTGCTTTGTTGTCCAGGCTGGATGTGCAGTGGTGTGATCTTGGCTCACTGCAACCTCTGCTTCACGGGTTCATGTAATTCTCATGCCTCAGCCTCCTGAGTAGCTGGGATTACAGGTGCCCCCCAACACACCCAGCTGACTTTCTGTATTTTTAGTAGAGACGGGGTTTCACCATCTTGCCCAGGCTGGTCTCAAAATCCTGAGCTCAGGCAATTTGCCTGTCTCGACCTCTCAAAGTACTAGGATTACTGGCATGAGCCACCGTGCTCGGCCATTTTCCATTTTCTTATTTGATCTAAGGGAAAGAAGCCAGTCTTAAAAGGTTACAGATTATATGACTCCGGCAATTTTATGACATTTTGTAATGGGCAAAACTAGAGCAACAGTATGAAGGTCAGTGTTTGCTAAGAATTCCGGGTGTGGGAATGTGTTGAATAGGGGAAGCACGGGGGCATTTTTAGGGTAATTTTGTAACTATTTTGTAAGGTACTGTAATTATGGACACATAACATTATACATTAGTGAAAACCCAGAGAACTTTACAGTACAAAGAATGAACTTCATGTGTGCAACTTTAAAAAAAATCACTTAGGATTTCCAAGGATTCCAAGACAGAATACATTGGGATTAAACAATATAAGTGTATTCCAAGTCTATGAAACAAACTTGCTGAAAAGGTTGTAGGAGAAAAAAACTGATTAAAGAACGTGAAATGAATAAGGTCTGTAGGACTGAAGTGACAACAAATTGCACGTAAGCACTGTACTCTAGTTGATAAAATTGATACCCACAGGAGTATAAGTTAGCAATTCTGAATTACTGTATGTGGATCCTGGAATGGAACGTTAAGTAAATTGATGGCAGATGGCAGGAGGCAGGAATCTTACTGTTGAAGTGGGGGTTTACAGATAAGCAAGGGGAGAGGTGTAGAATGATCCATGTAGCAATGGGTTAGGGTTGGAGACATCAGTATAAACTCCTGTTTAGATTAATGTAGTTATAAACAGTTAAATATGGAAATATTTACAGGTATATGTATACACTGTATTTAGCATGCTCATATTTCATTACTCTGCCAGGCCCCATAGCAATGACACTCAGTAGCAGTGAGAATAGCTAGTGCCCACATGGTTTGGTTTATAATACCATTCTTCGGTAAAAAGGAACCAGAGCACCTTGGAGAAAGGACTGGTTCTAAGACTGGGGAAGGAAATATGCAAGATGAACTTGGAGCATCTTAGATTGCCAGAGAGTAAGTATAGTGCTAAAGTAGCCCAACAAACAGATAAGCCCCAAACAAACAAACACGGTGATGGGGATATGTTAAAGGTACATGGGAGTCAACTGAAAGACCACCCAATGGCCAAAGCTCAAACAATTTGAGCAATAAAATAAAATAATATATAAATTGAATTATGACTTTGTGGACCTAAATTATCTCAGACAGATCTCAGTAAATTTAGAAAGTTTATTTGGCCAAGGTTAAGGATGTACCTGTAACAGAGCATCAGGAGGTCCTGAGGACATGTACCCAAGGTGGTCGGGTACAGCTTGCTTTTGTACATTTTAGGGAGACATAGCACATCCATCAATATATGTAAGATTTACATCGATTTGATCTGGAAGGATGGGACAACTTGAAGCAGGGGCTTCCAGGTTATAGGTAGATTTAAACATTTTGTGATTGGCAACTGGTTGAGTTAATATCAGTAGAAAGAAATGTCTGGGTTATGATAAGGGGTTGTGGAGACCTAGGTTTTATCATGCAGATTGAGTCTCCAAGTCGCAGCCTTTAGAGAGAATATACTGTATATTCTTCTTTTTCTTTCTTTCTCTCTTTTTTTTTTTTTTTTTTGAGATAGACTCTTTCACACAGGCTGGAGTGCAGTAGCGTGATCTCAGCTCATCGCAACCTCTGCCTCCCATGCTCAAGTGATTCTCCTGCTTCAGCCTCTCGAGTATCATCTGGGATTACAGGTGCATGCCACCACACCCAGCTAATTTTGTATTTTTAGTAGAAATGGGGTTTCACCATGTTGGCCAGGCTGGTCTCAAACTCGTGACCTCAAGTGATCCTCCCACTTCGGTTTCCCAAAGTGCTGGCATTACAGGCGTGAGCCACCGTGCTGTGCCAGTGACTGTAGATGTTTATCAGACTTAAGGTCTGTGTTGATGTTAATGCTGGCGCGATATAATGAGGCATGTTCAAGCCCCTCTTCCATCATGACCTGAACTAGATTCTTAAGTAACTCTAGAATGCCCTTGGCTGAGAGGAGGAGTCCATTCAGATGGCTGGGGACCTTAGAATTTTATTTTTCATTTACATTCTCCCCCTTCTGGCCAAGATTTTCTAGAGGCAACATCAATGGCCACCAGATTTTTATTTTGTCCCATAGCATTGCCGGGGTGGCTGGCATGGCCGCCTGCCCTGGGTCCATCCTGTTCCTCAGTGAAACTCCCTGGGGTCAAGGGACTTAGAATCAAAAGACTTATAGAAAATTAAATGTTCTAGGCCAGATAGAAATGGACGTGGACAACCATTCATTACCCCTTATGTATAATTTTTATTTTAAGTAAAATGCCAACAAACAAAAAGCCAAAGATGAGGTTACAAAACTGACTTATCTTCAACTTCTATGCATTGAGCTTCTATACTGTTGGTTTTGGTTACAGACTTAAAATAATTAGCTATACAAAACATAAGCATTGTTCTGGAAAAAAATTTTAATATGTATCTATCTGCACAACTCATAACTGGGAGTATTGTATCTAGGAGGCTTTGTCATGAGGTATTTCTATCCTCTCAGTAATTATTTTCTTTTAAAAACTAAGAAAACTGAATAATGTATAGACTAATTAATAATAATTTGTCAATACTGGTTTATTAATTGTAACAAATGTACCCTACCAATGTAAGATGTTGATACTATGAAAAACTGGATGTGGATATCTGGGAACTCTCTAGACTGTCTTCCCTTTTTTTATTTTTTGGTAAATTTAAAACTTTTTAAAAGCAGAGTTTATTTAAAAAGTGATTCTTCTAAATATTTAGATGGCTGTATACTGATTCTTTGCATAGCTAATGCATTTAAACAACCCTATCTTATGAACAATCAGTTATTTATTTTTTACTATTATAAACAATTATATAATTAAGGTCTATTGTAAATATTTGTGCGTATGAAGTTACTAATTAACAGAGGATTTATCTGTTAAGTTCTTCTAAGAAACTTATGTTCTTTTACTACTCATAGTGACACATGAAAGTCCAATTTCCCTATCCTCTTGGCAACACTGAATATTATAATTTATTTAATTTTGGCTAATTAAATACATGAAAATCACACCTCATTTTACTTTGAAAGGTAGAATTTTAAAATATTTTCATTGGCTATTTTAACCTACCCTTTTACAAAGTTCAGGTTAATTTTAAAATATAGATTTAATGAACTCCCACTATATTCTGGGGAACATTCACATACCTTACCTTAAGTTATCTTTATTATCCCTTGCATCTGGATGCAAGTAATAGGAAACTCAGTTCAATCTGGCTTAAGCAACATGAAGAAGCCATTATCTCATGTAAGAAGCAGCCCAGAGGGAAGGTGGTTGCAGGAATAATCTAACCTGCTTAATCATGTCAAGGTTTTGATATTCTCAGCAAGACTTGCCCCACATTTGTATAAGATGGCTATAGAAATTCCAGAAATCAAGTACAGAGGGAAGAAAAATTCATGTCAATGTCTTATTTTCCTTTAAAGGATAAAGAAACCTCTCTGATTCATACCACCCCAGGCAGACTTCCCTTCATAATTTACTGGACAGAACTGTATTGCATGCTAAAGTCAAACCAAAGACCACTTGGCAAAGGAAATAAGATATGACTTAATTAGACAACTTAAGATTTTCTGCACCCCTTGCTCTCTGCCCCAAACTGAGGAAGGTCTAGCCTCCCTGAGGAATAGAACAGTTTAAAAGAGACTGAACAAAATCAGGGTTGGGAAAAAGTAAGGAATGGCTGTGGGATGAGCAATCAACAGTATTTTCCTAATCATCCCAGTGGCCTATTGTAAATTAGGTATTCTTATGCCTATTTATCCCGTCAAGATGCTGTGCCTCCTGGTTTGCAATCAAAATCTCTAAATCCAATTACAGATTGGTATTGTGTCCGGAATTGGTGAGTTCTTGGTCTCACTGACTTCAAGAATGAAGCCACGGACCCTCGCGGTGAGTGTTACAGTTCTTAAAGGCAGCGTGTTCAGAGTTTGTTCCTTCTGATGTTCGGATGTGTTCGGAGTTTCCTCCTTCTTGGGGGTGCGTGGTCTCGCTGGCTCAGGATTGAAGCTGCAGACCTTCGCGGTGAGTGTTACAGCTCTTAAGGCGGCGCATCTGGAGTTGTTTGTTCCTCCCGGTGGGTTCATGGTCTCCCTGGCTTCAGGAGTGAAGCTGCAGACGTTCTTGGTGAGTGTTAACAGCTCATAAAGGCAGTGTGGACCCAAAGAGTGAGCAGTACCAAGATTTATTGCAAAGAGTGAAAGAACAAAGCTTCCACAGTGTGGAAGGGGACTGGAGCTGGTTGCCACTGCTGGCTCTGGCAGCCTGCTTTTATTCTCTTATCTGGCCCTACCCACATCCTGCTGACTGGTCCATTTTACAGAGAGCCGATTGGTCTGTTTTACAGAGAACTGATTGGTCCGTTTTGACAGGGTGCTGATTGGTGCGTTTACAATCCCTGAGCTAGACACAAAAGTTCTCCACATCCCCACTAGATTAGCTAGATACAGAGTGTGGACACAAAGGTTCTCCAAGTCCCCGCCAGAATAGCTAGATACAGAGTGTCGATTGGTGCATTCACAAACCCTGAGCTAGACACAGGGTGCTGATTGGTGTGTTTACAAAGCTTGAGCTAGATACAGAGTACCGATTGGTGTATTTACAATCCCTTAGCTAGACGTAAAGATTCTCCAAGTCCCCACCAGACTCAGGAGCCCAGCTGGCTTCACACAGTGGATCGCACACTGGGCCACAGGTGGAGCTGCCTGCCAGTCCCGCACCCTGCGCCTGCACTCCTCAGCCCTTGGGCGGTCGATGGGACTGGGCAGTGGATCAGGGAGCGGTGCTTGTCAGGGAGACTTAGGCCACACAGGAGCCCACGGAGTTGGGGGGAGACTCAGGCATGGTGGGCTGCAGGTCCTGAGCCCTGCCCCGCGGGGAGGCAGCTAAGGCCCGGCGAGAAGTGGAGCGCAGCAGCTGCTGGCCTGGCTGCTAAGCCCCTCACTGCCCATGGCGGTGGGGCTGGCTGGCTGCTCTAAGTGCGGGGCCTGCCGAGCCCACGCCAACCCCGAACTCGTGCTGCCCCACAAGCGCTGCGTGCAGCTGCGGTTTCTGCCCGCGCCTCTCCACACCTCCCTGCAAGCAGAGGGAGCCGGCTCGGCTGAGGCCTTGGCCAGCCCAGAAAGGGGCTCCCACAGTGCAGCAGTGGGCTGAAGGGCTCCTCATGTGCCGCCCGCCAAAGTGGGAGCCCAGGTAGAGGAGGCACTGAGAGCGAGCGAGGGCTGCGAGGGCTGCCAGCACGGTGTCACCTCTCAGTATTAATTGTAAAAATTTTACAATTGTGATCAGCATTAAGGGAGAGAAGTTGAAGTTTTGTTTTTTGTTTTTTTTTTTTTAACACAGAATTTAGCTCTGTTGCCCAGTAGAATGCAGTGGTGTGATCTCGGCTCACTGCAAGCTCCGCCTCCTGGGTTCACGCCATTCTCCTGCCTCAGCCTCCAGAGTAGCTGGGACTACAAGCGCTGCCACCACGCCTGGCTACGGTTTTTGTATTTTTAGTAGAGCCCGAGTTTCACCATGGTAGCCAGGATGGTCTCAATCTCCTGACCTCGTGATCCACCCACCTCCGCCCCCCAGAGTGCTGGGATTACAGGCGGAGCCACTGCTTCCGGCGAGAAGTAGAGGTTTTACAGCATTTGTGGGGAGCAAATTGTAGGAAAAACCTGGTTGGGGGAATTGAGAAAAAACTTCCTGAGAAAATAACATTTTAGTTAAGCACTAAATGTTGAATGCCATCTTCATAAATTAAATCCTTTACAGTGGCAGCATCTGAGCTATTTTTTCATTTTGCGTGGATGTGACCTGTTTATTGTACTGATGCAATCACAGCTCCGTAACAGTAGTTACTGAAGCCAGGGGCATGGTGACAAGAGAGGCATTGGGAAGCAACTCTGAAAACAGTAGGCAGGTCCTCAGCAATGTCCATGAACCTACTTGAGGAGACTTCAGTGAGCTGGAGAACAGTTCACAGTCCAGTTCAATGAAATACCCCTTCCAACATGATCCTATTATTGGTGCCACGACAGTGTTTGATATAACATCATAGGACAGAATGCTTGGTATTTCTTTTATTAGTCTGGTCTTACTTTTAAAATGTAGCAAATATCAATATCATAAAGTACACATTATAAGACAGAGAGCACAGATGTCCACTTATACTTGGTAGAAAAGAAAGGAAGGGAGGGAGGGAGAGGGGAAGGAGGAAAGAAGGAAGGAGAGAGGGAAGGAGGAAAGAAGGAAGAAAAGAAAGGATGGAAGGAAAGAGGGAAGGAAGAAAACAATAAAAAGGCAAATCAGATTCCAACTTGTAATAGGTTTCATTACTATTTAGGTATGACAAGGCCAATGATGAGACATTGTAAGATGGAAAGATGACTGTTATTTAAAAAATAGTTTATTCTAATCATAAGTAGAATAGAATTTATTCAATTTTCGAGAAAGTACAGGTCACACCTGGGTGAGGGGGCACACAGAGACCACCCGGATGTATCACAAGATAGAGGGAGAGGGGGCGACTGGGTAAGTGCCTTTTTTGTGGTTTCCACGAGAAGGAACTGGCAAAGCCAGCTAAGTAGGCTTAGGATTTGTTAGTATGAAAAATATCTGTGGGCTCTGGGGCACAGAGGATATTTCAACTGTCTTTTATCTGGCCCTGGGGTGATTAGGGTGGGTGTACAGTGGTCCAGAGTACAAGAGTCCCATAAGAGGAAGTGGTTGTGGGTGTGGATTTAATTGGCTGCTCAAGAAAGGGAACTGATTGGCCTCTACCCAGGGCCTCAAAACTGGGTCAAGACAGCATTTAAAAAACAATATTACACAACTGAATGCGACTAGGTTTGTAGAAGCAATTTATGTGTTCTCTCCTCTATTAGGGGGAGAAAGGGCTTATTCTCAGTTTTAGCCACAGATTTTTAGATGATTGAACAAACACAAAGCACAACTCAAAATAGTTAAGGTCATTGAGAGTTTTTTAAATCACTTTGCATGTTAAAATCAACTGCAACATACCGATTAAATGAAGTTCATCTTAAACAGATGTACGACAGGATTTATCTGAAAGAAAGGTAGCAAAACTCCTCTGCATTGATTATCTTAACATTTGGTTTAGTACTATTCACAAATTTGAGGCAATCTATGCTGTTTTATGTACGAGGTCCAGCAGCATTTACTTGAAAATCACTAAATTCTGGTCTGCTCTTACTAATGTCAAAGTCAGTTTCATATAGAGATTCATGGAAGAGAGAAGAATGAATTTGTGTGCCCTGAAGATTAGTCTGCAGGTGATACAGAAAATGTCACTAGGAAGCCCAATGATGTAAGCAAGCACCAAGCTTGTTATCTTGGATTTACTAATAAAAATGGCGCTGTAAGGCCAGGCGCAGTGGCTCACGCCTGTCATCCCAGCACTTTGGGAGGCTGAGGTGGGCAGAGCACGAGGTCAGGAGACCATCCTGGCTAACATGGTGAAACCCCATCTCCACTAAAAATACAAAAAAAAAAAAAAAAAATTATCCCAGCATGGAGGCAGTTGCCTGTAATCCCAGCTACTTGGGAGGCTGAGGCAGGAAAATCACTTGAACCCAGAGCAGGGAGCTTGCAGTGAGCCTAGATCGCACCACTGCACTCCAGCCTGGGCTACAGAGAGACTCCATCTCAAAAAAAAAAAAAAAATGGCGCTGTAAATGAATTGGAAAAATTAAGGAAACAAGGACAGGTAGTTAAATTCTGTAGTTAAGTATAAGACTCTCCATCTGTCCAAAGAGCTTATATTGACATAATTTCTAATATGAATAAAACATCACCAAGATCAATATCTAGTGTATGTTCCAACCAAAATGTGAGAATAATCTATCCATGGTAGCATTTATTTGATCAAATACTTTATAGTTACTCAATGTATTTAACAAAAAAGCAATAACATTTTACTGAAAATTAAATTAGGGTTTTAAATGCAAGGCTATATTCTTTCTAGAAGTATTTTGGCAGGAATCATTCATTCCAACAGGGACATCTTTATCTAATGATATCTAGCACTTATAAGGCATTTTCATCTTCCAAGTGTTTTACTCACACCAATTAATTAATTTTCATTTTATTGAAACAAGATAGGTAAATACAAGTTAAAAGGAAGCTAATTTTCTTCCAGACCAGATGGGAAGTCAATGTCAAAATTTAAATTATGCTTAGGATTTTGGCTTCAGCCCTCTGTCCTGATCATTAAGTAAAAAATACCTACCTCAGTATCATTAAATGTGAAATCATGTCTTTGAAAAAAAAAAAAAAAACACAAACTCCAAAATCAAAGCTGATAATTTCAATTTTTTAAGACTTCCTCCTTGTGCTTTTCAAAAAAAAGATAAAAATAAAAAAAAAGCATAGTGCTTTTCCTTTTTCCCTCTTGATAAAATAGCGTTCTAGTCCTGATGGTGTTGAACTGTAGTCTTTACAATGTGAAGTATGGTAGTTTTCAAATTATCTTTAAAAAAACAGATTATTTCTCGTAAAAGTGTTGGTGAGAAAATACTGAAAAGAATCAAATGTGCAAACTATTTGTTATAGCTCAAGGATGTCTGCATAACAATGTGAGAGAAAGAATTCTTTTTAAATCCACTTACACTCAAGGTATCTTTATATATCTGAGACTAAAAAAAATATATAAGTTTGAATAATGCATACATGCTTTTGTTATAAGATTGCATTCTTTAAATAAATAATAAATATCTCACAGTGCTGTTCTTAAAAAAAAAACATATGAAGATTTCAAACTATGGTTAACCAAAATGAAGGCACTCCGTTTGCAGAAGTTGTTGAGTATAGAGAGCATTTTATATGGGCAAAATAAATGTCCAGCCATAGCTGTAAATCAGAGCAAGGTAAAAGCCAAAATAAATTCTCTAGCTTGTGTTGAAAAAGCTTCAAACTTAGGGTACTTTTCAGAATTTGGCAAGCTATGGACCATGGGCCAAATCCAGCCACCCGCCTGTTTTTGTAAATAAAGTTTTATCGTAATACCGTCATCCCCATTTATTTACGCATTGCCTATTGACACTTTTAAGCTTCAACAGAAGACTCCAGTAGTTGCAACAAAGACCATATGGCCTGCAAAACCTGAAATATTTACTCTCTGGCTCTTTACAGAAAACATTTGCCAACTCCTCCTCTACTAAAGCTGACTTGTTGAGTCCCTGAGAGAAGTCAGACGACACTCACTTAGGCAAGAGGGAGGCTACTAAATTTGAAAAGGAAATCTATTTAAATTTGTGCTTATGTAGGGAGTACCCAATTTCTGAGCCAGGTGTCATTCAAAATTCATTTGTAAGTCATTTATGCCTCACTCTGACATATTCATTAATTCAAAATATGACTTTCTAATCTACAACATAGAACAAATTGGGGTCAGGTTCAGATGATAGACAAAGCATTGTTTCTCCCCATCTTTCATGAACTCCTATGCATCTTAAAGTTACCTAGAGAAGATCAAGATACATCCTATTCAGAGCATTTTATCCTTATGAAGCCAGTAGAATCCATTGAGTGTGAGCAGCGAAACATGCTTAGCTTGTTTCAAAGGTGTAGGATTAGGGTTAGGGTTAGGGTTACCCAGGTGAGCTGAGATCATAAAAATGGCTTCTTCACCATGGATAGCAAAAGGAGACTTCCGATATCCATATTTTCTGGTGTTCTGTATTTTGTACGATATTCATGTAAAGTAGCATTCTTTGATGTTTTTTACTTTCTCAGATTCTCTAGAGCAAGCTGAAATCTTCAAAGTTTTCTTACTTTTAATGATGATAACATTGATGACATGCAGTGGTTACTGAATGTGTACTATGTTTACTCTGTTGTTCTATGTTTATATATGTGTTTAATCACTCCTCATCACAACGCCATGAAGTGGTATTGTTATTATTCTTACTTTACAGATAGTAGATACAGACGGTAAGTCATTTTTAATAGATTACACATCTAATAAGCATTATAATAAAGGAGAAAATAGGTCTCTATCAAAGCCTTAAAGATTAATTTCTCTAAGCCTTGTGAGAGCTCAATTTGAATGTGATATATATATGTATGTATGTATGTGTATATATATATATATATATATATATATATATATATATATATACATTCTTAATTGGTGGGTCATATGGGTTTAATATTAATAAATATTGTTTTTGGCCGGGCGCGATGGCTCACGCCTGTAATCCCAGCACTTTGGGAGGCCAAGGCAGGTGGATCACCTGAGGTCAGGAGTTCAAGACCAGCCTGGCCAACATGGTGAAACCCCGTCTCTACTTAAAATACAAAAAATTAGCTGGGCATGGTGTTGCGCACCTGTAATCCCAGCTACTCGGGAGGCTGAGGCAGGAGACTCGCTTGAACCCGGGAGGCAGAGGTTGCAGTGAGCTGAGATTGCGCCATTGCACCCCAGACTGGGGGACAAGAGCGAGACTTCGTCTCAAAAAAAATAAATAAAATAATTTTTTTACATTGTTTGAATATTAATATTAGTTACTAGATTAGACAGTTTCAGTAAAATTAATGCTGTAAGTATTAAAGTTTTCTTCAGCCTTTCTCATAATTTGGCTAGTTAGTAATATGGATATTATTTTTATCAACTTTAGCAATAAAGTATAAATTTTAAATATTTTAGTTTATGACCTAAATGATAAATCATTCACATCATTATAAAATATTACACTGTTATTTCATATTATTGTATACAATTAATAGGACTTCAGCTTCTAGTAATAAATCACTGAGTAATTCAGACCAAGATTTTCTGTGATGATGCCAGTGAGAAAATCTAGATAAAACCTAATAAATGCCTTTTGAGCCATCAGAAAACAAATACTACCAGGCTAGGACCTGTAAGAAGGTAGAGACCCAGAGAAAGATCTCACTTTTAGGACTGTATTTCCCCTTGGGTACTTTCTAGTTACTGAGCAGATCATCTCAGAGACTAAAGATTAAAGAGCACTTTAAAATAGCATATGGGCCTAAGATACAGCAAATGAGCTCCAGAGCCCACAAAGGGAAGGAGAGTGGGGCAGTTGTTGAACTGAATCCCTTGGGTTTGGGACTCTGAGGTACTAAATCCCTAGAACACTGGAAACTAGATAAATTCTTACAGTGACCTCAGACCAGTTTCAAACTAATTCAAACCTGAAACAAGATTGAGGGATTATAGATTAACTGTGCTTCTGAGCATCTTATGGAAGTAAATGCTAATTTTTTTCAAGAGAAAAATAACATCGCCCTAGTTGAGTTATTTCTATCTTTTTATAATTCAGTGTTCAGTACACATTTTTTAAAACCACACAAAATTATAAGATAACACATATGAAAACCAGCACAATTAACACACATCGTGAATAAAAATCAATGCAAACAACAGACAATAAAGTCAGATTCACTTAGACTTTAGATATTCAACTTATAGTGTATATATTTTAAAATAAGCATGCTTGCTATGTTCAGGAAAATAAAATAGTAATAATTATGGAAAACCCTGGAAATAAGAGAAGAATAATATACAGACTTCAGAACAGAAAAAATGCAATAACCAAGGTTAGGTACTCAATGGGTGATTTTATCAGCAGATTAGACACAAATAAAGAGAGGCCTAGTGATCTGGAAGATAGATAAGAAGAAAATATTAAGAACACACCAAAGAGACAAAAATACGGAAAAATCACAAGAAAATATAAAATACATATAGGATACAAGAGGAGATCCAACATGGGTGCAATCTGAATCCCATTAATAAATGGAAGAGGGAATTGGGAGAGAAGTAGTATCTAATGCCACAAAGACTGAGAACTTTCCAAAACTTATAAAATGTGTTAAACCTTAGATTTTAAAATCTCTATGAACTACAAGTAGAATATACAACAAGTAATCTATGCCTAGGCATATAATATTGAACTTTTGCAAACCAAAGAAAAAGAGAAAAAATGTAATGCAGCCATGTAAAAAGGATAGATTGTCTTTCAGAAGCAAGTATAAGACTCACTGTTGACTTCTTAACATCATGACATAGCCAGAAGATTAACTATAAAGTATTAATAGAAAATAATTGTCAAACTAGAGTTCGATACACAGAAAAAATGCCTTTCAAGATTGTTGAACTGAAATAGACGTTTTCAGACAAATAAAAAAATGAGAATTTTTGACCTAGCGTTGTGGCTCCTGCTTGTAATCTCAGTACTTTGGGAGGCCAAGGCAGGCAGATTACCTGAGGTCAGGAGTTCAAGACCAGCCTGGCTAACATGGTGAAACTCCGTCTCTACTAAAAATACAAAAATTAGCTGGGCATGTTGGCGGGCGCCTGTAATCCCAGCTACTCGGGAGGCTGAGGCAGGAGAATTGCTTGAACCTGGGAGGCGGAGTTTGCAGTGAGATGAGATCACGCCATTGCTCTCCAGCCTGGGCAATAAGAGTGAAACTCTGTCTTAAACAAACAAACAAACAAAAACTGAGAATTTTCTACCAGAAATACCTCTTGAAGAGTGTTACTCAGGCCAAGTGAAAATGATCCCTAATAGAAGATTAAAGATGGAGAATAAAATGACAACAATAAAATGATGAACAAATGGGTAAATATAAGTGAATATTAACTATGAAGTAATATTAATATTACTAAATAATAAAAGGCTGTATGGTAAATATTAATATGTCATGTCTCATTGGATTTTAATACACCACCACACACATAAAATAAAATGGGGTTAAATAGTAAATGAAGTTAGGCCAGGCGTAGTGCCTCATGCCTGTAATCCCAGCACTTCGGGAGGCCAAGGCAGGTGGATCACCTGAGGTCAGGAGTTTGAGGCCCGCCTGGACAACATGGTGAAACCCCGTCTCTACTAAAAAATACAAAAATTAGCCGAGCATGGCAGTGCTATAATCCCAGGGAGTAGCTGTAATCCCAGCTACTCGCTCCTCGGGAGGCTGAGGCAGGAGAATCACTTGAACCTAGGAGGTAGAGGTTGCAGTCAGCCGAGATTGCACCACTGCACTCCAGCCTGGGCAACAGAGCAAGACTCTGTTTCCAGAAAAAAAAAAGATAGTAAATGAAGTTAAAGAACAAGGCAATAACCAATTAATATTACACTGATAAGGCAAGAATGAAATATATCATTTCTGGGTCACCTCTAAAAGAATTGTAAAAGACTATGTAACTCCTTAATAGAGAGCAAAAAAATAAGAACAAAAAATTATCAATAAATTGAAAAGGAGGCAAAAAAAGAGAAAAAAGAGGAGAAAAAAATGTTAGGACAAAACACACAGCATTATTTTATGTTTAAACTCAAATATTAAATGTAAAAAAACTAGGTGTTCAAAATAAATAGAAAAATTATCAGGCTTGTTTATGTAATTTTTATAAAAGTCTCATCTAAAATATTCCAAAATAAGGATTCCAAATAGTTAAAAGGTAAAACAACAAAAAAGGAAAATTGTATACCTTGTAGATATGATCCAAAAGACATTGCTTAGCTATATTAACATTAGTCTCAGTAAGTCTTAAGATTAGCAGAATTACTAGAGATAAAGAGGAACACTTTATAATGATAATTGGATGAATTCACCAGAAAGATACAACAATTCTAAATGCGAGTGCACTGAAAACTTAGCTTGAAGATGTATAAAGAATAGTTGAAACTATGAGGAGAAAAGGAAAAAAAAAGTCTAATCACAGTGGGATATTTTTACACACTTCTTCTCTCACACATAGATAAAACTAAAATTAATAAGAATATTAAAAATTTGAATAACATGAGTAGACTGGATCTAACGGGCATAGCTAGTACATCACTCCCTATAAAACTACAAAATGCATCTTAACTGCGGGCATAACATTTGCAAATGGAGCATTTGCCAGGTCATCAAGCAAGTTTTAAGGAACGATTGAAATTATTCACAGTGTGTTTTTTGACCGTGAAGAAATTAGCTATCAAATATTACAAAAAGCTAGAAAACATTCATATAGGCTGACAATTAAGAAATACTCTTATAGATGATCTAGTCGATCAAGAAGAAATCAATAGAGGAATATCAATATTTTGAATTAAGTAATAATGAAAGTGCTGTATTAAAGTGTGGGCTGCTACAGAAAAACATTCTTAGATGCTAATCTGTGCCATTAGTGCATTTATTAAAAAGAAAGATGTGAAAATTAACTTTCCCAGAATTTAGAAAATAAACACAAATTGAATATAAAATAGAAAAATGAGAAACCAAATGAAATAGAAAATAAACATAGACATTAACAATGCCAAAAGCTGGACCTTTGAAAGAATTTTTAAAAGTAATAAACTTCTGTTGAGACTAATCAAGAAAAAGACAAAAGGCACAAATAACTAATGTCAGGAACAGAGAAGGGGTCAATACCACATCTCTACAGATATTAGATATTTAAAGGTCTGATAACTTTATGCCAGTAAATATAAACACTTAGATTAGATAAATCCACAAACTAATTACTAAAGAAAAATAGAAAATCTAAGCATACCTATAATTATTAAAGAAATTCAATAATAAATTAAAACTTTCCAGCAGGGTGCGGTGGCTCACGCCTGTAATCCCAGCACTTTGGGAGGCTGAGGCAGGCGGATCATGAAGTCAGGAGATCGAGGCCATCCTGGCGAACATGGTGAAACTCCATCTCTACTAAAACTGCAAAAAATTAGCCTGGTGTGGTGGTGGGCACCTATAGTCCCAGCTACTTGGGAGGCTGAGGCAGGAGAATCGCTTGAACCTGGGAGGTGGATGTTGCAGTGAGCCGAGATTGTGCCACTGCACTCCAGCCTGGTGACAGAGCGAGACTCCATCTCAAAAAACAAACAAACAAACAAACAAAAAACTGGCAAACTTGGGAGGAAGATTACCTTAATTTTATAAAAATTACTTACAAAAGAAATAAATAAATCACAATCAATATTATATTTGGAATAATGTATTGCAAGCTTTTCCTCTGAGATTGGGTACAAGTAAGTCTAATAACATGACTTGTATTTAATATTATAATAAATGTTGTAGCCAATATAATAAAGCAAGAAAAAAAGAAATAATGCAACAATTGAGAACAAAGAAATAAAACTTAATTCACAGACAACATGATTGACTATATGAAAAGTTAAAAAATCTGCATAAAATTGTTGTAATGAATAAGGTCAATATATAAAATCAACTGTATTGCTTTAAATGAGCAATTGGACAATTTCATGAAAGCACGCCATTTATGAGAGCATAGGAAAAACCTCTTAAAAGAACAAACCTCATAAAAGCTGTGCATAACTCTACCAATGAAACGTAAAATATTATTGAGAGAAGATAAAGACGACCTAAATAAATTGAGCTAAAATTGTTAGAATTTATTTCTCTTGGTATAACTTGTAAGTTGATGGCAAATGCATTTGGAAATGCCAAGGGTCAAGAATAGCCAGTTAAATCTAAAGCAATAAAACAGAATTGAAGGACTTATTGTACTCACTCTCAAGATTTTATTATTAGGTTATAACAATTACGACAGAAAGATATTGTGTAAACATAGACAAACTAAGCAATGAAACAAAATAAAAATTCCATAAACAGACCCACCTATGTATTGATTTATGACATAATTTGCACTGCAGAATGAGGGAAGCACAGTTTTCTTAAGAAATGTTGCTACATCGGGCTGGGCGGGGTGGCTCACGCCTGTAATCCCTGCACTTTCGGAGATCGAGGCGGGCGGATCATGAGGTTAGGGGTTTGAGACCAGCCTGGCCAACACGGTGAAACCCCGTCGCTATAAAGATACAAAAAATTAGCTGGGCGTTGTGGTGTGCACCTGTATTCCCAGCTACTCTGGAGGCTGAGGCAGGAGAATCGCCTGAACCCGGGAGGTGGAGGCTGCAGTGAGTTGAGATTGCACCAGTGCACTCCAGCCTGGCAACAAGGCAAGACTTCATCTCAAAAAAAAAAAAAAAAAAAAAAAAGTTTCTACCTCAATTGGATATCCATACAGAAAAAATACGAGTCTACTTCTTATCATATACAAAAAATAATTTCACGTGAATTATAGCTTAAATTATGAAAGATAAATAATGTTTATAGAACATAAAATTTGTCATGGGGAAGATTTTGTGAAGAGATATGATAGGTATAAAATAAGGAAAAACATAGGTATTTAGGCGGCATTTACATTAAGAACACTGGTATATGAAAGCACAGGATTAGCAGCTTATATCCAAAACATACAAAGAGCTCCTGTAAGTTAATTAGGAAAAGAGCTATAATAGAGTAGAAAAGAAAGTGGACAAATATTTGAAGTCACTTCACAAAAGAAGATAACCAAATGCCTAATATATACTTATAAAATATGCTCAGCCTCATTTGTTATCAGAATTTTGCAAATTAAAACCATAAGTGATACCACTACACATCCGGCAGAATGTTTAAAAATAAAAATACTGAGGATACCAAATGCTAGCAAGGATGTGGAGCAACTGGAACTCTCATAGGCTGTTAGTAGGTGTGCACACTCTCCTGGGGGAACTAAAGTTGGAAATACACATACCCAGAAATTTTACTGTTAGGTATCAGCTTGAACCATATAAAATTGCCAATATTTGCCATTACAAATGACAAGTTTATACGGTCCGCACTAACATATCCAGTTGAAACGCATACAGATACATCGAAAGTGTATAAAATATTCATTGCAATATTATTTGTAATGGCTCCAAACCAGAGGCATCATAAATGATAATCAGCTGTAGAGTGAATAAATAAATTGTGGTAAATTCACCCAATGCGATACAGTATAGAAATGGAAAGAAGTGAACTACAGCTATGCACAATGAAATGAATATAAAGGAGGGTGCTTTATTATTTCATTAGTAAAAAAATGAAAACAGGCAAAAATCATAGTGTTTAGATAAGTCTAGGTGTGTAAACAATAGGGAAAAGCAAGGAAATGATGATCAAAACAATTACTTTGGAAAGGGAGGGAAGAAGTATAATGGAAAGAGAGCACAAGGAGGCTTCCAAGGTGCTGGCAACGTTCCATTGCTTCACCAGGAAGGTGGTTATGTGGATGTCCATTTTGTAATACATCACTGATCTGTACATTTTTATTTTGATCTCTACATTTGAAAATTTTACAGTAATAAGAGGTTCAATAAGATAATAGTGTAACAGTTAATATGTGTGACAAATTATAAACAGAATATTATTCCCCAAAATTACTCATTATCAAAAAGGGAGTCGACATATTTGATTTGTTACATGGGGAGCTCCCTCGCTTATGTTATTTTTGAGCAGTAGGATGACCTATTCAACAACAATTTTACCTATTCAGCAAATATTTAGTGCCTTGTAAGTACAAACACTTTTCCAGATACTGTTTCAGCCATGAGGACAATACAGAAATCTCTGCTTTCATAGATCTTATACTGTAGTGGGAGAGAGAAATAATAAAGCAAAGTAGATAAGAAAACTATATAAATGTTAGAAAATTGTAAGTGTTAAGGAGGAAAATAAAGCAGAAGCGAGAGTTTTTTTTAATGAATTCTCAAGTGGGGTTACAATTTTAGATATGAGGACCTCTGTGAAATGAAATGACAATTCAGCAAATGAGGGATCTAGCCACATTGTTATCTGAGGAAAGAGCATCCCAGCCCGAGAAACAGCGAGTGCAAAAAGTAATAGAAAGCACGCTGTCCAGAAATTATCTCAATCAAAGAAACTTCTGGATTCTAACAGAAATCAACCAATGAAACTGGGAAAATAAAGGAGACAAACTAATGCAAAATTAGTAATGATTCTTGTAGTCTGACCTCACACTTGTAAGCACTAGGTATCATTGTAAACAAGCCTTGACAAAATTTTATTTCAACAGCATTAGACTATGTGGCTACATCTTGGAGACTATCTATATGAACTTTTCCAGATGAATGAGAAAACAAGCAAATGAGCAATGTGTTCAAATGTTATATAAAAGAGCTCTTGTGGATCAAGATAAAATTTTAAGGGAGATCGTCACAGATGGATATTAAAAGTTCTGTGTTGCCAAAAAATTAGAATAAAAGTGAAAATTACGTGCTCTCAAACATTGTTATCAGTCAGAAAGTGACTTTACTGCTGATGAAGATTGATGTTGAAGATGCCTGTGAAGAGTTTGAATGAAGTTATTTCAGGAAATGTGAAAGTATTAAAACATGCATAAATTAATACTTAAAAATATCTAATCTTAGGTATATGTCCAAACAAAAACTGTACATGAATGTCTATAGCTGCATTATACATAGTAGCCAAAAGGTGAAACCCAAATATCCATCAACAAAAGGATAATTAAAATATGGTAGATCCATTCCATAGAATATTATTTGGTTATACAAGGAATGGGGATACTGATACATGTTACAAAATGGGTGAAATTGAAAACATCATGCTGAGTGAAAGAAAGCAGGCACAAAAGACCACATTATATAATTCCACTCATATGAAATACCTAGAAAAGGGGAATCTATAGAGACAGAACATTGATTATTGGTTGCCTGGTACTGGGGGAGGTGATGGAGGAACAAGAAGGTAATAGCTGAAGGGTATACGTTTCTTTTTGAAACTCTGTGAATATACTACAAACCATTGAACTGTATACTTCAAATAGTTGAATAGTATGGTACTTGAATTGTATCCAAATAAGTGTTTAAAAATAGATAATCTTGAATAGGTATGTGTAAGTAAATGAAAAAAAATTAAATAGAAGTAGACATTTGATGATTTCAGCTATAGGTCTACCCCTGTACATGTCTACACTCATCACAAACATTTCTTCCTGGATCTTCTCTTTGGATAAATGGGGGCCCACTCCAAAGACTTCCGAAAATGTTCATTCGCTTGGTTAGATATAGCAATAAAATAGTGGGCCATGTGAATGTTGAAGAATTTTAGTTCATTCTGCTTTCTACCTTGATCTTCCTCCCCAGTTTTGAGCTGGATCCCTAAGTATTTGTCTCTGGGTCCCTACTTTTCCCTGGGACAACTTTAAATGTTAGAAGATGGAGACAGGGACAGATTAAGGCCTAAGTGGTTCTAATCAGGGAATGACTATGTTGCCAACAGCTATATATAATTCAAAATAAGAGCAAACCAAACCTAAACACAAATCTTACAAGTAGGTGGAAATTCAATTAGCTTTTTTGATTGTAAAACTGTAGATCAGCTAGCTCATCAGAACTACCTCATCTCTCCTTTTTCTCTCTCTTTTTGCTCGGATGGCATACTCTGTCATGATACTATTGCCCTAAGTAATATTTCACCAGCCTGTGGGGCAACCTAGCATGGAAAATGGGAAAAGGCAGATGCTGAGCACCAGGATTTATCTTACTTTGGCGCTGGGTAGAGAAATCAGTATGTATATAAATGCAAAAATATAACTATGTTGTGATTTTAGCATTTACAGAGAAGATGTTTTTTTCTTTTAGAAATTAATTTGCTTCTGCTATAAATCCTCAATTTAATTCTCTTTGTCTCTGACAGTGTAAAAGATATCTTAAGTAGTCACAGAGGAGTAGGCCAAAGAGTTTGACTCGATATGGGCCAAAAGTGGCAGAAATTTATTAATTGGATCAACCTGGTTTTCTGTAGATTTCTATAAAAATGAAGGAGACTAACAGGAAAACACAATCAACATGTACATGCAACCGTAAACCATGTCTGCCTGTGTTCCCATAATGATTGAATCATTAGTGGTGCCATATTGTATCGGTATTTTCCACACTGCCTTAGGCGTAACAGTCAAAATGTGACTACCACATCCATTGACAGTTTGACAGTTTCTACCTGAATCAAAATCTCAAGAAAAGCATGCCAGCTTAGAAAGTAACTGCCATCACAAAATTAAATTGGAAATAATTTACAAATACATCAGCAGTTACTTTTTAAGCAATCACTTTACAATTAGCATTTTACTAGGCCTTTTTAAAAAGGTTTTTATTTGCTTATTTATTGTTCTTCCACAGTGTTTTAAGAGACCTTTCCCCACACAATTAAAATTAAATAGCAGTTTTAGTACTGTGAAAATGGTAGAATTTCAAACATTCATTAAAAATGGGGAAATGCTACAATATATTGTATTTTACATACCAAAAAAGACAATTAGAAAATTAAAATATATGGAGGGATTTTATCTGCTTCATTCATATGTTTAATATCATGGCAATAATTCAGTCTTGATTTTATAATTCTGGAAACTTTTCAGTATTCTTTCTCCGGTAGCTAACCTGTATTTACTCAGAATATCAATCAGTTGCATTTTTTGTAGTGCATAAAACACTCTCTAATTAAGCTTTATTTAATTTGTTTTAACTCAGAGTGTAAAGGAGATGGCACAATGTGAATTACTAATTATAGTAACCTCTCCTCAAAACTACAAATGGGTATGAAGTGATATCTGTGTGTGTGTTTTTATACTATCACATCACTCACAGAAGCGGTTCCTCACAAAGATGATAACAATAGTAATGATACTTAGCATTTATATAGCATTTTCTATCTTCACAACGCTTTATAAACCCTAACTAAATAATGGTACTTGCAAGAATGAGGTTAAGGCACCAATGAATCAGCATGTAACGTTAGTCCTCTGAAACATCACCTTTCGCTGTCAGTTCCCGTGGGATAGACTGCCCCTCATGATGGATTGAAACCAGATACAATTGATTGGCTGGTCTCAGCCTGCACTCCAAAGGAACCTCCATAGCCTTTGGATGTTTACACTGATTAACTCAAGCACAGGCATCTTTATTTGTGGTCTCAGACCAGCCCTCCACTGACAGAGCCAAGTGAAGACTTTTAAGTAATTATTTGGACAATTCAGTCTCAAATCTCCTCTCATTCTGAGGCACACTAAGATAGTTGCCTGACTACTCTCTACCTGGATTTTTCAAAACTCAACTATATTGACATTTGGGGCTGGAAAATTCTTTGCAGCAGAGAGATATCCTGCCTATGGTAGGATGTTTAGCAGCGCCCTTGGCTTCTACCCACTGGGTGCCAGTAGCACCCATCCCCCCCTCACCCCTCAGGTGTGAAAACCAAAAATGCCTTCAGATATTGCCAAACATTCTCTGTGGAGCAAAACGTCTCCCAGTTGAGAACCACTGCTCTATGCTTTGTGATGGCTAGACATCCTTATTCTGTGTCTTAACAATGCATATTTATTTGTCTCCAGCAGTGCCTCCTTTGGCAGTGAATTTCAGGTGTGTTATTCCAGTTTGACTTCGCGAACTGGAAAACCTCAAGGACTTGGTTTAGGAAACTTTCAAGTCAGTTTGGATAACATTGCCTCACTGCCTTCCCCAGTACCCAGAGTAAGGAATTCTTCCACACTGTGCACAAAACAGCAGTATCAACATACCCTGAAAATCAGTTTAGCATTACAGTTTATGAAAAACTTATTTCACAGGGTTTTGAGATAAGTTGACAGTGGCTAGTTTGAAAGCTCAGCCTTACACATTTTGCTTCTCAGCTGGGCTTAGAAAATTGTTGCAACTGTAGTTGTAAGGAAAATACTACCTCAAGGCCCGATCATAAAAGCTTGTATCAGACAGATGTCTGCAGTTATTTTTGGTTCTGTATTCAGTAAGTTTTATATGGACCTAATTCCCAGAAAAACTCTCCAGTCTGTTTACATGGACAGGATAAACTGGCTGTGTTTTCTTTGCATTCCTAGCGTGAGCTGGTAATTATCCATCTACTGCTGGGATATTTCATGTAAATGGTGGACATTTTAGACACCATGTGCATCCTTAATCTCCCTAGGATTCTTTAGGAACAAAATTATTTGATATGAAAACCTTTGATATTACAAGTTGTGTTTAACATTTCAAGCCTCATTTGCATCAGTTCAGTTCACTGATCTGCTAAGCACACAGGACGACGAATCATGGAGAGAGGGAAACCTATAGATGCACTCAGTAGCCTGAAGGTATATTACACAAAATAGTACAAGTGAACTGCTGAAGAAGTATCTAAAATTTATTAGCATAGGGTACAGTTAGTGAGGCAGTTGAAGACTATCTCAGAATACTTTTCCAAATAAATAAATAATTGAAAAGATGCGTTGATGGTGAAGATGAGTAAGAATTTCTTGATGTATAGATTATGCAGACTATGCATCTGGCACATTCCATTGTGAGCTGATTATCCAAGCATGAATGTAGTAAATCCTTTATTGATCTAAATACTACAGCATCAAATCTTGGTCTTTTTTTTTTTATTTTCTGCAAATCGCTAAAGGCTTTGACAATTTCCACGTGGGCTAGAACTAGGCAAGCAGTCAAACAATTCCTGTACATCAAGGAGGTACTTACTAATGGCTGTAGCTGAAACACCTGCTAACCTGCTATTGTAAGCATTTATCCGGTATTTGCCTGCGGCAGAAATAAATGAATAAATAAACTTTCACCAGTCATACTACATGAGTTAATGCATTATAGCATTATGTAAAGTAGCAAAGCGCATTCTTCTGGGGCTTTTTAAAAATCATTATTTGTGGCAGGTTAGAACATATCTGCTAGCTTCTCTGCTCCATTTTCCTCACTTAAGTTTCTGTCAGAGCCCTCACAACTACAGGGCTAGTTGGCCTTTGCTCTCTCAAGAATACCTTTGAGAAAACCGCCTTCCTAATCCTCAAAGAGTTTTAAAATGGCATTACAAAGGGGATGGATATATTAAACACCTCAGCTGTCAATGAGCAGAATCAATAACTGTGGGTACATAGCTTACATTATGTCTACTTACACAAGGCTTGCAATATTTGGAAATGAGAGCTTTTCTTTTGACAACTTGGCGCCAGCTGTTTCAAGAAATAACACAGCTGTATATCCCTAACACACCTGCCTCTCCTTCCATAATGTTAGAAGAAAACAAAAGTGTAAAACAATGACCAGAAAGGTCAGACCACTGCCAGAAGCCTGATTTGCAACAGTATTTTCATTTGAATGTTTAAAAAGTAATGAGGCTACATTACCAATTAAAGTTAAAAAACAAGACTCTAGAGTTGGTTTCTCCAAAACTTTAAAGCTTGAAGGGAACAATGCTTCGGTAAGTAGAGTATATAAAATATATCACTGGGACAGCAATATCATTAAGTAAAATTCTTATAATAAATAACATCACTCAACATAATATAAAAAAATGCATTGTGTTTCAAAATATCATGTCCATAGACTTGTCTTGAAATATACTTTGAAGGCTAAATTTATTTTTATGCTTTCTATAAAATTTGCTGCAATTTTTAAAAACCCCTTTTCCTTTCTAATTAATAAATCCTGTCAGGAAGATTGTGTGTGTCAGAACCTCACATGAGAGTATATACTGTCAGCCATGCATGTTACCTAAAATAAAGAGAGAGTTTAACCCATATCATTTTTAGCATCTTACTTAAACATCTGCATCTTACTGTCTATTGGAGATATGTTCCTAGTTTAACTTCTTCAGCTGTTGTTGCCTAATTTTCTTATTTGGCAACAAGAGTACAATGGTAGAAGTTAAAAATGAACAACATCCTTGGCGTTATACAAATTTGCACAAAATCAGCTATCTGTTATATTTCTTTGAAAGGCAATTGACTAAATCATTTATGTTCAATATATTAAATTTTGGATATATCTGTAAAAATTAAATTAAGGGAACAATTCCATTTTCAATAGCATCTAAAGGAATAAAATAATTAGGAATAATTGTATCAATTGGAGTATAAGATACGTACACTGAAAGCTACAAAATAATGTTGACAGAGATTAACAAAGAACTAAGTTAATGGAAAGAAACCCAATGGTTATGGATCAAAAGAATGAATATAGTTAAGAATGCAATATTCCTCAAATTGATCTACAGATTCAACACAATCCCTGTCAAAATCCCAGCTTGCTTTTTTTTTTTTTTCTCTTCAGAATGTCACAACTGGATCCAAAAATTCCTTTGGAAATGCAAGGGACCCAGAATAGCCAAAATAATTTTGTAAAAGAAGAACAAATTTGAAAAATTCACACTTCCTGATTTCAAAATTTATACTGCAAAGCTTGAAATACTCAAAACAATGTGGAACTGGCATGAGGATAGACACATAGATCAATAGAATAGAAGATTCAAGAAATAAACTCACATTCTCATGGCCAAGTGATTTTCTGTACAGGTGGCAAGACAGTTTAACAGGGGAAAGAAAGGTATTTTTTGACTAATGGTGCTAGGACAACTGGATGTCCACATGCAAAAGAATGAAGTTGGACCAGTACCTCATACTATACACAAAATTTAACTCAAAGTTAATCGTAGGCTAAACGTCAGTGCTAAAACTATAAAAATCCTAAAAGAAAATATAGAGTAAATCTTTGTGAGACTGGGTTGTTAATGGTTTCTTAGATATAACAAATAACAACAAACGATTAAATTAGACCTCATCAAAACTTTTTTTTTTTAAATTGTGCTTCAAAGGACACCAGCAAGAAAGTAAAAAAGAAAAAACTCCACAAAATGAGAGAAATATTTGAAAATCATTCATCTGATGACTTATATTCAGAATATGTAAAAAACTCTAGAAATTCAATAATAAAAAGAAAAATAATCCAATTAAAGAATGGATAAGAGATCAGGATAGACATTTCTCCAAAGAATATGTACAACCAAGAAACACATTAAAAGATACCACATTACTAATTAGGGAAATGAAAATCAAAGCCACAATGAAGTCTCACCTCACACTCATGAGATGGACATACTAAAAAAGATAGACAAGCACAAATGTTGATAAGGATGTGGAGAAATTAGAACCTTCGTACACTGGCGGTGGAAATCTGAAATAGTGCAATCACTTTAAAAAATAGCTTGCCTCAAAGAGTTAAACTTATAGTTACCCTATGACCCAGCCATTTCTCTCCTAGGTCTATATACAAGATAGATGACAACACATCTACACAAAAACTTTCACAGAAATGTTCATAGCAACATTATTCACATTAGTCAAGAAGTGTAAACAACCCAGAAGGGCATCAACTGATGAATGGATCAACAAAACATTGTATAACCAATCAATGGAATATTATTTAGCAATAAAAAGAAATGAAGAAGTACCAGTGGTGCTACAACATAGATGAATCTTGGAAACATTACGCTAAATGAAAAAATCAAAAGCCACTCACAAAAAACCAGGTATTGTAAGATTCCATTTGGAAATATAATAATATATAATAATAAAGGAGAACTAGGCATGATGTCTCTTTGTTTTTGCTTTTGTTGATAACAAATCTTAGTGTTTTTCAATGCCAATAACATAATATATATATATGTGTATATATATATATATATATATATATAATAGTGCTACCAAAAGGAAAATCATTCTCATTTAGGTACAGAAATTTTTCCTGAAGTAATATTTATTTATTTATTTCTGAAGAGGAGAGGGTTATGGTTTGGGTCAAAATACTAATGTTAATGCATGTTGTGTGTGAAAAACATAGTTTGTGTAAAGGTAAGTAAGCCGCTAATTTCATTCATTTACTTAAACAAAACTATGTAGTGTTCACTCCTTATGTTGTGTTCAGTGCTACCTGAGGCCAAAGATCTTTAAAGGTGAACAAACTTCAGTTTTAAAAAAAAGGATGCTTAACAAATGAACAAATACAATTATAAAGTACTTGATGATGATGATAACTTCTATGAAGAAAATAAAGGAGAGTAATGGGATAGTAATGGAGGGGAGGACTGGATAAGGGACAAGATCTGCAAAATCTAAGGAGGGTACTCCAGGAAAGTGTAAAAGGGAAAAGTCAGTTGATAAGGAGAAATCAGTTTGAAGTTGTCAGGAGCAGGAAGAGCCCGCAGGGCCTTGTGGTGATCCACACAGCCTGGGAGGAGGTCAAACGATTAAGCAAGGCTGGACCATTTGAGAACTAGTAAGACCACCAAGGAGTCTGGATCTTATTCAAACTATAATAGGAAGTCATTGGAGGGCTGTAAGTGAGACAGTGCCATGATCAGATAGAATTTTTAAGAGTATATTGACTGTGTAGGAAGAAAGTGGGGCCAAGGGGGCCTTGTAGCAGCTCTTCAGGCAAAGGTCAATGGTACTGTGGGCTAGGATGGCAGCCACAGAGTTAGTGAAAAGTTCTCAAATACAAGTGACTTAAGACATTTCTTTTTCTGCTTGATTTTATTCTTGTGAGATGTAAGACTATTGAACATTTTGTTTAGCGTTTAAAAGTGAATTTCTGACTGATTATCTGGCCTTGCCAAAATGAAAGGCACACAATGGCATCTGACTATTTTTCTGGGCAGCTCCAGCCACCTCTACCTCAGTACTTCGGGTGTAATCAATAAACATAACAGAGGCTATTCATTCCACCAGGATGGATTCCAACAAAAGGCCTCTGTTCACACTGGTAATAGGCAGACTTCACCCGCTCCATCACATTATGTATTATGTCTCGCACTCTTCAGTCACCTACCTGCTTTACTGTTCAGTGGTAATGAAATGCTCTGTTGACATAAGAATCATTATAAAGCTGAGCTGTTTACACTTGTGGTGGCCAAGACAATGTCCCTCCAATGGAAGGCAAAGCACTGCTCATTCCTAAAGGACAGATATTCACACATTTTTGGGATTATGAAATTCAGCAAGTTCTTGGCTTGGGTTGGGTTGTAAAGGTGACCTACAGAAAATAATATGTTCAATGTAACCTTTTAAATTTATGTTAATAGGCTTAATACATTTGAGTGGGCACATGCTACTGAGAATAACTTTAAAGCATTTGTGGAGACTTGGTCATTATTATCTTTTGTCAGATTTCTTCCATTGTGAGGAGAACCTCTATCTTTTCTCAGATTTGAATTCACTAGGCTAATGGCCATAGAGGTACCTACAAGCACTTGTAAAACAGTTAACATTCATTAACGTGAATTTTTCAGTAGAAGGCTGACTGCTCTGGGTTTATTTCAGAGCAATTAAATATGATTTATTCTCCATCATTTATTGACTTATTCATCCAGCAAATGATTATTGACTGCTTACTGCTATGTTGTACAATGTGAGACATACAAAGAAGGCTAATTAATAATAATAATGGCTAGCGTTTATTGAGTAGACACTGTGAGCCAGTACTCACTTAGCGTTTCATATGCCTTATCTTATTCTTTAAAAATACCTGATGATGCAACTGCCATTATTATTTCCAACGTATAGAGATGAAAACTAACGCATAGAGAGCTTAAACTATAAGCCCAAGGACACCAAGATGGTGCATGGCAAGGCTGTATGTGCAGATCTGGGAATCGAACACAGGGACTCTGACCCAACAGCCCTTGAATAAGTGCTAAGGTATTCCACCTGCCAAGACATGGCAAACATCCTAGTCTCAAAATGCATGCAGGCTAGCAGGAAAAGCAAGGTATTTATGAAGACAAGAATAGTTTACAGTAAGTTCAAGTTCAACACAGGTAAAAACAAATAGCTATAAGTATTGAAAACAAATCACTTCCATCCAAAAGCACTGGCTGTCAGACTTGGCTGCAGGTTGAAATCACCTGAGGAGTTAAAAAACATACAGATGCCTTGGGTCTCCACCCTAGAGTTTCTGACTTAACGGACCTGGCATGCGCTTGTGCAGCTGGATTTTTGAAAGTTCCCCAGGTAATTCTAATGTGCATCCAAGTTGAAAAACACTGAACTAGAGGTACTAGGGAAAATGTTAAAAAGGAGAGAGAGTCAGAGTTGATATTTCAAGAATAAGTCACTATTTCAAAAGTCAGAAATGTCAGGGGGTGAGAATGGAGATGGATGGGCAGGTTGAGATTTGGAATAGATCCCTTCCACTCCAGTTGTGATCCTGCGACCAGCAGCATTGACATCCCATGGAATTGGTTAGAAATGTGCAATCTCAGGCTGTCTGTCCCAGACCCCCTGAATCAAAATCTGCATTCTCAAGTGATTTGCATTTGCATTATAGCTTGAGAAGCGCTGGCATAGGGGAAAATATCAAGATAAGAAACGACAGACAATTTGGTGATGGGCAAAGGGGACCCATGGCAATAGATGGAATATAGAGCATAGCACATAGTGAGGTAGGTGCCACACAGTGGAGATCAAGTCATCAGGTGCCTTGATCACTATAATAAGCAGTTAGGATTTTGTTTTGTGGAAAGTTGGAAGTCTAAGAGCTCCTAAGTAAAAGTGATGTGTACAGAGATGGCTTAACATGATCATCTGGTGACCATTTGTAGACCAGATTAGGGGAAGGAGAGACCAGAGGTATGGAGGTTCTTACAGAGGCCTCCACATGAATTCTAAATTCACAAATATAGAGTGAAACTCTCAGACTTGGGTGCAATTCAGGAAGCAAGTTCTTATCTTCAAAACACATTGTTTTACTTTCAGGGATTCTTATCTCTTCTAGCAGCCTGACATTGGAGTTACGTTCTGTATATGAATAGAGACACAGGCTGCATCTTACTCTGAGTGGCAGCCAGTGTACATACAGCAGCTTTGTTATTTTATCCATAGTATACTTTCCCCTCAATACTGGAAGACTGTAGAGAGGAACATAAAGAGAGTTGTAATAGTAGAAGAAGACATTCATGTTTGTCTAGCAGCAATATGATAACTATCATACCATAAATTTTCTATGTGGTCATGGTCTAGGGTGTTGCATTTGATACAATATTCTGGTTGAGAAAGATTACTATTAATTCTTGGGAAATGATATTCTTATATGTTATATCAACTACACATTCTTAATCCTGAAACTACACAAAATATAATTTTTTCTTTGACGGTCCTTTCAGATCAATAGCAATGACAGTGCCTAAGGACCACTGTTATAAGTGTCAGCAACCATTTTATGCTTAAAAATGTGCTAACTTAAGGAGATGTCTGGTTGGTCAAGTGCTGGGCACATGTATTGACATTATATTCTTTTAATCCAAGAGAAAACTTTTCATAATGCAGTGTCTAAGGCATTATGTTGCATATAGTAGGTTCATTTGTTACAGGAACAAAAGCACATGCACGGACTGTATATGAAAAGATATTGTATTGCAAATAGACTTTTAAAATATCAAATTTATAAGATTTACATGAAATAAACTGCATTTAAAGCATATGAATAGAATTTTAAAATTGAAAATAACTGGAGTAGGTGAATAATCCAATGCATTAAAAGTGTCTATGAAGTTATCTGCTAATCATCAATACAAGAATCTGTTACCAAAATGATCATAAAATGGTAACTCTTAGTGTAGTCACTATGCTTTTTTTTTTTTTTTTTTTTTTTTTGAGACTGTTTCGCTTTTGTTGTCCAGGCTGGAAAGCAATGGGGCAATCTCAGCTTACTGCAACCTCCGCCTCTTGGTTTCAAGATATTCTCCTGCCTCAGCCTCCTGAGTAGCTGGGATTACAGGTGCCCACCACCACGCCCAGCTAATTTTGTATTTTTAGTAGAGACAGGGTTTCACTATGTTGGTCAAGCTGGTCTTGAACTCCTGACCTCAGGTAATCTGCCCACCTCGGCCTCCCAAAGTGTTGGGATTACAGGCGTTAGCCACCGCGCCCAGCCTAGTCACTATTTTAAAATTCACACTAGCAGGGAGAAATTTCATAAAGTTTACCCGTATCTTAAAACTTGATACTGCAATTTATATATGTTGCCACCAGATGGTGGTGTGTGCTTTAGTTGTGATCACATGATCTCAATCATTGTAACTATTATAAAATAGGTGAGATGAACTGATTGATATTCAGACTCTGAATACCCATCTTATTTTCATTTGGGAAAAAATAATAATAATGGGTTGCCTATTGTAGGCAGCCATTTGCCATAAAAATAAGACAAGACTCCAAGCCCACAAATGATTCAGTATTTTAGCAATATATTAGCACAATAAGTATCATATCAAAAATTTCAAATATCATTAAGATGAAGCTTCTATAATATAAGATGAATCACAGAAGACAGAATTCTGATTTCTTCCAGGAGGAATCTGGGAAGATTTCAGAATAATGTTATTCTATTAACATTAGCTTTGAAAAAAGAAATAGTTTACCAAACGTGGAGAAGAAAGGAAGATCATTGCAAAAGAAAGAAACAAACCATGCTGTACACAGATAATGATGCATTTACAAAACAATCGTGAATCTGTGTGATCAAAACGTAGGGTTCATAATTGAAAAGTGGGGTTAGACGATACTTGATGGTAGGTTTAAAATACATGACAAAGGTCAAGACATGAAGACATGCCCTTTGAAGCTAATCTTACAGGCAAGAGGGAGCCATGACATGATGAAATCTGTAAGATAAAACGATTTAAAGAAAGAAACACATGGATACAATTTTTGTCTTAAGGAGAAACATGGCTCATAAAGGGGATCCTTGATAAGGAAATATTCCCAACAAGAATCTTCCAGTCGTCTCTCACTTTCTCAGCTTTTCTCCTCCAGCTAGGCTATCAAATCAACTTGTATTGCATTCTCTATCTGTGTTAACATTCCGGGAGTGGAATGACATAATAACTTGCTAGAACCACTATCTTGCTTCCTCTTCGCTACCTTCTCTCCAGCTGAAATGTCAAGTGAGATATTATTGCCTCTAGTTCCCTTCTTCTCTTTTTTCCTCCCAGTGACCATGGCTGTGCTCTGGGCTGTTAGAGCTGTCTGTAAAGGTTTGGAACCCATTTGGAATGAGGTTGGGGGTAGGAGCGGGATAATTACCTATCCTAATCTAAATCTCTTAATGGCTACTTTGTGCATTGCTTGCCTTTACTTTGCATGTTTGGTGTTTATCATCGAATAGAAGTGAGGGCAATGTGCCCTATAGCTGATCTGTTCTAGGAATAAGTGGTCTGCTCATATGGGGTGCTAAATGCTGCCTAAGTCCCTTACCCCGGAATTAGGGCTACTTCTCTGCTCTCCATAGAAACTGCTTTTTGGAGCTGGCTCTGCTTTCCACTTGGCTTGCCAGAAGACCAAAGACTCACAGTTTGGTCACTGATAATACTAATCCTCTCTGACAATTATTTGGCAACCTTTCCTATTAGAATATCTTTGAAGTGTTCCTGGTTGGGGATGGGGGGTGGGGTGGAATCTTGGCTGGCAGGAAAGGACACAGGCCTTTTAATCTCAGAACCAAAAATACTCTGCGCTCTGATTTCTCCAACTTCATTTCACTATGAAGGGCATTCTGCTCCTCCAAGTCGGTGTGACATATCACAGGGCACTCGCGAGTGCTTCTGGAAGCCCTGCCGCGGAGGTCGACTCTTTTACCAGAGACAGAAGGTCGGGAAGATGCAGCGAGTACAGCGTTCTTATTATAACTCGCCTCCTCACAGGTTTCTGGGCAGAGCACTAACCTGCCCTAACCTGTTACTTCTCTGAGGATGCTTGTTGATGGCTGTGAACTGTTCAAAGGCTTTGGGGAAGAACAAAGAAAGAAAAATAGGAAGTCGAATTCCAACCCATTCAATATCTTCCTATTTAAGCGAGCTCAAGGTCTCCTGTGCCTGTCAGAATGCGGAGTGGGTGAGGGGAACACAGCCTCGAAGGTTCTGGAGGCCTCTGGAAAACACATACAAATGAGAGCCGCATCACAACCTTTTTGCTGCTCCTTGGCAGAGCTGTACACGGTCCAAAAGATCCTTCTCGATACTGCTGCCCTTCCTTTGCTCCTTCATTCCCCTTTGGCAGCCCCACTCAGCAGGAATAGCTTATTTTAAGCCCCATCTTTTCTCCAGGAGAGTGCTCCCTCTACATCACCTCCAAAGCCACTGCTAACACTCGGGCACTCTCCTAAGTCCTTTCAATGGGTTAGCTTAGGAATCATTTCTCTGATGAGAAAAACTGAAGCTGAAAAAGTAATGTAACCTGCTTGGGGTCACCTAGCTAGTGGATGGAGACCGCGGGATTTGCTCTGCTACTTTCCTCCATTGATTTAGCATCTTTACATCTCATATCTGAAAAGAGCTTTGTTAATTACTCCCCCTTAAGTGAGAAACCTGCAGCCGAGAAGGCCTATACATTCTGCACACCTGTCTTACTTTTCGCTTTTGTCCTTGTGCCAAACACTTGGCCTCAATGTTCTGAGATTCTTATTAGCTCACTCATTTCAGAGATTACACATCTTGTCCATCACATGGATGGTCTAATAATGTCTGCAGTGGGGAGAGGCACAGTTAAACCGAACAGTGGGTTTCAGTGGCATTACTTTGCTCAATCCACCATTTTTTGCACTCTGGAGCCTGTTGCTTGGGAATTTCTTGGCATGTTCTTCAACAGGCCAGGCCACATGAGCTTGAGACAGAGAGAGAGAGAGAGAGAGAGAGAAAGAGAGAGAGAAGAGAAAGGCGGGGGGGCGGGGGGGGGGGGCGGGGAACAGACTGTTGGAATTATTAAAAAAAAATGAAGCACCTGCTATATTCTGGGCATTGCTAGTTGCTTTCCATGTATTTTCACGATTAAATAACTGTCACAACAATCTAGCAGAGGAGCTTTTTTGTCCCCATTTTGTAAATAGGATGATTGAGATTCAGAGATGTTAAGTAATGAGGACCAAGGTCACACAGCAAGTAAGGGGCTGAGGTGATACAAAGCTGTCATCTGAAGCCCTTGTTCTTTTCACTCTATCATGAAGCTTTTTTTTTTTTTTAAAAAAAAAAAGATACTATACAGTTGCTTTAAACCAAAGGGAGATCAGAGACCCTTGATCCTGGACTTCATTCTCCCCCTGGTGCCATGGCATTTGATGATAATGAAGATTTTAGGGGCCTGGGTATGTGGGCAGAATGTCGGAAGAGGCTGTATTGAATATAGATCTTCACTTTGGAAATGAAGCTACATCACCTTTGCCATGTGAATTAGTTTCACCCATAAGACATGTTGGCCTCATTTATTTTCTATTTATTAGTCTATTAGTGTTCATCAGATACTGTAGGGGTAGATTATAGTCAGAATTTCTAACACTCTTTAAACATGAGAATCTTTGGTCCATCTCCCTCTCCCCTTCTTTCTGCTTTCCATCGCTCCCTCTTACTTCCCTCTTTTTCCCTCTCATTCTGCTTTCCTCCTTTCCTTCCTCCCAACATCACGGTCTGGGGTGTGTCACTGCCAAGATGTAATGGCCTTGGGTGAGTAACTTAGCTTCCGTAGTCCTCATTTTCTACAAGTGTGAAATGTTTATAATAACGATATCTCAAACTGTTGCTTTGAGGAAAAATTTTATTAATATATGCCAAGTACTAGCCAATAATAATAATAATGATATAGTAAGCACTTCGTAAAAGATAGTCATTGTTATTCCTTAAACTATAGGTATTAGTCCAGGAACATGCAAGGCACGTGGGGTTTTTTGCAAGGGAGTAAAAGGAATTTTCCTGGTAGAGGATATGACTAGTTTTTAGCATGATGCTCCTCTCCATCTTCTTGTATGGTTATATTTCAAATATAATTTTAAAGTGTATCTTCAGAGTTATTTTTTTCTTATTGCCTGCTCATTAGTAACCCATCTCTCTGTCTCTATTCTCTAAGAGTATTCCCTACCATGCGTCTGTGAGGATACGTGGCTTGGTGAGCAACAGGAGAGAAAAACAAACCTAGTAATGTGGAAAGCCAGGGCGCGTAGGAAAAATAACAATTATATAGCCCTCGCAAAATGTTTTTCATCTTGAAAATGCTTTGAAAACATTAACTGATTAATTAATCAAAAAGAATTTCTACCAATCAGTGAAAATGCTCTTGACAACGTATTAAGCCTCTTGAAAGGTATTATTTATTCAGGGATGTTTTCTCTTTCATCTAAAGGGAATCATCAGTTTCTTTTTTTTTTCTTTCTCTTTTTTTTTGGAGACATTTCAGGAGATCGTGTGGAATCTCTGCATGCTCCTTTCACTCTATTCATCCAAGCAAGCATGAGCATGTGAAAATGCACGTGTGCATACATGCACACATGCACACGCATTAACAAATGGAAAAGGTTATTTTAGGACTGAGCCCCTTGACAGTAAGTGCATCAAAATATTATATAACATTTTCTAATCCAGGGTGCTCATCAGCTTTTTATTAACCTGCCAGCAATTTCAAGACAAAAAAATTCCTGTTGAGTCTCACGTTATCAGCTTCACCTATTACATATGAGCATCTACTTTCCTGACTCTTCTACTGCCTTCTGAGCTGCTCTAGAGCTGGTGTTTTGTCACCATCTCCCTAGAGCCTAGCTACTCATAGAGCCACCAAAGCATCAGCCCTATTCTCTGGCCTACAAAGCATAACTTAATCTCTTTGTGACATTGCAGGCGAGTAGTAATAATAATCTTATGTTCATTAATTCAACAAATATTGAGTACCCGCCATTCATTTATTTATATATTCCTATATCATATACTTTATTCAGTGCAAGTCTTTGTGTGAATCACAGTGATGGATTCAAAGATGAGCTACACAGGGTTATTGCATTCAAGGGGTTTGTTGTCCAGCTGCACAGAGAAGGCAAGAACATAAATAACTTTAATATAAAGGAGACATGATGAACACCGACAAAGAAGCACCATCAGAAGAAGGGGAGAGGATTTTTGGCTGGGGAATTCAGGGAAGCCTTTTTGGAGTAGATGATGCCTGAGTGGGATATTGAAAGAGGATCTTTCTTGTGGAACTGATGGGGATTGGGTGATGTTCCAGATGGAGGCGAAATAAGAGGGGAAAACCATGGACAAAGGAAATTATAGTTTATGAGAATCATTTAACTAGGGCCTATGTAGGGAAAAGGATAGAAGACATGATCTAGGAAATGTGGATTGGCCCTATATTGGGGAAATGCATGGCATTTGCAGCACTATACTAGGTCCCTACCAGCAGCAGCCATCAACGAATCAATCTCATCACTCAGAACAATGTTGCTTGTGTAGATATGGCCTCCAAATACCTATCCACGCAGTCACTGCTGATCCAGTGTGTTGGAGCGCATTGGTTTATGTGAGGAAAAGCACATCCCACTCCTGGGTCACAATATGAAGAGCCTTATGTGATAGACTGAGGAATCCAGGCTTTAATTTTTGACATTACACTGCAATTGAAGAATGGATTCAACGTAAATATCATTAACATCATTGCTGTCCTACCATATTGTAATTTGAAGACATCCAGAAGTGCTATTGAAATGCAGTATTGGAAGCCTTACCTACACATTAAATTAAGCCTTCAAATTTTTTTTTTTTTTTTTTTAATTTTTTTTTTTTTATTATACTCTAAGTTTTAGGGTACATGTGCACATTGTGCAGGTTAGTTACATATGTATACATGTGGCATGCTGGTGCGCTGCACCCACTAACGTGTCATCTAGCATTAGGTATATCTCCCAATGCTATCCCTCCCCCCTCCCCCGACCCCACCACAGTCCCCAGAGTGTGATATTCCCCTTCCTGTGTCCAAGTGATCTCATTGTTCAATTCCCACCTATGAGTGAGAATATGCGGTGTTTGGTTTTTTGTTCTTGCGATAGTTTACTGAGAATGATGGTTTCCAATTTCATCCATGTCCCTACAAAGGACATGAACTCATCATTTTTTATGGCTGCATAGTATTCCATTGTGTATATGTGCCACATTTTCTTAATCCAGTCTATCATTGTTGGACATTTGGGTTGGTTCCAAGTCTTTGCTATTGTGAATAGTGCCGCAATAAACATACGTGTGCATGTGTCTTTATAGCAGCATGATTTATAGTCCTTTGGGTATATACCCAGTAATGGGATGGCTGGGTCAAATGGTATTCCTAGTTCTAGATCCCTGAGGAATCGCCACACTGACTTCCACAATGGTTGAACTAGTTTACAGTCCCACCAACAGTGTAAAAGTGTTCCTATTTCTCCACATCCTCTCCAGCACCTGTTGTTTCCTGACTTTTTAATGATTGCCATTCTAACTGGTGTGAGATGATATCTCATAGTGGTTTTGATTTGCATTTCTCTGATGGCCAGTGATGATGAGCATTTCTTCATGTGTTTTTTGGCTGCATAAATGTCTTCTTTTGAGAAGTGTCTGTTCATGTCCTTCGCCCACTTTTTGATGGGGTTGTTTGTTTTTTTCTTGTAAATTTGTTTGAGTTCATTGTAGATTCTGGATATTAGCCCTTTGTCAGATGAGTAGGTTGCGAAAATTTTCTCCCATGTTGTAGGTTGCCTGTTCACTCTGATGGTAGTTTCTTTTGCTGTGCAGAAGCTCTTTAGTTTAATTAGATCCCATTTGTCAATTTTGGCTTTTGTTGCCATTGCTTTTGGTGTTTTGGACATGAAGTCCTTGCCCACGCCTATGTCCTGAATGGTAATGCCTAGGTTTTCTTCTAGGGTTTTTATGGTTTTAGGTCTAACGTTTAAATCTTTAATCCATCTTGAATTGATTTTTGTATAAGGTGTAAGGAAGGGATCCAGTTTCAGCTTTCTACATATGGCTAGCCAGTTTTCCCAGCACCATTTATTAAATAGGGAATCCTTTCCCCATTGCTTGTTTTTCTCAGGTTTGTCAAAGATCAGATAGTTGTAGATATGTGGCATTATTTCTGAGAGCTCTGTTCTGTTCCATTGATCTATATCTCTGTTTTGGTACCAGTACCATGCTGTTTTGGTTACTGTAGCCATGTAGTATAGTTTGAAGTCAGGTAGTGTGATGCCTCCAGCTTTGTTCTTTTGGCTTAGGATTGACTTGGCGATGCGGGCTCTTTTTTGGTTCCATATGAACTTTAAAGTAGTTTTTTCCAATTCTGTGAAGAAAGTCATTGGTAGCTTGATGGGGATGGCATTGAATCTGTAAATTACCTTGGGCAGTATGGCCATTTTCACGATATTGATTCTTCCTACCCATGAGCATGGAATGTTCTTCCATTTGTTTGTGTCCTCTTTTATTTCCTTGAGCAGTGGTTTGTAGTTCTCCTTGAAGAGGTCCTTCACATCCCTTGTAAGTTGGATTCCTAGGTATTTTATTCTCTTTGAAGCAATTGTGAATGGGAGTTCACTCATGATTTGGCTCTCTGTTTGTCTGTTGTTGGTGTATAAGAATGCTTGTGATTTTTGTACATTGATTTTGTATCCTGAGACTGCTGAAGTTGCTTATCAGCTTAAGGAGATTTTGGGCTGAGACGATGGGGTTTTCTAGATAAACAATCATGTCGTCTGCAAACAGGGACAATTTGACTTCCTCTTTTCCTAATTGAATACCCTTTATTTCCTTCTCCTGCCTGATTGCCCTGGCCAGAACTTCCAACACTATGTTGAATAGGAGCGGTGAGAGAGGGCATCCCTGTCTTGTGCCAGTTTTCAAAGGGAATGCTTCCAGTTTTTGCCCATTCAGAATGATATTGGCTGTGGGTTTGTCATAGATAGCTCTTATTATTTTGAAATACGTCCCATCAATACCTAATTTATTGAGAGTTTTTAGCATGAAGGGTTGTTGAATTTTGTCAAAGGCTTTTTCTGCATCTATTGAGATAATCATGTGGTTTTTGTCTTTGGCTCTGTTTATATGCTGGATTACATTTATTGATTTGCGTATATTGAACCAGCCTTGCATCCCAGGGATGAAGCCCACTTGATCATGGTGGATAAGCTTTTTGATGTGCTGCTGGATTCGGTTTGCCAGTATTTTATTGAGGATTTTTGCATCAATGTTCATCAAGGATATTGGTCTAAAATTCTCTTTTTTGGTTGTGTCTCTGCCCGGCTTTGGTATCAGAATGATGCTGGCCTCATAAAATGAGTTAGGGAGGATTCCCTCTTTTTCTATTGATTGGAATAGTTTCAGAAGGAATGGTACCAGTTCCTCCTTGTACCTCTGGTAGAATTCGGCTGTGAATCCATCTGGTCCTGGACTCTTTTTGGTTGGTAAACTATTGATTATTGCCACAATTTCAGAGCCTGTTATTGGTCTATTCAGAGATTCAACTTCTTCCTGGTTTAGTCTTGGGAGAGTGTATGTGTCGAGGAATGTATCCATTTCTTCTAGATTTTCTAGTTTATTTGCGTAGAGGTGTTTGTAGTATTCTCTGATGGTAGTTTGTATTTCTGTGGGATCGGTGGTGATATCCCCTTTATCATTTTTTATTGTGTCTATTTGATTCTTCTCTCTTTTTTTCTTTATTAGTCTTGCTAGCGGTCTATCAATTTTGTTGATCCTTTCAAAAAACCAGCTCCTGGATTCATTGATTTTTTGAAGGGTTTTTTGTGTCTCTATTTCCTTCAGTTCTGCTCTGATTTTAGTTATTTCTTGCCTTCTGCTAGCTTTTGAATGTGTTTGCTCTTGCTTTTCTAGTTCTTTTAATTGTGATGTTAGGGTGTCAATTTTGGATCTTTCCTGCTTTCTCTTGTAGGCATTTAGTGCTATAAATTTCCCTCTACACACTGCTTTGAATGCGTCCCAGAGATTCTGGTATGTGGTGTCTTTGTTCTCGTTGGTTTCAAAGAACATCTTTATTTCTGCCTTCATTTCGTTATGTACCCAGTAGTCATTCAGGAGCAGGTTGTTCAGTTTCCATGTAGTTGAGCGGCTTTGAGTGAGATTCTTAATCCTGAGTTCTAGTTTGATTGCACTGTGGTCTGAGAGATAGTTTGTTATAATTTCTGTTCTTTTACATTTGCTGAGGAGAGCTTTACTTCCAACTATGTGGTCAATTTTGGAATAGGTGTGGTGTGGTGCTGAAAAAAATGTATATTCTGTTGATTTGGGGTGGAGAGTTCTGTAGATGTCTATTAGGTCTGCTTGGTGCAGAGCTGAGTTCAATTCCTGGGTATCCTTGTTGACTTTCTGTCTCGTTGATCTGTCTAATGTTGACAGTGGGGTGTTAAAGTCTCCCATTATTAATGTGTGGGAGTCTAAGTCTCTTTGTAGGTCACTCAGGACTTGCTTTATGAATCTGAGTGCTCCTGTATTGGGTGCATAAATATTTAGGATAGTTAGCTCCTCTTGTTGAATTGATCCCTTTACCATTATGTAATGGCCTTCTTTGTCTCTTTTGATCTTTGTTGGTTTAAAGTCTGTTTTATCAGAGACTAGGATTGCAACCCCTGCCTTTTTTTGTTTTCCATTGGCTTGGTAGATCTTCCTCCATCCTTTTATTTTGAGCCTATGTGTGTCTCTGCACGTGAGATGGGTTTCCTGAATACAGCACACTGATGGGTCTTGACTCTTTATCCAACTTGCCAGTCTGTGTCTTTTAATTGCAGAATTTAGTCCATTTATATTTAAAGTTAATATTGTTATGTGTGAATTTGATCCTGTCATTATGATGTTAGCTGGTGATTTTGCTCATTAGTTGATGCAGTTTCTTCCTAGTCTCGATGGTCTTTACATTTTGGCATGATTTTGCAGCGGCTGGTACCAGTTGTTCCTTTCCATGTTTAGGGCTTCCTTCAGGAGCTCTTTTAGGGCAGGCCTGGTGGTGACAAAATCTCTCAGCATTTGCTTGTCTATAAAGTATTTTATTTCTCCTTCACTTATGAAGCTTAGTTTGGCTGGATATGAAATTCTGGGTTGAAAATTCTTTTCTTTAAGAATGTTGAATATTGGCCCCCACTCTCTTCTGGCTTGTAGGGTTTCTGCCGAGAGATCCGCTGTTAGTCTGATGGGCTTTCCTTTGAGGGTAACCCGACCTTTCTCTCTGGCTGCCCTTAACATTTTTTCCTTCATTTCAACTTTGGTGAATCTGACAATTATGTGTCTTGGAGTTGCTCTTCTCGAGGAGTATCTTTGTGGAGTTCTCTGTATTTCCTGAATCTGAACGTTGGCCTGCCTTGCTAGATTGGGGAAGTTCTCCTGGATAATATCCTGCAGAGTGTTTTCCAACTTGGTTCCATTCTCCACATCACTTTCAGGTACACCAATCAGACGTAGATTTGGTCTTTTCACATAGTCCCATATTTCTTGGAGGCTTTGCTCATTTCTTTTTATTCTTTTTTCTCTAAACTTCCCTTCTCGCTTCATTTCATTCATTTCATCTTCCATTGCTGATACCCTTTCTTCCAGTTGATCGCATCGGCTCCTGAGGCTTCTGCATTCTTCACGTAGTTCTCGAGCCTTGGTTTTCAGCTCCATCAGCTCCTTTAAGCACTTCTCTGTATTGGTTATTCTAGTTATACATTCTTCTAAATTTTTTTCAAAGTTTTCAACTTCTTTGCCTTTGGTTTGAATGTCCTCCCGTAGCTCAGAGTAATTTGATCGTCTGAAGCCTTCTTCTCTCAGCTCGTCAAAATCATTCTCCATCCAGCTTTGTTCTGTTGCTGGTGAGGAACTGCGTTCCTTTGGAGGAGGAGAGGCGCTCTGCGTTTTAGAGTTTCCAGTTTTTCTGTTCTGTTTTTTCCCCATCTTTGTGGTTTTATCTACTTTTGGTCTTTGATGATGGTGATGTACAGATGGGTTTTCGGTGTAGATGTCCTTTCTGGTTGTTAGTTTTCCTTCTAACAGACAGGACCCTCAGCTGCAGGTCTGTTGGAATACCCTGCCGTGTGAGGTGTCAGTGTGCCCCTGCTGGGGGGTGCCTCCCAGTTAGGCTGCTCGGGGGTTAGGGGTCAGGGGTCAGGGACCCACTTGAGGAGGCAGTCTGCCCGTTCTCAGATCTCCAGCTGCGTGCTGGGAGAACCACTGCTCTCTTCAAAGCTGTCAGACAGGGACACTTAAGTCTGCAGAGGTTACTGCTGTCTTTTTGTTTGTCTGTGCCCTGCCCCCAGAGGTGGAGCCTACAGAGGCAGGCAGGCCTCCTTGAGCTGTGGTGGGCTCCACCCAGTTCGAGCTTCCCGGCTGCTTTGTTTACCTAAGCAAGCCTGGGCAATGGCGGGCGCCCCTCCCCCAGCCTCGTTGCCGCCTTGCAGTTTGATCTCAGACTGCTGTGCTAGCAATCAGCGAGATTCCGTGGGCGTAGGACCCTCTGAGCCAGGTGTGGGATATAGTCTCGTGGTGCGCCGTTTCTTAAGCCGGTCTGAAAAGCGCAATATTCGGGTGGGAGTGACCCGATTTTCCAGGTGCGTCCGTCACCCCTTTCTTTGACTCGGAAAGGGAACTCCCTGACCCCTTGCGCTTCCCAGGTGAGGCAATGCCTCGCCCTGCTTCGGCTCGCGCACGGTGCGCACACACACTGGCCTGCGCCCACTGTCTGGCACTCCCTAGTGAGATGAACCCGGTACCTCAGATGGAAATGCAGAAATCACCTGTCTTCTGCGTCGCTCACGCTGGGAGCTGTAGACCGGAGCTGTTCCTATTCGGCCATCTTGGCTCCTCCAAGCCTTCAAATTTTTTATGGGAAATTTAAATTTTATCTTCTTCATCTTCTGGTTATCAGATTCTACTTCTTACTATTATTAATTTCCTAGAAATAGCAGTTTACCTCTTGTCTTCTCATTCCTTATGGGCTCTGAGCAATTATGTAAAGGGTTTTTGGAGGCCGGGCACATTGGCTCACACCTGTAATCCCAGCACTCTGGGAGGCCGAGGCAGGCAGATCACGAGGTCAGGAGATTGAGACCATCCTGGCTAACACAGTGAAACCCCGTCTCTACTAAAAAATACAAAAAAGTAGCCAGGTGTGGTGGCGGGCACCTGTAGTCCCAGCTACTCGGGAGGCTGAGGCAGGAGAATGGCGTGAACCCAGGAGGCGGAGCTTGCAGCGAGTGGAGATCGCGCCACTGTACTCCAGCCTGGGCCACAGAGCGAGATTCTGTCTCAAAAAAAAAGAAAAAGAAAAAAAGAAGAAGAAGCGTTTTTGGAATTTAAAATTCAGACACAGGTTGAGTATTGCCCATCCAATATGCTTGGGACCAGAAGTGTTTCAGAGTTCGGACTTTTTCAGATTTTTGGAATATTTTCATATACATAATTAGTTATCTTAAGGATTGGACTCAGGTCTAAACAC